>NC_000005.10:115564352-115867382 GCF_000001405.40 Homo sapiens | reverse complement strand
AAAAATTGATTAGCTGAATTAGGTATATTTGAAAAACAGACTTCAGTCTTGTAACAGTAAAATAAAGAATGTAATCTAATTTTTATGAACATTCACAAAAAGGAATACTCTGTAGTCATTAAAAAGAATAAGCTTGTCCTAGATGTGTTTCTATGCAAAGCTTTTGAAAATACTGAGAACCAGCAACATGCAAATGAGCATACAAAGTGTGATCTCATAAATAAAAATTTTAAGGTTGTAGGTTAGTCAACACATATAACATACTTTATATGTTAGTCAATACAAACTATTTTCTAGAAGGATACACAAGAAATTGGGTAGAAGGACTAAGGTTGAGAGATTCTTATTTTACATTTTATACTTCCCTGTAATGTTGGAATTTTTACGATTTAATATATTACCTTTATATAAAATTCCCTTCCAAAATTTTTAAGAGGAAAAAAGATTGCATATCTTTTAAAAATAATTCTTTAAGTTAGATTTATAGCTAACATAGGTGGCAATTAATTCACCTAATCCAATTAATCAAAAGTAGAAAACTTTTACCATAAACTGATTAAACAGTATATATTTTAATCACATAGTCAAAACTTAGAAATGTCTATGAAATGCTTTACTTACAATCCTCCTTCTAGGAAATTACAAACATTTTCATCTCTCTTAGATACCAAATGGAAAGTCTCCCTGATGATTTGCTGTTGTGTATCTTCACTCTGAGGAAGAATAATTCATATATATTAGGATGGAGTGTATAGGTTTAATAGCATTTTAAGAATTTTTAAAATCAAAGGTAGCAATATCTGTCTGGGAAATCCATCTAAGAGAGGGGTCCTTGGAGAAGTGACTTAAATTATACCTTACAGAAGCAAAACCCAGTATTTTTTGATGAAAAAGAAAAAAAACCCAATTATTTATATTTACCACTATAATAAAAGTAACACATTTCTAAGTTTCAAAAACCAACAAGAAAAAATATTAGATGAATTACATACACTGGTAAAAGGGAAACTAGATATTAACTAGTCAAAGCTGATTATCTTACAAATGAGTAAACTGAATCAGAAAGGTAAAGATATAAATAGTGTAGCTAATCTATATTTGAATGGAGGAAAGAAATAGAACTATGGAGCTTCCAATTAAGTTTAACCTTTACTAAATATAGACTGAGGTAAGAGTCCATCCATCTTACTCATCTTTATATAAGCCGATCTAAAGCCAAGGATTGGGTCAATAAACATTTATTAACCTGGACCAAGCAATTCATATTCCAGTAAGAGTCAGCGTCCTGGCCGGGCACAGTGGCTCATGCCTGTAATCCCAGCACTCTGAGAGGCCGAGATGGGTGGATCACAAGGTCAGGAGATCGAGACCATCCTGGCCAACACAGTGAAACCCCGTCTCTACTAAAAATACAAAAATAGCTGGGTGTGGTGGCACGTGCCTGTAATCCCAGCTACTCGGGAGGCTGAAGCAGGAGAATCGCTTGAACCCAGGAGGCAGAGATTACAGTGAGCTGAGATCGCGCCACTGCACTCCAGCCTGGCGACAGAGTGAGATTCTATCTCAAACAAAACAAAACAAGAGTAAGCTTCCTAAACACTGCAATAGAAGACTGACCAAAATCATGAACACCAATTTCACAGGAAAGGATGTGAATGGTCCACAAAGAAATGAAAAGATACTAAATCGCAGTAGTAATTAAGTGAAATACAAATTAAAACAATGAGATAGCTCCACATGTACCATATCAGCAAAAGTATAAAAATATGATAGTAAAAAATGTTGACAACGATGTAGAGCCAAAGAAACTCTCATCTCACCAGTGGGAGGGTAAACATATAATCACTTGGGGAAACAGTTTTATTAACCAGCACTTTCTCTCCTAGATACTAATCTAAACCATATGAAACCAGTTTTTGAAGATCAAAAACAATTGCACATTGGCAATTACATAGACAGTTGACCCTTGAACAATGTGGCAGTTAGGGATGCTGATCCCCCATGCATTTGGAAATCTATGCATAAGTTTTCACTCCCCAAAAATGTTAACTCCACTACACTTTTTCTCTTAACAATTCTTAAAGTAAGCTAGAGAAAAGAAAATGTTATTAAGAAAATCATAAGAGAAAATATATTTACTATTCACTGAGTGGAAACAGATCATCAAAAAGGCTTCCTCTTTGTCTTCATGTTAAGTAGGCTGAAGAAGCAGAGGACGAGGAGAGGTGTTTGTTTTGTTGTCTTAAGTATGGCAAAGGCAGAAAAGGTGGAGGTAGTGGATGGGGAGGCTGGAGAGGCAGGCATACTTGATATAACTTTATGGAAATACACAGTAATTTCTGTCTGCCGTTTTGCTTTTTCATTTCTCTAAAAATGTTTCTATACAGTACTAATCCTTGTTCCACTGTCTGCTTTAGCTTTAGCATCATATTACAGAAGGGTCCATGTCATTAAAAGAAGTCAAAGCAGTCTTGAATAACTGGAACTCTTCTGCCAGATTGTCTAATGTCAATTTGTTTTCTGGCGCTGCTTCTTCTAAGTCTACTTCCTTATCATCTGGCATTGTTCAGAAGCACTCATCTCCATCAAAATGTGTTCTGCTAATTACTCTGTTGTGCTATGCGCTCTTAGATTTCTCTGAAACCCTTATCTTGAAACCCTTCATTCTCCCACCTTTTTTGCTACATTCACAATCTCTTCCATGATTTCTTTGATTGGTTGTGTCATAAATCCTGTGAAGTCATGCTCAACATATAGACACGGTTTTCTTCAGCAGGAATGCACTGTTTCAGGCCTCATGGCTTTCACAGCTTTTTCTATAACAACAATGACATCTTTAATGATGTCACCCTTCCAGACTTGCATGATATTCTATTAAGATTCTCTTGCATAGTGTTGAAAATCCTTTCCATAAATACCAAGTGTAATGAGCCCTAAAGGTCCTTATGACCCTGATCTTTAGGCTGAATTACAAACTTTGTGACTGGGGGCAAGGTGACCACTTCAATGCCTTTGGTGTTGAACTCATGGGGTTCTGGGATGCCAGGGGGATTGTCCAATATCAAAAAAACTTTAAAAGGC
Source organism: Homo sapiens (assembly GCF_000001405.40). Lineage (NCBI taxonomy): Eukaryota > Metazoa > Chordata > Mammalia > Primates > Hominidae > Homo > Homo sapiens. Next base: position 115,864,301 of record NC_000005.10, on the reverse strand, counting down.
AGTCACTTACTAGCAAGGAATTTCCTAGCTTCAGGAACAAAGTATCTATGGACTCAATCCAGAAAAGGGGTTCTCATCCACTCCTTCTTATAGAACCAAGAGACTAGCAGCTGGTGTTTATCTTTTCCCTTCAAGGCTCAGGGATTAGCAGCTTTATAGATAAAGATAGTCCTCATCATAAACCTGAATGCATTTGCACAAAACAGTAGAGTTAGCCTATCCCTTCCAACTTTAAATCCTGGTGCTTGTTCCTCTTCCTTACTAAAAAATATCTTTTGTGGTAGATTTTTTTCTTTTTCCAGAATAAGGCACTTTCGTCTGCATTAAAAATCTGTTCAGGCAGACATCTTTTCTCTGCAATGGTTTTCTTAATGGTGCCTGGGAACTCGTCTGCTACCTCTTGGTCAGCAACAGCTGGCTTCTCCTGTCATCTTGACATTTTTAAACTCAAACCTCTTTCTATAAGCATCAAACCATCCTTTGCTGGCATTAAATTTTCCAGCTTTAGATCCTTTACCTTCCTTATGCTTTATGTTATCATATAATGACTTCATTTTTTCTCAAATCATATTCTATAGATATGCCTTTCTTATAGCATTCCTGTGCCCACATAAGAGCTGGATTTTCAATACGACGTAAAAAGGGATTTTGCAAAAGGTGCAAAGTTTTCTCACACACTGGCATAGCTATAGCTACAGATTCATGAATTTTCTTTTTCTTTTCTTTTTTTTGAGATGGAGTCTCCCTCTGTTGCCCAGGCTGGAGTGCAGTGGTGCAATTTTGACTCACTGCAACCCACCTCCAGGGTTCAAGCAATTCTCCTGCCTCAGCCTCCCGAGTAGCTGGGATTACAGGTTCCCGCCACCATGCCCAGCTAATTTTTGTATTTTTATTTTTATTTTTTTTCGAGATAGTTTTTGCTCTGTTGCCCAGGCTGGAGTGCAATGGCATGATCTCGCTCACTGCAACCTCCGCCTCCTGGGTTCAAGCGATTCTCCTGCCTCAGCCTCCCAAGTAGCTGGGATTACAGGCGCCCACCACCATGCCCAGCTAATTTTTGTATTTTTAGTAGAGACGAGGTTTCACCATATTGGCCAGGCTGGTCTTGAACTCGACCGAGGTGATCCACCCGCCTCGGTCTCCCAAAGTGCTAGGATTACAGATGGGAGCCACCACGCCCAGCCATAATTTTTGTACTTGTAGTAGAAAAGGGGTTTTGCCATATTGGCCAGGCTGGTCTCGAACTCCTGACCTCAAGTGATCCACCTGCCTTGGCCTCCCAAAGTGCTGGGATTACAGGCATGAGCCACCGTGCCTGACCATGAATTTTATTTTCTTTACAATAGTCCTTTTGCTGGATTCATTGAATACTGGGCAACCACAGCCACAGACCTCTATCTAAGGTACATAACAAGCAATTCAACTTTTTCTTGTAGCGTCATGATATTTCTCTGCTGCTTGGGAGCACTTCCAACATCACTAGTAGCACTTCATATGACTCCCATAGTGTTATTCAAGGTTTATGATATTACAACAAACATGATAACAAATTACACAGGAATTGGGAGAAAGCACTTTTTACTGTGATGTGCAATTTACTAGAGAGACAAATTGCTCACCAGGAGATGATTAGCATCACACAGCATTTTAAGCAGATTCTCAAAACACCTGAATTTACCACAATAGCAACAGAATGTTGGAATTATTACAGTAGTACAGTACAAACTACAGTTAATTTTATACAGTTATAATTTAATACTGCATCTTTACATTTGTTTACAGTTCTCTCCACTGAGAGTAGCACCACGTACTGAGAATAGCACCACGTCCAGTCTCTACGTGTTTGCATAAATTTTGATACATTTTAACTTTTTACAATGGATTTGTATATATTTTATGGTAGTAAATGATAAAATAAACTAGTATCTACTGTGTTTTATGCATTGATAACATATCTCCAAAGTTTTTAATTTTTTTTTATATTTCTAGGCTACACAATTGGCAAGTTTTTTCAATTTGTCAAAAATCTCCAAAAAACTTCCCAATAAACTTACTGAAAAAAAGCTGTGTGTAAGTAGACCCTTGCAAGAGTTGACTGTACATAAAAAAAATCTCTTAACCTCTGTACCAGGAGACAAACAGAAGAATGTTCATAAAAGCGCTGTTTGTAATAAGAAAAGTTGAAAATGACCCAAATGTCCACCAGTCACAGAAGGATAATTACGGAATGGAATTGTACAATGGAATCCTATAAAAAGTAAGTTAAAGAACCGAACCACGCCCTTAAATATGAATGATTCTGAGTTGGGCACAGTGGCTCACACCTATAATCTCAGCACTTTGGGAGGCTGAAGGGGATCATCACTTGAGCCCAGAAGTTCAAGATCAGCCTGGGCAACATAGCGAGACCCCATCTCAAAAAAAAAAAAAAAAAAAGAAAAGAAAAGAAAATTTTGGCCTGGTTCAGTGACTCACGTCTGTAATCCCAACACTTTGGGAGGCTGAGGTGGGATGATCTCTTGAGTCTAGAAGTTTAAGACCAGCCTGGTCAACATGGCAAAACCCTGTCTCTACAAAAAATTACCCAGGCATGGTAGTGCATGTCTGTAGTCCCAGCTACTTGGGAGGCTGAGGTAGGAGGATTGCTTGAGCCTGGGAGGTGGAGGTTACAGTGAGCCAAGATCATGCCACCACAATCCAGTCTGGATGACAGAGCAAGACCCTGCCTCAAAAAAAATTTTTTTAATAATAACTTTTTAAAATCCATTCACAATATCATCCCAAACAAGAAATTAAACAAATAAAAAACTTAGAAATAAATTTAACCAAAGATGTGCAAGCCGTGTTACTTCCTTTCTTAAAGATCTCTAGTTTTTATCTGACCTAAATACAAACTCCCTACCATGCCATAAAACGTTCTCCAAAATCTAAGCCAGACTAATCCCTGAAGTTTCATCATCTCTTTCTTCTCCCCTTTATGATCTGCTCCAGCCACATTGAACTTCTTACCATTCACCTTCTTCACATTTTCCCACTTCCGTCTGGGAACAACTTCCACACTCCATTCTCTAGCAACACCCTTTCTAAGACACAGCTAGAACATTATGACTTCTATGAAGTCTTTCCTGACTCTCAATTAAAATTAGTCCCTTTTTTCTCCATGGTTCCTTAGTATTGTTTCTATTCCTATCATACACTTATAACAATGTGCTCAAATTTCCTTTGTAGTAGTCTGAATTCTAACACCGGAACCTGAGCTTTGTATTTGAAATGCTCAGCAAAGTGGCTGATGTAGAGTAGCCAATAAAAGCGTATTGAATAAATAAATTTGTAATCTAGAAGACAGGATCCACAACCATTTATATTATCCAAAATCTGGGTTACCTTACACATAAAAAAGGCAATAAAGTTAAGGCAGTATGGTACAGAAGTTAAAAGTGCAAGCTGTGTTCTAATTAAGATGGTAAATTAAACACACATCTGCCTTTGTTGCCTGCCCAAACCCCAGCTAAGACAATATTAAAGGGCTTTTTTGGTAAAGGCATAAACACACAAGGATGAGGAGAATGGGAAAGGAAGACAACAACAACAAAATCTTGAAAGTGTTTAAATAAGTGTTAAAGTATTCTCAGAAAATTTAATCCTAAATTGGTGAGAGGGAAATCATAAAACTAACTCAATTTGTGTCACAAACTAGGCAAAAACCTCATGAATTGGTGCTTTTACATATGTCTGGAAGTGAAGATAAAGAGAGTACTGTAAAATAAGGATGGAAAGTTTGTTTGAAAAGCAGAAGGATCACTAAATTCCCACTACCATCCCCAACAAAAGTTCATAATTTTATTACTAGGAATAGATCAAAGGGAGGGTCTTCGGAGAGCAAGGGGTACTGTGGTAGCCAGAAAAACGGCCCACCAAAAAATGACAACATCCTAATCCCTGGAACCTGTAAATATGTGTGGTTAACATGACAAATGCCTTTGCAGATGTGATTAAGGACTCTGAGATGAAGATATTATCCCAGATTATATAGGTGGAGCTAATTGCATCGCATGGCACTTTAAAATCTGAGAATCTTTCCTGGGCTGTGGTCAGAGGGAGATGTGACTAGAGAAAAAGAATCACAGATATACTGCTATGCCGCTGGCTATGAACATGGAGAATGGAAGCCATGAGCAAGGAATGAGGGTGGCCTCTAGGAGCTAGAAAAGACAAGAACATAGATTCTCTCCCAGAGCCTCCAGAAAGGGATGCAGCTATACCAATACCTTGATTTTAGTCCAGTAAAACCCACATCTGACTTCTTACCTACAGAACCGTACAACGATAAGTTTGGGTTGTTTTAAGCCACTAAGTCTGTGGTAATTTGTTACAGTAACATAAAATAAATTCAGGGACCACACTGAAAACATGGGGATTAGGTAAATGTACAGATACCACCAGATCCTGTCTAATCAGTTCTCAGAATACCTAGAGGCAGGCCTTCTTCACCGTCTAGGCAGGAGATTGGAACATAACTCTGTAGGAACTCTAACTAGATCTAAAGATAATGATAATAGAGATACCAACTATGACAGAAAACTGTTAGCTGTTCACTAAAATCTAGTTCCCTTACTTCCAGGGCACACAATTTCACCCTCCCTTGAATTTAGGTGGAGCCATACAACACAGTTCTGGCCAGTGGAATGTGGCTAGTAGTTACAGTGGTATGCCAGAGCTGGCATGAAAGCCTACTGGGTGTATCTCTTCCTAATTCTGCATTTGGTGACATCATGTCAGTAGCCTGAAATTGGTCATGATGAAGTATTTATACCATAAAGATCAGCAAATGCTATAAATCAGAGCTTTTTCCTCCCAGATGATCAGGTTGTTAAAAATATACTACCCAAGCCTCACTCATAAAAATTCCTGCAAAATCTTCCATGCTAACTAGATGTAGAAGTTCCTTTGGCCCCTTCTCAAGAATGATAAAAAAAGGCCCACATGAAAGGTTCTAGTTGACCAAGAACACCAACGCTGGGCTTTATCCAAGTGAGAAACAAACTTGTATTACGTTAAGTCATGACGATTTGGGGAGTTGTAGTCACAATTCCAATTCCTACACTACCTAAACTGCCTAGCTTGATTACCTCAAGTAAAGATCGCACAGGCAACCTCTAATCATGGATTGAGAGCTTCCAATCAGCTTTCAGTACCCTATCCTTAGAAAGGAGCAGTCAGTCAAGGATTATTGGACAGCTGAAGACAACTCTAATATAGGTGCAGCAAACCACCATGGCACTTGTATACCTATGTAACAAACCTGCCCATTCTGCACATGTATCCCAGAATTTAAAGTATAATAAAAAATAAAAAATAAAAAATAAATAAATTTTTTTAAAAAGTTAAACATAAAATAGGGGAAAAAGCAACTCAGAGGAAACAAACCAAGTAAAAAGAAGAAAATTTAAAAATATATATCATTAATATAAGAGAAGTAAGAAAAGATAATACAACTATAAAATAACAGTATATTATAAAAGAGTGAAATTCAGAAATAAAGAAGCTCATGGGAATTTAAAATATATGGAGAAATTTTAAAAATTCAGTAGAAAACTGGAGAATAAAGGTGGGAAATTGACCCAAAGGGCACAAAGATAGAAAATGAAAGAGAAAGAATAAGATACGTAGAAGAGTCCAAAGAAATTCAGAAAAACTGAAAAAAGGAGACTCGAGAACAGAAAATGAAGAAATGTTTCCAGCAGGGGTCAAAAGTTTCTACGACCAAAGGACCCATCAAGTACCCAGCACAACTAATGAAAACAGACCAATGGCAAGGGTCTGTGAAACTGTAGAAACTCTGCCCAAAAAACAGGAATCTACAACTTTTTGGAAGGTATAAATGATCACACATCAAAGGTAAGTAATCAGAACTGCTTCAGACTTTTAAATAGCAACACTGGAAACTAAAAGGTGATGAAGCATATAATCAAAGTTCTGAGAAAAAATTCTAACCTAAAATTTTATATGCAGTCAATGTGGAGTCATAATAAAAATTTTTGGGCAGCATGCCAGATCACAAAAAATCTACTTCCCATGACCTTTTTCTCAAGAAATTGCTGGAGGGTATTACTGGCTCCACCATGGCAGGATAGTAAACAAAGAAATGAAGCAATAGGAGGTCCAACACAGGAAACAAGCAAAAGGAATCCCCTAAAATAATAAAGATCCCAGCATGACTGCCATACAACTGGTCTGGATTGGTCCTAGTCAAAAGGCTCCAGAAGAGATTTATTTAAGAACCTAAAACTGAGAAAAGATGTGTATGATTCAGACAACTGGCAAAGATGTAAACTAGTGATAAGTGCATTAAAAACTACATCAAATGAAAAGGTAATTACAACCTTTGAAGAAAAAGTGTCAGGAAAGAAAAAACAGTACAGTTTACAACATGGCTCAGCTGAAGATAGTGTTTACATAATAAATTAACGTAAACATCAAACACTGATCTAACCAAAATTATGAAATAACTATGAGGGGACTGGGAATTAGTTGTGGAGGAGAGGACAGCCAAATAATCATTTTTAATAGCAGAATAAATCATGTCTACAAGTAATAAATCAGGCAGTAAAACAAGTACATTATTTAGACACGTACATAAACACTGAAATCAGCAGCTAAAAATAGTTACTTGTGGAAAGGGAGAAATGAAATGTTATTTTTCATAACAAACCTTATGAAACTATTAGATTCTTTAACCAATATGTACGTATAACTTGAAGAAACAAACTAAAAGAAGGAAAGGAGGAGAGTAAATAATCTGCAACCAGATATATGGGTTTATTCCTGGATGTACTCTTTGTTAACTCTGTGACTTTGAGCAAGTTACTTATCCTCTCTGTGCCTGAGTTTTCCTCATTTGTAGCATGGAGAATGCAACAATATCTACCTCATGGTGGTGTTGTGAGAACTGAGTTCATACACTTACTTTATACATACGTGTACATACTTGTAGAATGATATCTGGCATATAATAAGCATGCATTAACACTGACTTATTTTTAAGTACTACCTCTGGGCCTTATCTGAAAAGTCAGCTCTACAATTCTAAGGACAATAAAATCTCATAGGAAGTTTTCTTTTAAGGAATGTTATCTTTCTGTATTATATTACTGCTTATCAAGGAAGAGGTCAACTGTGCTAACCTTTAACTATGTTTCATTACATTGATAGTGAAAGAATTTCTCATAGGAACTTCAACTGCTGCCACTTGGAATCTTCTTAGAATGCTGGCAATACTCAACTAAGAAAATCAGTAGCGGTGGTTACCAGCGGCTGGTGGTGGGAATAAAAGGAGGAACGGGGAAAGCAAAAATGTTGATCAAAGGGCACAAAGTTTCAGTCAGACTGGAGGAATAAGTTTTTGTGATCTACTGAACTGCATGGTGACCACAGTTAATAATAATATATATTTTAAAACTTCCAGAAGAATGTATTTTTAACATTCTCCCCACAAAGAAATAATAAGTTGGTGAGATTATAGATACGTTGCTAGGTGCAGTGGCTCACGTTTGTAATCCCAGCACTTTGGGAGGCCGAGGCCGGAGGATTGCTTGAAGCCAGGAATTTCATACCAGCCTGGGCTACAAAGTGAGACCCCATCTAAACAACAACAACAACGTTTTAAAAACTTAGTTGAGCATGGTGGTGGGCACCTGTAGTCCTGGCTACCAAGGAGGCTGAGCCAAAAGTATCCCTTGAGGCCCTTGAGCCCTGGAGGTTGAGGCTGCAGTGAGCTAATGATCACACCACTGCCCATCAGCCTGGGCATCAGGGCATTCCAGCCTGGGAGACAGGGCAAGATGCTATCTCTAGAAAAAAAAAAAAAAAGATGCTGGATGTATTAACTAGCTTGATTGGATCCTTTTATAATGTATACATAGATCAAAACATCACACTGTACCCCATAAATATGCACAGTTATTATATCAATTAAAAATGAAGAAAAAAGAAAACAATATAGGAAAGAATGCCTTAAAATTTTAATCAAACATCCAAAGGCTAAGCTAAAATTAAATAAGTATCTGCTGACATAAAACTATTTTCCTTATTTAACTTAGCAGCTTTCATTAAGGAGCCTAGAACTTGCTTCAGGCTGATCAGATTTCCTAACACTATAGTTTCACAACCGAAGTCAAAAGAGCTATATTTCAGTTGGTCACAACTCCTAGATTACATCAGTCTAAAGACAACTACAGTTACAAAAGGGCACAAACTTTTATTATTTTAATATTTCTTAATGTAGTAATGAAAAACAAAAATAAACTTTAAAAAAAACAGAAACCCACTAACAATATTTTCTCTTTTCCTACGTTTCCCTCCTGTCCTTATGCATATATCACACAGGCAACTTTAAAACTTCCCTCTAATCATAGTCAATGTCATCTCCCATCCTCATCATTCTTTTAAAAATTTAGGAAAGTATTTTCTTAAAATGCATTCATTCACTCTGGTAAATGTTAAAATACAGAGGATTACCAAGATCAAAGACAAATAGATCCTTTTCTCAAACAGCTTATGATCTAATACAAGAAGTAAAATATAGATATCATTATTTTGAATTTATAGTTTTGTATTTTGCCTTTTTTATATTTCAAAAAAAGAAACCGAATTCCTCATAATCAACTGGGTGCAGTGGCTCAAGCCTGTAATCCCAGCACTTTGGGAGGCCAAGGTGGGAGGATCACCTGAAGCCAGGAGTTCCAGACAAGCCTGGGCAACATGGTGAAACCCCATCTCTACAAAAAATACAAAAATTAGCTGGGCATGGTGATGCATGCCTGTAGTCCCAGTTACTCAGGAGGCTGAGGTTAGAGGATCACCTGAGCCCAGGGAGATCAAGGCTGCAGTGAGCCGTGATATACCACCGGACTCCAGCCTAGGTGGCTGAGCGAGGCCCTGGTTGAATAAAAATATTAAAATAGGACTAGGCACGGTGGCTCACGCCTGTAATTCCAGCACTCTGGGAGGCCAACGCAGGCAGATCATTTGAGGTCAGGAGTTCAAAACCAGCCTGATCAACATGGTGAAACCCCATCTCTACTAAAAATACAAAAAAAGTGGTGAGGCATGGTGGTGTATGCCTGTAGTCCCAGCTACTCAGGAGGCTGAGGCAGGAGAATCGCTTGAACCCAGGAGGTGGAGGTTGCAGTGAGCCGAGATTGCACCACTGCACTCCAGCCTGGGTGACAGAGACAGAGATAGATAGATAGATAGATAGATAGATAGATAGATAGATAGATATAAAATATATACATACACACACACACATATATAAGCATACATATATAGAAAATAACTTTATAATAAAAGGTAGAGGGCGATTTCTGACATAAGAGTAGTACAAATAACATACTGTAAGAAGTCAAGAGGAACAATGATTTTGAGCAGCAAGACTGTCATCTTCAAAGAAAAGTGACAAATACTGAGGAAGGGCATTAAAGAATAGGTAGAATTCAAAAATATAGAGAATGGGGAGTATGAAGTTACATGAAGGGCAGAAGTAAAATGTGGACAAAATCACAGAATCAAGAAAATATATGAAGAATAATAATAGTTTATGTTGCACTTAAAAAAAAAAAAAGAGATATCTGAGGACAAAGCCTCAGAGCACTCCAAACATTTAGGAATCATGAAAAAGAGAAGACCCTAGCAAAGAAAATTCAGTTAGTGTGTTTTCTGCCAAGGCCTCTCCTAAGAAGTCTGGCTGGAGACTCTGTGTACATGGGCAGGCCTAACTTCAGCCAGAGTGTGCAAAGAACCAGCAATCAGGATAGCAGTATCCTCAAATCCCAAACAAGAAGAGACTGGGGCACCTACAATAGTAACTTAATTAGAACTCTCCAAGATATCTCATTAAATTTCTTTAGAGAAGAATTCTCTCCTATTTTCTCTTACAATGTATAAAAAATGCTTAGCATGCACAAAAAAGTACTCAATAAATGGCAGGTATAATTAACGCCCTAAACCACCATCAACCATTCTGCTTTGGTTTGAATGTCTCCCCCAAAGTTCATGTGTTGGAAATTTAATCTCCAACGCAACAGTGTTAAAACGTAAGACCTTTAAAAGGTGATAAGGTCATGAGGGCTCTGCTCTCATGAATGAATGAAGGTCATTATTACAGGAGTGGGTTATCAAAGCAAGTTTTCTCCCACACTTGCCCACGTGTGCATACCATGTGATGCCTTTCACCATGTTATGATGCAGCAGGAAGGCCCTCACCACACGTGGCTCCTTGACCTTGGACTTCCCAGCCTCCAGAACCATGAACCAAATAAATTTCTGTTCACTATAAATTACTGAGTCTCAAGTATTCTGTTATAGAAGCAAAAAATGAACAAAGACACATATTAAAATATTTCCCAATTTCAATGGCAAACACTCTATTACTGAAATAACAAAAAGCTGAGAAGGTGACAGACTGAGTTTGAAATATTTAGAGAGTCAACCATGGTGGTAGCTGGAAGGTCTAAGAACTCCAAGAACAAGATAAAATCTGGGAGGAAACCTTGGAGTAAAGTACCAAGGCAATTCAATAGGGAAAGAATAATCAACAAATGGTGCTCAAACAACTAAATATCCACATGTAAAAGAATAAAACTGGATCCCCACCTCACACCATACACAAAACTAACCTGAAATGGACCACAGACCTAGGTATAAGAATTAAGGCTACTAAACTCTTGAAAGGAAACACAGTTACAAGATTTTGACCTTGGAGTAGGCAAAGATTTTTTAGATAGGATACCAAAAGCTCAAGTGAAGAAAAAAAGAGATAAACTAGATGATATCAAAATTCAAAACCACTGTGCTACAAGTGATAGCAGCAAGAAAGTAAAAAGACAACCTATGGAATGGGAGGAGATACATGCACATCATATACCTGACAAAGGATCTGCACTTAGAGTATATTAAGAACTCTTACAAGTCAATAATAAAAAGACAACTTAAAAACAGGCAAAGGATTTGAATATATATTTCTTTCAAAAAGGTATGTAAATGGATGATAATCACATGAAGAGATGTTCAACATCATCTGTCATCAGGAAAATGTAAGTGAAAATCACAATAAGATACTACTTGATACCCATCAGGACAGCTAGAATAAAAATAACCAACAATAACAAGAGTTGGTTAGGATATGAAGAAACTGGAGCCCTCAGACATTGTTGGTGGGAATGTAAAATGGTACAGTCACTTTAGAATATAGTCTGGCATTTCTTCAAATAATTAAACATATTCTTACCATATGATTTGGCAATTTTACTCCCAGTTATATACCCTAGAGAAATGAGAATATATGGTCACAGAAAAATTCATACATGAATGTTCATAGCACCATTATTCATAGTAACCAAAAAGTGGAAACAACCCAGATGTCCATCAATTGATAAATGGACAAACAAGATACAGTGTATATATATTTCCCCATACTAAAATATTATTTAGCTATAAAAAGTAATGAAATATTAATATATGCTACAACATAGGCAAATCCTGAAAGCATCATGTAAAGTAAAAGAAGCCAATCACAAGACTGTAATATTTCATGATTCCATTTATATAGAATGTTCAGAATAGAAAAATCTAAGGAAACAAAACAGATTAGTGGTTGCCAGGGACAGTGGGGAGTGGGGATTGAAAAGTGACTGCTAATAGTTACTAAATTTCATTTAGTTTGACAAAAATGATCTAAACTTAGATTGTGGCGATGGTTGCACAACCATGATATAATTCTAGAAGCCACTGTATTATATACTTTAAATGGGTGAATCTTATAGCATGTGAGAGCTATATTTTAATTAAGATTTTTTTTAAAAGGTTAGCTAATTTCTCAGAGAAAATGAAAGAAGCTGGGGCAACTTTTACAGCCATACTTTCTCCTATAAAAGTCTTCTTACAGAACTTTTCTGTGGAAGAGTGTTTGAGGACTTTCCATTTTATAAGCAGCAAGTTCATTCCAAAACAGGGCCCACATACTCTGGTTTCTCTTCAGATCTTACAAACCTTTTGCCTTTTACCAAAACAGGGCCCATATAATTTAAACACTGGGGTTTTTGGAAAAAAAATAAAATAAAAGAGATAATTCATTCTGAGAAAACACAAAGAGTATTTGAGAACAATCTCTGGTGTGTTCTATAGTCCTATGACTGACTACATGATCTTCCACTTAGAAGTAGAAAGTAACAAGCAGTAATAAAAGTAATCATTATTATTTACACAGCAGTTACTAAGTCTTTGTATGTCAAGCTCCACAACCATTCTCTTATTTAATCTCATCAAAAAACCTTACTCAAAATTGAAGTCCACATTGATTGGTTAAATTATAGTATACTATACAATGTACTATTATATAGTAATTAAAAAAATATTTTCTGGGTATGATACCAAAAGCAAGCACCAGCAACAACAACAACAACAACAACAAAAACGTAAGTTAAATCTCATTAAACAGTTGTGTGTATCAAAGGACACTATCAACAGAGTAAAAAGGCAACCACAGAATCAGAGAAAATATTTGCAAATCATATATACAACAGGAGACTGATATCTAGAATATATTTTTAAAACTCCTACAACTTAACAACAAAAACAAACAACTGAATATTAAAATGGGCAAAAGACTCAAATAGATATTTTTCCAAAGACATACAAATGGTCAATAAACACACAAACAGACCCACAACAGCACTAGTCACTAAAGAAATGCAAATCAAAACCATAATGAGGCACCACTTCATAAACATTAAGATGGCTATTTTCAAAAAACAAAAAATAACGTGGATGTAGAGAAACTAGAACCTTTGTGCATTGCTGGTGGGAATGTAAAATGGTACAGCCACTGTGGAAAATGATGTGCCGCTTCCCCACAAAAAAGCAAAACATAAAATTACCATATAATCTAACAATTCCACTTCTGGGTATGTACCTATAAAAAGTAAAAGCAGGCACTCAAACAGATATCAGTACATCTATGTTCACAGCATTATTCATAATAGCCAAAGGATGGAAGCAACCCAAGTTTCCACTGACAAACGGATAAACAAAATACGGCATCAAGAAAGAAACTTTTATCTGAGGAATGCAAGTCCTTTTAAATGATCTGGCCCAGAAAGGCATTAAAATGTGACAGCAATCACATCCTACTTCTCTCCTTTGAGCTATGAGAAATATTTATCTATTGAAACTGCTTTATACTGCCACAAGTAACTAGAAAATAACCTAATAATGCTGCACCACACACTATAAACTACTCCCTGCATCTCAACAATGTTAGTCAATCATTAACCAAAGTTATTTCTATAAACTAGTGAGAATTCCTGACAGACAACTTAGTATCAGCCCACTCCATGTCCCCTTTATTTAATGCCTTCACAAACCTGCTTGTAACAATGGCCAAAGGGAGCTCATATCCAAGGATACTTGAGTCTGAGTCTCCCAGGCAACTGTTCTCATTTTGGCTCAAGTAAACTCTTTGAATCCTATTTTGTGCTTCAGCCTCTTCCTTTTAGGTCGATGGTATGTACACACATACAATGAAATATTATTCCGCCTTAAAAATTACGGAAATTTTGATACATGCTACATAACATGAGTGAACTTCGAAGACGTGCTAAAAGAAAAGCCAGTTTCCAAAACACAAAAATTCTATGATTCCTCCTATATGAGGTTTTTAGAGCAGTCAAATTCATAGAGACACAAAGTAGAATGGTGTTTGCCAGGTACTAGGAGAAGGGGAGAATAGGAAGTTAGTGTTTAATGTGTAAGAAGTTTCTGTTGGGAAAGACTAAGTTCTACAGATGGATGGGTGGTGATGGTGACACAACAATGTGAATATACTTCATGCCACAAAACTGTACACTTGCAACTGTTAAAATGATAAATTTTGTTATATATTTTTTACTACAATAAAATTTATTTTATAACCCTTTCATGTCACACTAAGATATATTAATGACAGGAAATAGGATATGTATGCGGTAGAATCAACTAGTACTCTTCCTCAGTAAGCACAAGGTAATCAAAACAATTCAGTGGGTCTGGAATATTAAAAGATAGCCCTTTCCTCCTGAGTAACAAAGAGAACTGTGACTGACAGCAAGTGATTCTTGTAATTACACCAGGCTTGCAAGAGTGGAAAAATGTAAATGCTTTTCAGTACAATAGAGGTGGGTCTAGTGGGCTTCACATAAACTCTATTCACATATAATTAAGACAATAAGCTAAGAAAAAAATGGTTTTCTTCTTGAGTTCTGTTACTTCACAGGTGACTTACGAAAGCTTGATCACAGGTCTCATTGATAGAGAGGCTATACAGAACTGGAGCACTCATGTTTTTTGTTTCCTTTGTTTTTGTTTTTTTTTTAGAAGACAGGGGCCCTGCTATGGTTGCCTAGCATAGCCTCAACTCCTGGGCTCAGGCAATCCTCCCACCTTACCCTCCCAAGTAGCTGGGACTATAGGCACACACCATGCCTGGTTTTGATGCACTGACTTTTACCTTCATTCACTGGCCTAGCAACACCTTCTTTACAGAGCCTAACAATAACTGGGTAGAGAAGAAAGTAACCAATCAGAGGAGAGCCTCACTGCCCCTTCTGCAGAGGCACTGTTTAAATGGCAAAATGCAAGTGTGATTCAAAGAGGAGTATCTCCTCTTGTGGAGAACATGCTGGGCATGATGTCATCAAACTGAATTATGTCAAGAAGGGGCATGGTGTGGCATACAGGCATGATCTGTCCCCATCGTTCTCTTTAGCTTTATCTCCTGCCTCTCTTCCCCGTGATTTCTCAGCTTGCCTTCTTGCTATTCCTGAACACATCAAGTGTGGTCCCATTTGAGGGACACTGCACTTCTTTCTGCCTGAAACATTCTTTTCTTTACTGTTTTCATATTCTTCCTCTCTTATCTCATTCAGTTTTCCTCTCAAATGTCAGGTCGTCAAAGAGGTATTCCCAATGACCCTATCTAATATAGGCTTTCCTCCATCAAGCTTTATTCCCTTATACTGTTTCATTTGTCTTCAGACTAATTACAATCTTAAATAATTTACTGCCTATCTCCTATCACCAGAATGTAAACCCACAGGGCAAGGGTGACATCCGTCTTACTTATCACTGTATTACTAGTGCTTAGAATAGGGCCATACAAACAACAAATAAATACTTGAAAGAATATGGACAGGAAAAGAGAAAGAGTGTAATGGAGAGACAGATCAGAAAGTATCCAGAAAGACCACCCCTCTTCCCAGAGGCCTATCTCTAGAAGGCCTAGTCAGAGGCCTAACTCTACAAGGGCTTCCTCCACTTGGAATCTTAAGAAAACAGTTATTAGCTAGAATTGTCCTTTATTCACTTCAATATCCTTCTAAGAGTTGCTTGATTCTTCAGCAAAGAAAGCTGTTTTAACTATATTGTACTTCAAAGGATTTGATGAGAGGAAAGCTGAAAAGGCAGATGGGTGAGGAAAAAATGTGTTTAGTTAGCCTAATGTGACAGTTTTATACAACAAGAAGTTGGAAGGGGACTGGGCCCTCTAGATGGTAACAACTCAGAATCACCTTGAATTATAAAACAGCAGTGACAAAATCCATAATCCACAGGTACAAAAAAGACTAAGTGCTAAAGGTAAGAATGAACTCTTGACTTTCAAACAAAAATTAGCAAAGATTTCCTTTCAGAACGAAAAAGACAAGGACACTGATAACCTCAGGTTACACAGGTAAGTTTAATTTTATACAAAAGAAAGATATATACACATTTCTTAGGACATGCAAATTATTAATGTGCTATTACCATATACTGTCTTTTTTAAATTTTAACAAGAGAGTGGCTGAACATTAACATATTCAGTTATCTTAAAGCCACAATGTTTAATAAATCCATCATCAGCTTCAAAGCATTTATTTGTGTTATTAATGTCTAAAAGGTATATCCTATTCACTGGGACATTCTGAAAAGAAAAATAAAGACCGGGGGGAAATACACTAAGTGTTAATAATTATCTGTGTGTGGTAAAATCAAGAATGACCTTAGTGGCCTTAATATTTAATTTTCCACAGTCACAAAAAAAGAAACTTACTTAAAATTGAAAACAACTTTGCTAAAGAATATAATATAGGTACGTCACGTAAGGCCTTCTTTTAGAAAAGCCATGAAATGACCTATAACATTGTCCTATTTATAACACTTACCTCATAACCAAAAATCATTTTAACTTTGAAGACTTTATTTCCTCCTTTACAATTAAATATTCAAAAGGTTTAGTCTTAATTTTTAAAAAGCAAGTTTTCCAGCATACTCCACATAAAAACTGTGAACGTATAAGCATTTGGGTTTTTCGAGGATACTTTGATATAAGGAAAACCTGAAATTAAGATCTATTGTGACACAGGTTCAGTATTGCATATTACAAGGAACTATTCCTGATATTAACAACCTCAGAAGCAATCTAAAATTTCAGAAAACTAATATATATTAAAAGCTAATAAAGAGGGAATAGTGGTGATAGACATGTTAGTTAGCTTGATTTACCCATTTCACAATATATACATATACAAAAATAACATGTACACGGTAAATATATGTAATTTTTTTTTGTCATCTATACCTCAATAAAAACATATATTTTTTTAAATTTGTTGAGACAGGGTCTCCTCTGTCACCCAGGCTGGAGCGCAATGGCGCAATCTCAGCTCATTGCAGCCTTGATCTCCGGAGCTCAGTGATCCTCTCACCTCAGCCACCTAAGCAGCTAAGACTATAGGTGTGTGCTAACATGACTCACTAATTTTTGTATTTTTGGCATAGAGACAGGGTTTTGCCACGTTGCCCAGGCTTGTCTTGAACTCCTGGGCTCAAACAATCCTCCCATCTAGGCCTCCCAACGTGCTGGGATTACAGGCATGAGCCACTGTACCCGGCCATAAAAATAAATATTTTTTTAAAAGTTTAGAAGAAGAAATAGCAGACCCTTGTTTGCCTACCCACCATCCACTCCTTTCTTTCATCTTTCCAACAGAATATCCATTTTATTCCCGTTTTCACTCTCATCTTCAGCTCCAATCCAAAGTTGGATGTTGATTAGGGTAAGAATATTGGTCTTGGGTGGGTCTAACCAGAATGAAGGGAAAGACACAGTCCAGGACTGCAGAAACAGATGGTTGTCTCTTTCTGAATTGAACTGATTACCAAAGGAGAAAAACAGCCTTTGGATAATAGTAATTTTGTGATGAGTAAAGCAGAGAAAGAGAAAGAAATTGGATCTACAATAAAGTCATTGATTTGCTGAATCAAATACTTTTGGAATCGGTCTACTACTCTGCACTTCCTATAATGTACCTAACATAGTTCTTTCCAAGCACTTGAGTCAGGCTACATAAAACCCAATTTATGCAGACAAACGCATTATAACTAATATGGAAGGAAACCAAATCGTATGGAATTTTCTTCTTAACAAAAAGCTGAAATGCCGTGTGTTAGTATGTGTTAACACCCTCATACTCAGGAGTGTTGATAATTCTATCTTGATCACAGACATAAGTTTAATTATCCCATCTGCCACAACGTCTTAATAGTCACTAAAAAAAGACATGAGTGAACATGGATGGATCTTTTTAAGGGATATTTTTAAAAGAAAAAAGAAGTTATCTATACTTTCAACACTTTGTATTTTTATGTTAAGATTTAAAAAAAAAAAAAAAAACGAGAAAGAAGAATCTTAGAGTTCCTCCTAAGGCTTGCATTTGGTTAACAGTTTAATTAAATACAGTTTATTAAAAAAATTGAGGCAACTCATATAGGTTAATTTGAAATTTTTCCTGCTTGCACTTAATATGTGTGTGGTGTGTACACACACATGCATACATACACACAGTATTTTATATCTGAAGAAACAACTAAGATAATTCACACAAAAGAAAGACATTTCCACTTTATAAAAGTAATTCACAGGCCAGGCATGGTGGCTCAGATCTGTCATCCCAGCACTTTGGGAAGCCAAAGCTGGAGGAGTGTTTGAGGCCAGGAGGTTAAGACCAGCCTGAGCAACATAGTGAGACCTTTTCTCTATAAAAAAAGAAAAATTTTTTAAAAGTAATTCACCAGAGGATACACTATGGAATCACAACCGAAGGGATTTTTTTGTTTGATAGCTATGTAAAAATATATTTAGTTTATAAAATATAAGTCTCATTAGTTATTTACAGTAATGCACAAATACTGTCAGGTAAGTATTAAAAGACTAAAGGTTACTGTTGTCAAGTCGCTGAAGCTAAGTATCAACTTAAAAAGACAAACCAAGCAAAACATTTGAATTTGTGCAGTCATAGACCAAGGATATAGAAGGCAAAAACGAAAAGGGATGCATTTTGAGTCCAGACTTGAATTTTTTTTTTTTTTTTTTTTTTTTTTTTTTTTTTTTTTGAGATGGAGTCTCACTCTGTCACCCAGGCTGGAATGCAGTGGCACGATCTCAGCTCACTGCATTCTCCACCTCCCCAGGTTCAAGCAATTCTCCTATCTCAGCCTCGAGCGAGTAGCTGCACTTATAGGCGTGCGCTACCATGCCTGGCTAATTTTTGTATTTTTAGTAGAGATGGGGTTTCACCATGTTGGCCACACTGGTCTTGAACTCTTGACCTCAGGTGATCCGCCTGCCTTGGCCTCCCAAAGTGCTGAGATTACAGGCATGAGCCATGGCACCCAGCCCACACTTGAATTCGTAATGTCTGACTCTAGCAGAATGAACCAAAACTTCTGTTTAGCAAAACAGGTGCGCAACTTCCTATTTCTCACATATAACAGCTTGGAGCCACAATCGAATCTAACAATCTATTACAGCATGAAATGGAAATGTGCACTGTTAAAGGGCAGAGATGAATATGTAAGTTGTTATATTTGAGGGAGATAAATGAGGAATGAAAATGAAGTGCAGTAGGATAAACTTGTTGGCAAATGGTTAAACATTTTTTAAACTGCTCAGTGTTAAACGATTACTGTTGGACTCAAACCTCAGCATCCTGCCAGTATATGGAATTGTTAGCTCAGTCACACCTCTAGATATTGTTTAATAAATTAAACTCAATATTTTTATTCATATTGGACATATACTTCTTAGAGACCCCTTAAAACAGAAACAGCTGAGTAACACATATGCCATCATTACTTTTATGCTAAAGGCAGAGATTCTTAAAACCTCTAGTTAGTGAAGGACTACATTTTAAGAGATAGAAGGAAACTCAGCAAGTTAACTAATCCCAACTCTATCCCAAGCTAGGAGATTCTAAATAAATGCATTTAGCAAAGAGTTAGAGAGTTTTCTATGTTCAAGACTCAGTGTTGACTGCTTAGAATGACAAAAATATACCTAAAATCTGATACGTTCCTTCAAGTATTCTATAGGATGGCTGCCACGAGGAATTATAGGCTGTGAACGAGAATACTGTGTCATAACAAAGATGAAAAAAATCCTAAAAACCAGGAGGAGGCTTTGAGCAAGATCAAAGGCTTCACGGAATGTTTAGGTGATGTTTGTGCTGGGCCTAGAACAAGGGGTTGAATTTGTACACGTGGCAATGGAAAGGAAGGACATTCCAGGCAGCAAGAATAGAATGACGCCCTACACAAACAGACACTTCCAACTAATGTTCCCTTACACAGTCTGCTCCTGCTATGTACAAGTTCCTGGGGTTCTTCAAACAGGCGCTCTCCTCAGGGTTTTTGCATTTGCTGCTCCTTCTACCCGGGATGCTCTTCCCCCAGATATCTGCAAGGCTGCCTTTCTTACCTCCTTCAAGTCTTTGCTCAAATGCCACCTTCTCAGTGAGAACTTACCAGACTACCCTATTTTAAACTGTCATCCTCTCACTCTCTAAGACTCTTACCCGCTTTATTTTTTTTTCCACAGCACGTAATACTATCTGGCATGCTATAATACAGCCTACTCCTTAATAGTGCTATGTTCCTCACACAAGAGCGAAAGTTATCTGTTCATCTTCAGATTTTAAAACAGTGCCTGCACATGGTAGGCATAAATTAAATTTATCCGTTGACAAACTGATGGAATGAATGACTGAAAAAAAATAACTGCCCTCAAAAAGGTTATGGTCTAGTGGAGGAAGCAAATGTATAAATAAATAATCTTAAATTATTCCTGAAAGACAAAAAAACACTCGGCAAAACCCAACTTATAGAAACTTAAAACACAGAAACAACTTCTCATACTCCACCTATAAACGGCCAGTGACCACCAGATTCTTCTTTTTATATCTTCTAGCTCTGTGCCCTCAGTGGCACTGTCACTCATACAATGGCCAAAAATGCCACCAGAGCTGCCACTCCTGCCAAAACTGCCACTTCCCACATTAACCGTCACTGCTACCTAGTAAGTGATGGTAAACAATACTTCTGTTCCCACTTTTGGACAAGGGAAAGACAGATTTCTGAGTTTCTAAATTAAATGCATTTTTCAATAGATAGTTAAATTATACACTATACGAGTAGTATACACCGATTACATGGATTAGCCAGGAAACCCACTATTTTTAATATTGCTTAAGTTTAGATATGGAAAAATAATTTTTTGAATTGTTTTACTATTGCAACATACCTTTTTTACACTGCAAATGGATGACACTGGCAAAATGGTTATGACAAAGACTCCTTCAATAAAGGCTGGTACTATATTTTAACAAACAGGTAAAGTTAATGGCATTTTTTCCCATTCGGGAGGATCAACTAGAATTTAATCTGGATTAAAGAATGATGTAGAATTTTTAAACAGACCATTAGTATTGAAGTTATACTAAATTAAAACCACACACGAGTAGCAGAAAATATTCTTTATAGCTAGCAAAAGCAAAACAACTGAAAAAAATGAAGAATAAGCTCAAGATTTCTCACTTCAACTAACACCTCCAGACTGCATTATCATTTTAGGCAAACTGACATTTTCACATTTACTTTGTAATGGCAAGATTGATTTCCATCTGGGACTTATCTGCATAAAAGTGTTAGCCTTGGCACAATTTCAAAATTGAATTGAAAGCTCATTTCTTGCTATAAGCAAAGTGCCACAATACCACACAACAGTTATACCTCACATTAATCCTACCACTGGGAGTCCAATTTTATGTGTTTCAGCTAGCGAATTCTGCCCTCAGGTAAGCACATAACTCTATAAAACCCTTCCTCGATCATCAACAAATCACTTATCTCTACTACCTTAATGCCTCCTGCACTTGTCCATACTAAACAGTATTTACACGTTAAAAGAGAAGTTCTACAAATGCTACTATTCTTCATAAATAGAAAAAAACTATAAATGAGGGCAAATTCCCATACGTGGAAAAATGCCAAACCAGAAGCTGAAATCATAACTTTTAGGTATAGAACCACAGCTCCAATCAGTCAACTACAAACGTCGCCGGTTACTTCGAGGGTAAATAATTTGCAGCCAGCTGGTAAAAAGCCTGATAAAAATATTAGGTCCTCACATATCTTCCTTTTCAATAAGGAGACACCTGAAAGTCACACTGGGCAGTCTGTCACGTATCGAAACATGCAGAAGAGAGACTGTACAGAACGTGCAGTTATCAAACGCAGGAAGCCAAAGTTCCTGTGCTATGAGAGGACCACAGTGAAAAACGGTAGCCCATCTGTCCAAAGAACAGAAAGAAGTCCACCTGGAAAGGATGGGAGTCGGCGGAGGGGGGCGAGAAGAACGAGTTCCACGCCGTCTTCCTCCTCCCGGGCTAACTGCAGCCGCGGGCGGCAGGAAGGCAGCCGCGCGGGGTGGGCTCTTGGGGACTGGGCGCAGGGCTCCGCGGCGCGGCTGGGCTGCGGCTGCCCGATCGGCGAGGGCCGGGCCCCGGGAAGTCTCCAGGGCCTCGCCCGCGCAGCCAGGAAAGCATGCAGCCCACCGACGGGCGGAGGAACCGCCCGGGCAAAGCCACGTCGGTGGCTGACCGCGCGGCAGGGAGGTGGGCACCCTGTCCACACCCACCAGGAGGCTGACAGCTGGCGAGCGCCAGGCGGCCGGGACGGGACAAGGGCCGCAGCGCGCCGGAGGGGGTCGCTCTGAGAAAGCCGCGCTGGGCGCTGCCCGTCGCCAACGACTCCCCCTCGCCCGGATCAGCGGCGGCTGGATACTCACGTAGGGCTGGTAGAACTTGGAGAGCCGCGGCTTCCCGTGGTTGTTGAAGATTAGGATCGCCTTGATCATGGCTGTGCCGGGCCGACCGGGTGGGCACTGGGGGCCAGGGCGGGGGCGGGCGCGCGAGCCTCGCCTCGTAATCTCGCCTGCGATCCTTCCCCACCCGCCCCCTCCCGCACGCGACCGCGCGCGCTCCCGAGCCGTCGGGCGGGGCCCAAGGGGCGGGGCCTGGGCGGGGCAGGCACTAAGGAAAGCGGAAACATTTCTAGGTCCGAGCCAGCGGCCTAACTGGAGTGTGCGCATTCGACCGAGCACAGACACGTTGCCCACCGCTCCTCTCCCGAGGTCTGTAGTCGCGGAGAAACACATGTTGCGTTACTAACGTTCAGAGGTCTGCGACAGCTTCGATTTGAATGACTAGCCGGGAACACCAAGTTTCACTGTGTAATTGCGTCCCCCTACTCCGGCGCCTCCTTTGCGACGCTCCCTGGAGAAAAGCACGCCCACTGCACGCGCTCAGTCGCTACTTCCGCTCTCGAGTGTCTCCAAGCAAGATGGCGGAGGAGCCGCAGTCTGTGTTGCAGCTTCCTACTTCAATTGCTGCTGGAGGGGAAGGACTTACGGATGTCTCCCCAGAAACAACCACCCCGGAGCCCCCGTCTTCCGCTGCAGTTTCCCCGGGAACAGAGGAACCTGCTGGCGACACCAAGAAAAAAAGTAACTGAATTTATTTCCGGGCAGAGAGGCGGGAGGTTCAGATTGCATCCGAGTAGGGGTGGCGGCCAGTAAAGAAGCAAAATTTAGAGGAGCGCCTGTCCTAGACCTGCATTTTGACCAGTCATCAGAAGAAAAGAAGTGTACTTTTTGATTTTTAAGGCCTTTAAGTTGAGTGTTAAAATACCATCTCTGTCTATCGGTGTAGGGCCTGATACTTGGCTGCCACACTTATTTTTATACTGTATTTTTTTGAGTTGGCCAGACTGCGAGCTCTTTGAAGGAGGGAGGGAGCTGAGTGGGGCGGGGGGAGGGGGGTCTCGGTAATTCCAGGTACTTAACACAGGAGCTAATTATTTGAGTAATGTTTTATGGTGGTAGGGGTGGTCATTGGCAAAGCCTGGATTAGAATTCATGCCTTCCAACTTAACTCGCTTTTGCTTTTTTCCCCCTCCCAGTTGGTTGTGAATTCACTCCTTAAACCAAAAACCAAATTCTTATGCAGAATGAAGACTGCTAAGGGAAAGCTAAAGGCATAGATGTTACCTTTTTAAGAAACACATTTTGGAACCTTTGTGAGTTATTTCATTGCTTGAGTCAGCTATCCTCAACCCTTTATTGCTTGAGAATGTTTCCCTTTGTAAAAGAGATTGCTAAAATTACGTGTTCTAAAGCACTCTGTTTAGAGTTAGAGTTGCCTATGGGAAAAGCAGCATATAAGCATCCTCGATTCAGAGAGGCTGATTTCGTCCTTAGACGTTTTCCCCGTTCTGTCTTAAGATGACAGTGGTCTCTGGCCGGGCGCGGTGGCTCACTCCTGTAATCCCAGCACTTTGGTAGGCTGAGGCGGGTGGATCACCTGAGGTCAAGAGTTCGAGACCAGCCTGGCCAACATGGTAAGACTCCATCTCTACTAAAAATATAAAAGTTAGATGGGTGTGGTGGCGCGCGCCTGTAATCCCAGCTACTCGGGAGGCTGAGGCAGGAGAATCGCTTGAACCCGCGAGGCGGAGGTGGCAGTGGGCGGAGGTCTCGCCATTGCACTCCAGCCTGGACAACAAGAGCGAAACTCCGCCTCAAAAAAAAAAAAAAAAAAGACATTGGTCTCATTGCTTTTTCTTCAACTTCTGCTACTGTGGAGGATAATTCTCTCCCAAGACTGCCCCCCTTCCCACTTTAAATCAGACTCCCATTTCCACCTGATGCACTATAAGTATTTCCATGGATAGCCACTGGAATCTTTCTTCAAAAGAATTCCGCAGGTTTTACAGTGTTTTGTTGCATTTTTTCTTCCAATTTACTATAGGCAAGAGCGGACGTTCGGAGATTCGTTTTAAGGTCTAACAGTCTTAGTCAAAACTTGTTACTTGACTCTGATGATAGCTGTGCAAAACAAAAGCTAAAAAAAATGGCTTACAATCTAAATATTGCCCGAGGGCATATTTTCTTGGTCTGGACAGTATTTTTTTGCAAATTGAACTGTCATTTAAGGATGAGATTTTTATTTTCTGGCTCTTGTTAGCATTTGAGTTTGCCTCTCCAATATAAAACTTAGTTTCTAACTATTCCTACCTTGTGCTTGTCATTATTTGTTGAGGATAATATGATGAAAGCAGCTTAACTGTTTTGTATCCTCAGCCTTTGTTAATCTACAGAAGAAAGATTGTTGAAACAGACCAAGGTTTTGGCACTGGAGGTATGTTAGGTTTCCTGGGGAGTAAGTGTTTCCCTAGTTGATTCTAATGTGTATCCGGGTTCAGAACTACAAGCAAATCACCTTTAAAATTAAAAAGAGAGGGCAGCTATAATTAAATTATTTTCCTTCTCTGGTTTCTCACTGTCTTACACTTCATCCTTGGTAGCATAACTCATGATATTTCCTGCTTCACTTTCTGGAAATGTTTAATTGAATTAATCGATTTATTGATAGCCCCAGGGGATTTGAGGGAGCAGTGAAAGGAGGTATGAAAGATAGGCTAACTAAAATCCCACGTTATCTCCAAATTCATTCCTATTCCTAAGATAACTGGACCTAGGATAATTAAGTAGTTCTTTAGTAGGAAGATAAAGATCATGTGTTCTAGATGCGTTCATTCCAGGAGTAAACTTGAATAAAATGACCTCTGATCTTTTGGCCCCAATATTTAATACCTAAAGAATGGAGCAAGAAGGGTGTAATAGAATAGAGTTAACTTTAGGGGGCAGCAATACACTGTTTTGCTTTCAATGTGTCTTGCTTTTTGACTGTAGATTTTTTTTTTTTTTTTTTTGAGAGGATGTCTCAGTCTGTCACCCAGGCTGGAGTGCAGTGGCTTAATCTCGGTTCACTGCAACCTCCGCGTCCCGGGTTCAAGCTATTCCCCTGTCTCAGCCTCCCAAGTAGCTGAGATTACGGGCATGCACCACCACGCCTGGCTAAGTTTTTGTATTTTTAGTAGAGATGGGGTTTCACCATGTTGGCCAGGCTGGTCGTGAACAAGAAGTTGGAAGGGGACTGGGCCCTCTTGAACTCCTGACCTCAAGTGATCCTCCTGCCTCAGCCTCCCAAAGTGTGGAGATTACTGGCGTGAGCCACCGCGCCCAGCCAGATGTATGTTTGTTTTGTTTTAGCAAATAACTTTATGTCTGAGAGACAGATTCATAGGGTTTGGGTTTGCATATCTGTGTTTTGGATCGTTGAAACCTTAAGATTTCTCTTTCTGCAACTTCTTTTTGGCTTTGGTTGTTCTATTGTTAATAACTTATTGCTTTCCTTTATTAAAAAGTTTATTACAGAAAATTTGGTAGTTACAAACAGCATAAGTAAATCCAAGTAATCATTGCCTACAATGTCACTACTGAGAAATATCATTTTGTTGCATATTCTTCCATATTTATGTGAATGTGTTTGTGATGGTTTTTAATGAATTTAAGATATTATACATGCTGTTGGAGAGATTAAATATCCACATATATACCCAGCAAGTGGCAGAGCCAGGATTCGAACCCCAGGCAGTTAAAAGTGTATGCGGTTTACTACATTCTATTTAATCAGTCACCTCCAAATATCCTTTTTGGGTATTTAGGTTTACCAGTGTTTCATATAAAAATAAATGCTTAAATGGAGGTGAAATCTTTTTAAGTGAATTTTCACACATCTCATATTTTCTTACACTGGATTCCTAGAAGTATTATTGAATCAAAGTATACCTTTATTAGGATCTGTATTACCATACTGCATTCCACAAAGGGTATACCATTTTACATTCTCAAAAGTAGTATCATCTACACTGGTAATTACTCTAATTTTAACTAGTTTGGTGGGTGAAAAGGGACATGACATTATTTTACTTTGCTTTTTGTGAACTTAAATATTGTTTGTGTATTGATCATTTGTATTTCCTCTCTTTGGAACTGCCTGTTAAGATAAAAGGCATTTTAAAAATTAGTCCTGTTGGGAGAACTTTGTAGGATCAAGAAAAAAATGATGGAAAAGAATCTAACATTTTTACATCTCTCACATATCTTCAGTATCATAAATACGTAAGATGGATGTAGATTAAATATTTCTGATTTCTAAGTCTTTTATATTCCATTCTCTTTAGATGTTTCAGTGTAATTGTCAGTAAATTTTATTCTTCTTTTACAGTTGACATTTTGCTAAAGGCTGTGGGAGACACTCCTATTATGAAAACAAAGAAGTGGGCAGTAGAGCGAACACGAACCATCCAAGGACTCATTGACTTCATCAAAAAGTTTCTTAAACTTGTGGCCTCAGAACAGTTGGTATGAAACCAATGGTGATGTTTTCCTACAAAAATTTGCAGTAGTTCCTAGGCAACAGTGAATTAACTGTTGTTTATAGAAATGCATATGGAGCCACATATGTCGCTTTTGTTATGCCCTTTTATCCCTTTATTTTTATTTATTCATTTTTTTTTTTTGAGACAGTCTCGCTCTGTTGCCCAGGCTGGAGTGCAGTGACACACTGCAACCTTCTCCTCCTGGTTCAAGCGATTCTCCTGCCTCAGCCACCCTAGTAGCCAGGATTATTACAGGAGTGCACCACCAAGCCTGGCTAATTTTTGTGTTTTTAGTAGAGACGGGGCCGCCTCAGAAGTGCTAGAATTACATGAGTGTGCCACTGTGCCCTGCCTTATCTCTTGTTAGTGGAGTTTATGTACTTTATCAAAGGATTCTCTGGGGAATTCTGAAATGAAATGTTTTAGATTTGTTTTACAATGTGAACCAGTTTATGTATTTATTTTTTGCCTCCTGTATTGTTTTCCTCAGAAAGTCACATGAAAGTATGCATGAATACCCATGCATAAAAATCTATCATAGAGCATTGCAATATCTGTACATTACTACAGAAGTTTTGGATTTTTTCAGTTTGTTTTGATAGCAGTTACTTTTTTCCTATTTTTCTTGAGGTAAGCAATGTATCTTTGCCATATATTGTGAAAGAACTAGGAAATACTTCATGTTAACAGTACACGTTAAGCACTTCACAGTGGCAGTTGTAGTAAAGGTTAATTCTTTAAATGCCACTGCATTTTAATTTGGCATTTGACTACAGAAATTTAAATGTCTACATGTATTTGGCACATTAAGTGTTTTTTATATATACATAATTATATGTATGAGACACCTTTATCTGCAAATAGATCACAATCTTGGATAGTATTAACTCAGATAGCATGAGTGGATAGGTAATTGAAGAATTGCTAAGTATTTTTTAAATAAAATCAGGAATTTTTGGGGGCACTGGGGGAAATATTTGCTTCTGAACACAGGCGTGTGCATGGGTAAAACAAGTGAACTATCATTAAAGCAGGACATGTTGGAATTTCTTTTTGTCAGGGAGGAGCAAAAAACTGACTCTGATCTAAGAGTTTGGCTGCAAGTGCTCTCACAAAAGTGAAGCTAAATGGAAAAGTCAGGGGAATGAGGACATACACTTGAGAGAAATGAGCAGAGGCTGCATCTTTGCTAAAGATGCAACATGAAGAGTTGGTAAAATAAGAGTACTGAGTAATTTAATGCATTAGTTTAGAAATACATGGAGATTTAAGAAAAATGAAATGATACTGTGTTCTGTGTTAAGAGTCTTGAAATTTTGTATTGCCTGTATTCATTCAGTAACCTGAAAGGACTTGATTGATACCAATACATAGTAGGTTGAACCATATAAAATTGCCATCATTCAGCCATTTTACCCTATGAAAACAATTTCATAAGGGTTAAATTAAATCCTCTGTAGTGAATATGATTATCCTTTCCCATTTAAGCAATAGGAAACATAAGAATTATTTTGTCATTTTCCTAGATTAAACTAAAACTGATACCTCCTGAATTTTATCTAGCAAAATGGATGTTAAAGGAAAAAAAGTAATGCTAGGAATTCTGGGAAGATGGTGGAATCAGAAGGTACACGTGAATCTCTCTGAAATTCTCACAAAACTTAGTCAACTAGATAGCAAAACCAAAAACCCCTGATTAGTATTTGTAACAAAACTAGGTGATAAGGTATCCCCATGAGCCCCAAAACACATGTTGGTGGGGACAAACCACCAGCAACCACAGGACCTGCATGGTATCAGCATCTGTGCTGAAAGAAGCAGTAAGAAACAGGGTTGGCATCTGACGGCACTGAGAAAAGTAGAACCTCAAAAACGCTAATAGATCCTGACCGGGAAGTAAAGTGAGCCAATTTAAGAATAGAAGCTGACTAAGGAGTTTTGCCCTCTTCTGTAGCACGTGATGACAATACATTTGCACTAAGGACTTGAAGGGCTCAAACAATCTCAAAATGGACCCAGGAGGGCTCTGGGACCCCATACTGAGGAGAAATTTCAGGAAGTGAAATGAAAATTGAAAAGGGTAGGGACATGAGAAAGGAAGGAAAGAGAAAGACCAGATCAAAATGGTGGGGAACAGAGCCTGGAAAGCTCAAAGCAGGCCTCCATCGTTTTGAATAGTATACAAAAAACAACAAGGGGAGCTCTGTGAAGTTAGAAAAACTACCCTAATTCACCTCATTCTAAAAGTTGAGGAAAACTAATTTCACATAAAAACAATAACAGGAATAACAAGGTCAAATCCCGTACAGTGTTACAAGAAAAACGAGATGCGGAAAAGAACAGCATCCCTAGAGACGATGAAATCAAGCCAGAAATATACACCTATAAGACAAGTCGAAAATTGTAACCTTGTATTTCAAAATGAGCTAAAAACAATAAGATGGTATAAGACATGAAAGAAAAACGATCAGCATTAGTAAAACTAAGAAATGAAGCTCAGGAAAAGAATTAGAAATAAAAGAAAATTATTTCAGAAATGGAGACTAAAGTAGGAGGAACATAAACAACGGATAATATGTTAAGAAAAATAGAAGATGAAAAAAATTTAAAAAGTGAGTCAACCTTTGGACAAGAGTCTGTGAAGAAAACCAGAGCAAGGGAACAGAAAAAATACTGTAAAAATGTCATTTAAGGTAAGAGATTTGAAACTACATATTGAAAAAACATCTGAAGTACCTGAGAGTATCAACCCAGAATAATGAACATCAGGATGCATTCTGTTAAAATTACTGGACTTGAAATCATTTGGAAATGTAGGGGACGGGAAAGAGGGCATGACTTAGAAAGTTAGGCTGTCGTCAAACTTTGACAGCAAAGATGCTTAAGGAAAAAGTGTGAAATAAGGCTTTCATATCCTGCATAACTGACTTAATCGGGGCACAGACTATTAGCAGAAAATGCTATTCCAGTGAACCATGAGGAATCCACTAGACAGAGAGCTTTATAACCAGAATAACTAGAGACATCAATTTAAAGACTGCTGATTTAAAAGCAGAAAGAAAAAAAAGCTGATTTAAAGGCAAAGTAATTAATAAAACTAACTAATTTTGTCTGCCCAAGTTCTTGCAGTTTGGAAATAATACTTCCATGGAATTTTACTTTCACAAACCTGGAGTAACTACATGTACTTTAAAGTAACAAATTATACGCCACTTAGCGATTCTGCAGTGGAATTGATGATGTTAACCTGTTACTTATATAGAGCTTTATAGTATGCAAACAGATTTATGTCTTTCTGTCTTTTGAACTAACTGAATTGCTTTTTTAAAATTTCCAGTTAACACCTGTTACAAAATCACATTGAATGCCTTTGGTTGGTTCTCTGCTCCATCGAGTCTGCTGTTTTCTGTGAACACAACACCATCTTACTCTTTGTCTCCTTTGCCTGTGAAGTCCTGATTACTGCTTTCTTCACCTGGTTAAATCCTGCTTATTTCTTATTTCCCACAAAGCCATCACTGACCCTTTTGCTAGGCTAGAGTAGTGTACATTTCTGTACGCTACATACTTCATTAGATGTACTTTTCTCACCCGTATTTATTCATGTGTGTCTCTGCCTCTCCTACAGATTATAAGCTCATTGAGGGAAGAGATCACATTAATCTTCATAGTTCCATGTACAATTCTCAGCACATCATAGACACTGATAAACTAAGCTGTTATTGAGAGCCCTTCCCCTCATTTATAATGTACAAGAGTAAAATCTGGATTTGCTCATAAATTGTCAGGCACTGAACACAAATTATATCTGTATTACAAAAAATTCACATTATAATGCACATTGTTTTCTGTTACAGTTCTGAAATTTTTGTGCCAGAACTCTACTCAGCCATAACCACAAATTGATATTTCAGCATGAACTATTTAAAGATAATTTAACAATAACGTCTATTGAGTACATATACCAGGCACTGAAAGTTAGTGTATTATCTCATTTTGTCTTTCCTAACAGACCCAAGAGGTATAGGTCCTATTATTTTCCATATCTTACAAATAAAGAGGATGAGAGATTATTTGTAAAGCCAGGATTCAAACCCAGGTGTGTCTCAGAGCCTATACACTTAATCACCACACTATATTGGCTAAGAGAGATGCAAGCAATATTGATGGTTCATGGTTGGTGATCAAAATAGTATCTGTCAACCAACTATTCTGATACTTTTTTTTTTAAATACTAAGTTTAATCCAGGACATTTTAGTCCCAAATTTGGATATTAAAGGAAAACTAAATATGTTACCTGCAAATAAAGTTTTGTTTTCCAAAAAGAAAATTATTAAAGGGCACTTCAACACTGTGACTTTAAGTACTAGAAATATTTTAGTAAAAACAGACTAAACTGAAACATTGAGCAGTGAATCCTTTAAAGAGCAAGGTTATAAGGTTTTAATTGTTACTTTTTTTCCTGCTTCATTTGCCTGTAAGTGACTTTATTAAAAAACCTAAGTATATATGTCATACATTTACCCAAGGAAAGTGTACAAACTACCTTGAATATTAGACATATTGATTTTTGGCTGTGTGCCTGTGTAATTATCTTAGGAGAAATTCTTTGTGGGTAAGTGGGGACATTTTTACGATAATGTAATTTCTTGAATAGCCAGCTCTTCAAAAGCTATTTGTAAAAAATATTTAAAAGTTTCTTAGTTATACAAAGTTAGGAACCACTGTTCTAGGAACTGGAATTGTGTTATTTTTATTCCTCTGGAGGAAAAATGAGATCTTCGTAATGATCTCTTTAAATTGACTATTTAGAAAAGTTAGGAGTTCAGAGAAGCTTTCTTCAATTGTGAAAACAATACAAAATAGCTAGCTGATTGGAATGCAGAAAAATGCAGATTAATCAGGATACCATTAAACATCTCTGTTTTTCCTTCCTTTCTTGTAGTTTATTTATGTGAATCAGTCCTTTGCTCCTTCCCCAGACCAAGAAGTTGGAACTCTCTATGAGGTAAAAAAAAAAAAAAAAAAAAAAAAAAAAGAAAGAAATTACTGCTTTTTTTTCTTAATCGAGTATGCACATCTGTATAATATGTATATTGTGTAGTATTGTTAATTCACATTTTTATTTCAAGAGATGGCATGCCATTCTTAATTTTCTGGGGTAGAAAAGATGACTTTCTTGTTCTGTTATCTAACATCTTGATCATAGAAAGATATTAATAAATTATACAATGATTGAAGAACCAAGGAATAAATTACATTTCAAAGTCATCTTCATGATTCTCATAAAGTAAGGCTTTTTCTTTATCTACATTTGATTTCTTCTACATTGTTCTTATAATCTGTTATCCAAATCTGCCTACAAGAAATTGAGAAAACAGCATAAGAATGACTGTTTAACATCTTACAGAGTCATTGTAATAGTTATTAGAGTACACATACTAGCACCACTACTAGAAAACAGCTAAAATTACATATATTGTGGTTGGACATGTAGAGAAAGGACAAGATTAAAATACATAAGCTCATTCATGCCTAAGATGCTTAAAGGACAGATTTTATTAAACACTTAGGATTATTAATATGTGTCTGATAGAAACAGGCATCCTTTGAAAGAGATAGCCTGTAACATAGGTAACTTAATATACGTGTGTGGATATTTATGATACATGTGGCATTTATCTTCTTAGTTTCATCTAAGAATAATAAAAGATTGAGTTTGATTTATTGCCTTTTTTTTTTGTAGTGTTTTGGCAGTGATGGTAAACTGGTTTTACATTACTGCAAGTCTCAGGCGTGGGGATGAACCACAAAGAAAATCAACTTGCTACTACATGAAATGGATTTTCACGGAAGAGACAGCTCTGAAAAGTTTTGATGCTTGTGGCAAGAGACTTAACAGATGTGATCTATTTAGTATGTGTCTACTCTATGTTTATGCATAAGAAAACATCCATAGCATGAATGGACTCAGAAAAATGTGATTTGTATTAATGCACCAGTCATCATAAAAGATGGTCATGATAGTACACCCATTGCTCCTACTTGTTACTATTATTGCTGCAGATCTGCCTCCAAGGTTGAAAAGGAGACTAAGACTGTATAAACATCTTCATTGTCAGTTCTCAAAATGACTGAAATTGTTTTCATGGTAAAAGTTAATATACTAAAGGGTTCCTTTTTTTTTAATGTTTACATTTATCTCTATGTTTACCTTTTTAGTCACATTGACCTGCTGGCTGAATACCTCAAATAGTCCAGTAGAGGGCAGTCCACCAGGCAGAAAAGGTTAGGCGTTTTGGTTTCACATCTTTGCTGGGGAATAATAGGGGAAATGGCTGTTTTTGCTAATTTTTAGCTAATATCTAGCCAGGAGAGCAAGCACATAGGACAGACTGAAAGACTGTAATTTTACACAATACACATGGCTTAATTATTTTATTGGGATACAGAAAAATATAAATTCTGGACAAATAAGTCATATACCTGTTTTCAGTCCTAACATTTAAGGATTCTTGAGTCCCAATCACATAACTGTGGTGTTACTCTGTCATTTATATGGTGTCAAAAGCACTTGATGAGTAAACCCAGTAGCATCTTTTTGAGTGTTTCATAATGCATTTTCCAACTTGAAAACAATAATTGAAAAATAGCCTTATTGTATATTTTATGCCATGACTAAAAGTGCCATTTTTACTGATGCTATTAGACTGATAATTTCTTGAAGTGAAATTTAACCTTTTTTTCTCTTTAGTATTATGTTTATAATGCCATATTTTTAGAAAGCATTCCAGATCAGGCATGGTGGCTTACACCTGTAATCCCAGCACTTTGGAAGGCTGAGGTGTGGGGATTGCGTGAAGCCACAAGTTTGAGACCAGCCTGGTTAGCAAGGCAAGATCCCCAACTCTACAAAAAAATAAAAATTAAAAAAAAATTATTAGGCTGCAGAGGCAAGAGGATCCCCTGAGCCCAGAAGTTCAAGGGTATAGTGAGTCGTGATTGTACCACTGCATTCCTGCTGAGCAACAGAGTGAGACCCCATCTCAAAAAAGAAAAAAAAAGGCATTCTAGTAAATCGAATGTAATGTGAATGGAATTTCAAAACAGGATCTAAGATGGTATGTAGTAGAATTCAAAGTAATATCATTTTAAAGTTAAATGAGTATGGAAAAGGTCTGTTCTCTAGTTTTGTCCAGTTCAGTTTACTGAAGGAATATATTTAATTATATTCATATATTTAACAAATAAAAATATGTTGAATTTTCGTATTGTTTGCCACTGAGGGTTCAGATGATAGACCTCAAAAAATCGAAAATACTGGTTGAAATTTGTAGCATCCATTTAGTTATTCTTTTTGACCTAAATAACTTAATAGTTTATTAAATCTAAGGTTAGCTAAATATGTAGCTAACCTTATTTGTTTTCTTTCCTAACAACTCTGAAGAATACATAGGACTTTGCACTTTTTTTTTTTTTTTTTTTTTTTAAAGAGACAGCGTTTCGGTCTTGTTGCCCAGGCTGGACTGTAATGGCACAATCTTGGCTCATTGCAACCTCTACCTCCCGGGTTCAAGTGATTCTCCTGCCTCAGCCTCCTGAGTAGCTGGGATTACAGGCACCTGCCACCACACCCGCCTAATTTTTTGTTATTTTTAGTGGAGACAGGGTTTTACCATTTTGGCCAGGCTGGTCTCAAACTCCTGACTGACCTCAGGTGATCCACCCGCCTTGGCCTCCCAAAGTGCTGGGATTATAGGTGTGAGCCACCGTGCCGGGCCTGGACTTTGTACTTTTTCAAATCATATTTAATTATTTCTTGATCTTTACTCAAAGAATTATTCTGCGCTAAATTTGCAACATTAAACAATAATTAAGCCTGGATCCGATAAGTTATTGGGTGACTAGAACCTACAACACAATTTATTTTTAATTTAAACTCTCAAGTCTGATTAAACTTGGGGGAAAAACTGAACATTCAGGTGATATTTTAAATTTTCTTTGTGACTAAATAGATGTCATTAATATCATGCTTCATCTTACTGTGCATAGATGACCCATGGCACACAAAGTATATGTATAATATTGCAATATTGTACTTCCATCTTTAAAAGTATGCCAAAGACTTCATAATGAATTCACCATATTTAAGGAATAAGGCAAATTAATGTTTATCCGAAATCAAAATGAGATTGGATAATTCCTGGAATCTGATTTCTGTAAGTTTCAGTCCTAAAGGGACCTTAAATATCTACTAGAACGAAGTACAGTGTATTTCTCAGATTACATGACATTAGTCAACCAATTTAGTTGTAACACAAAGTGAGAAAGCCTTAGGTGTTGAAGGAGTGTGAAAATAAAAATCTCTTTTCATGCAGTTTCTGCTTCATTTTCCAAGGATTATAATATGCTGAGTAAACTTTTGGCACTAAGGAAGCCAGCTACAGGCCACGTAATGAAAACTATTCAGAAAACAGTTCAGCAAATACTACTATTTGAATACAGTTCAAATCGTATTTATATAAATACTCTGCCTACATTATTTAACCCAAACTGGATTATTCACCATTCTTTGAAGATGCCTTGTGTTTTCTGTTATCTACTTCTGCTCGTGCAGTTTACTTACACCTTCACCCTTTCAAATCCTAACTCTTCTTCAAGGCCTGATTCAGATTTTAACTTTTTAAAGGCTATCTGAATCATTCAAGGAGAAGATACCCTTTCTCTCATAAAAACACTTAGAGCAAACTACCACTATTAAATCACTTATTGCATACTGCCTCAGAGCCATGTGTCCAGTTATTCTGGTTTTTATCTGGTACCCACACACACATAATACTTAGTACATTTCCTTATATGTAAATAATTAGTAATGTAACACATCGAGTGAATGAAATTGTGATTAGCAAAGTATGACAGCTAAAAACAAAGGAAATTTTGTATAGTTTAAGTTTTTGTACAGCAGAAGGTAATGGAAAATATTTGCAACATATGACAGTGTTTTTAATGTCTTAAGTATATGAAGAATTTGTTTCAATTGGTAAGAAAAGACCAACTGAAAAATAGGCAAAACATACCAAATTTCGATTCACAAAAAGATACAAATGGCCAACAAAACATGAAACACCTTGAACCCCATTGGTTACAAAAAATACAAATAAAAACAATGCTGACTGACAATAAAAATAATGTACATCTTGCTATTAGCAGAGTTGTGGGGAAATCCTGTCATATTTTGGTGAATAGAATATGAGTTGGTATATCACTTTTAGGGGGCCATTTGGCAATATCAAAAACCTTGAAACGTAAGTATAAACTTCAGTTTGTTCGTATAACCTGTCATTCACATATTGAGTGCCTACTATGTCCTAAATATTGGAATAACACTAATAAAGCTCATAAGAGACTAATAAAGTCCCTGTTCTTGGAGTCACTTTCATGTTGACTCAAGGGGGTAGGACAGATTTTCAGATTTGAATTTAAATCTCGGAAGTTTTTAAAATAGAATTTTTAGAAATAATGGAAAGTAATTTGATACCTGATACTAGCTACTATACCCATGTTTTCGTATTTAATATTAATGAAAGATAAAACGTGAGTAAAATCTTTAGAGGAATCCTTATAAATCAATTCCCATAGTTCCTTCTGTCATAGCTGATACACATGAATCTAGGTTGATTACTTCTAGTGATAGACAAAAAGGATGTCCTGTCCATTTTGAGATGGCTCTATTTGTTTCATAACTGCCTTTCTTACAACATGGCAAAATCTGCCTCCTTGCTTCCTCCAAGTATTTGTTCCCAGTTCTTTTATCTACATCTACAAAACATACCTTTCCCCCTTTCCTGCCCCACTTTTCCCAAGTCTTGTCTTAAGAATGATAAATCCATCCCTATAGTTGCTTAGAATCTTGACTCTCTTCCAACCCAGTTTCAATCCATCAGCTTTACTACCCAAAGCAATCTACAGATTCAATGCAATTGCTACCAAAATACCAGTGACATTCTTCACTGACATAGAGAAAAAAAAATCTAAAATTTGTATGGAACCACAAAAGACCCAGAACAGCCAAAGCCATCCTGAGCAAAAATAGCAAAGCCAGAGGCATCACATTACTGGGCCTCAAATTATGTACTACAAAGCTATAGTAACAAAAACAGCATGATAGAAGCATAAAAACAAGACACAGACCAAGGGAACAGAATAGAGAACCCAGAAGTAAATCCATGTATTTACTTACAGTCAACTCTTTTGACAAAGACACTAAGAACATACATTGGGGAAAGGACAATCTCTTCTATAATAAATGGTGCAGGCAGAACTGAGTATCCAAATGCAGAAGAATGAAATTAGACCCCTCTCTCACCATATACAAAAATCAGAATAGATTAAAGACTTAAATGTAAGACTTGAAATTATGAAGAGAAAATTGGGGAAACCAAAAGTTTAAGCTGGGCAAAGATTTCTTGTAAGACCTCAAAAACACAACCAATGTGAAAATGAGCAAATGAGATGACATCAAGCTAAAAAGCTGCACAGCAGAGGAAACAAAGTGAAGAAATATGCTACAGAATGGGCAAAAATATTTGCAAACTACTCATCTGACAAGGAATTAAAAACGAATATATAAAGAGCTTAATAGCAAAAAAAAATTAAAAATAGGCAAAAGATCTGAATAGGTGTTTCTTAGAAGATATCAAAACGGGCAACAGGTATATGAAAAAATGCTCAACATCACTAATCACCAGGGAAATGCAAATCAAAACTAAATGAGCTATCACACCCCAGTTTAAATGACTTATCCAAAAGACAGGCAATAATGGATGCTGGTGAGGATGTGGAGAAAGAATACTTGTACACTGTTGGTGGGAGTGTAGATAACTAAAGCTACTAAGGAGAAGAGTATGAAGTTTCCTCAAAAAATGAAGAAAAGAACTACTGTGTAATCCAGCATTCTCACTGCTGGTTGTAAACCCAAAGGTAAGAAGATCTGTATATCGAGATACCTGCATTGCAGCAGTATGCACAATAGCCAAGATACATAATCAACCTGAGAGTCCATGCATGGATCAATGGATAAAGAAAGTGTACATGATGTCATCTTGAGCCCTAAAAAAGAATGAAATCCTGTTATTTGCAACATGGAACTGGAGGATATTGTGATGTTAAGTGAAAGAAGCCAGGCACAGAAAAACAAATAGCACATACTCTCATATGTGGGAGCCTAAAAAAAAAATGCTTTTAGGATTGGCTGGCAAGATGGCCAAATAGGAACAGCTCCAGTCTGCAGCTCCAAGTGAGATGAATGCAGAAGTGGGTAATTTCTGCATTTCCAACTGAGGTATCCTGTTCATCTCATTGGGACTGGGTAGGCAGTGGGTAAGGCCAAAGAGGGTGAGCAGAAGCAGAGTGGGGTGTCGCCTCATGCAGGAAGTGGAAGGAGCAGGGGAGCCTACTTTTCCCAGCCAAAGGAGGCTGTGAGGGACTGTGTTATCTGGCCCAGATACCACACTTTTCCCCTGGTTTTAGAAATCCACAGACCAAGAGATTCCCTCATGTGCCTACACCCCCAGGGCTCTGGGTTTCAAAAACAAAACTGGGCAGCTGTTCAGGCAGACACCGAGCTAGCTGCAGGAGTTCTTTTCACACATCGATAGCCGAATTGATCAGTGGAAGAAAGGATATCAGAGATTGAAGATCAACTTACTGAAATGAGGCGTGAAGGAAAGATTGAGAAAAAAGATTGAAACGGAATGAACAAAGCCTCCAAGAAATATGGGACTATGTGGAAAGACCAAACCTACGATTGACTGGGGTCCCTGAAAGTGATGGGGAGAATGTAACCAAGTTGGAAAACACTCTTCAGGATATTATCGAGGAGAACTTCCCCAACGTAGCAAGACAGGCCAACATTCAAATTCAGGAAGTACAGAGACCACCACAAAGATACTCTTTGAGAAGAGCAACCCCAAGACACATAATTGCCACAGTCTCCAAAGTTGAAATGAAAGAAAAATGTTAAGGGCAACAGAGAGAAAGGTCAGGTAACCTACAAAGGGAAGCCATCAGACTAACAGTGGATCTCTGCAGAAACCCTATAAGCCCGAAGAGAGTGGAAGCCAATATTCAACACTGTTAAAGAATTTTCAACCCAGAGTTTCATATACAGCCAAACTAACTTTCACAAGTAAAGGATAAATAAAATCCTTTACAGACAAGCAAATGCTGAGGGATTTTTGTCACCACCAGGCCTGCCTTACAAGAGCTCCTGAAGGAAGCACAAAATATGGAAAGGAAAAACCAGTACCAGCCACTGCAAAAACATATCAAAATATAAAGACCAATGACACTATGAAGAAATTGCATCAACTAATGTGCAAAATAACCAGCTAGCATCATGATGACAGGATCAAATTCACACGTAACAATATTAACCTTAAATGTAAATGGGCTAAATGCCCCAATTAAAAGACATACACTGGCAAATTGGATAAAGAGTCAAGACCCATCAGTGTGCTGTATTCAGGAGACCCATCTCCCATGCAAAGACACACACAGGCTCAAAATAATGAGATGGAGGAATATTTACCAGGCAAATGGAAAACAACAACAACAACAAAAAAGCAGGGATTGCAATCCTAGTCTCTGATACAACAGACTTTAAACCAACAAAGTTCAAAAAAGACAAGGGCATTATATCGTGGTAAAGGGATCAATGCAACAAGAAGAGCTAACTATCCTAAATATATATGCACCCAATACAGATGCACCCAGATTCATAAAACAAGTTCTTAGAGACATACAAAGTGACTTAGACTCCCACACAATAATAATGGGAGATTTTAACACACCACTGTCAATATTAGATCAACAAGACAGAAAATTAACAAGGATATTCAGGACTGGAAATCAATGTGCAAAAATCACAAGCATTCCTATACACCAATAAAGACAAGCAGCCAAATCATGAGTGAACTCCCATTCACAATTGCTACAAAGAAAATACCTGGCTGGGCACGGTGGCTCTTGCCTGTAATCCCAACACTTTGGGAGGCCGAGGTGGGCAGATCACGAGGTCAGGAGATCGAAACCATCCTGGCTAACATGGTGAAACCCCATCTCTACTAAAAATAAAAAAATAAAAAAAATTAGCTGGGTGTGGTGGTGGGCACCTGTAGTCCCAGCTACTCGGGAGGCTGAGGCAGGAGAATGGTGTGAACCCAGGAGGCAGAGCTTGCAGTGTGAGCTCAGATCGTACCACTGCACTCCAGCCTGGGCGACAGAGTGAGACTCCGTCTCAAAAAAAAAAGAAAATACCTAGGAATACACCTTACAAGGGACATGAAGGGCCTTCAAGGCCCCCTGCTCAAGGAGATAAGAGAGAACACAAACAAATTGAAAAAAATTCCATGCTCATGGATAGGAAGAATCCATATCATGAAAATGGCCATATTGCCCCAAGTAATTTATAGATTCAATGCTATTCCCATCAAGCCGCCATTGACTTTCTTCACATAACTAGAAAAAAACTACTTTAAATGTCATATGGACCCAAAAAAGAGCCCGTATAGCCAAGACAATCCTAAGCAAAAAGAACAAAGCTGGAGGCATCACACTACCTGATATCAAACTATACTACAAAAGCTACAGTACCCAAAACAGCATGGTACTAGTACCAAAACAGATATATACACCAGTGAAACAGAACAGAGGCCTCAGAAATAACACCACACATCTACAACCATCTGATCTTCAACAAACCTGACAAAAGGAAGCAATGGGGAAAGGACTCCCTATTTAATAAATGGTAATGGTACTGGGAAAACTGGCTCGCCATATTTAGAAAACAGAAACTGGACCCCTTCCTTACACCTTATACAAAAATTAAGGTGGACTAAAGACTAAAATGTAGAACCTAAAACTATAAAAACCCTTGAAAAAACCTAGGCAATACCATTCAGGACATAAGCATGGGCAAAGACTTCATGACTAAAACACCAAAAGCAATTGCAACAAAATCCAGAATTGACAAATGGGATCTAATTAAATTAAAGAGCTTCTGCTCAGCAAAAGAAACTGTCATCAGAGTGAACAGGCAGCCTACAGAATGGGAGAAAATTTTTCCAATCTATCCATTTGATAAAGGTCCAATATCCAGAATCTACAAGGAACTTAAACAAATTTACAAGAAAAATCAACCCCATCAAAAAGTGGGCAAAGGATATGAACAGACACTTCTCAAAAGAAGATATGTATGCAGCCAGGAAACATGAAAAAGAGCTGATCATCACTGATCAATTGGAGAAATGCAAATCAAAACCACAATGAGCTAGCATCTCACACCAGTTAGAATGGCAATCATTAAAAAAACCTGGAAACAACAGATGCTGGTGAGGATGCGGAGAAATAGGAACACTTTTACACTGTTGGTAGGAGTGTAAATTAGTTCAACCATTGTGGAAGACAGTGCGGTGATTCCTCAAGGATCTAGAACCAGAAATACCATTTGACCCAGCAATCCAATTACTAGGTATATACCCAAAGGATTATAAATCATTCTGCTATAAAGATACACGCACACTTATGTTTATTGCAGCACTGTTCACAATACCAAAGACTTGGAACCAACCCAAATTTCCATCAATGATAGACTGAATAAAGAAAATGTGGCACATATACACCATGGAATACTATGCAGCCATAAAAAAGAATAAGTTTATGTCCTTTGCAGGGACATGGATGAAGCTGGAAACCATCATCCTCAGCAAACTAACACTGTAATGGAAAGCCAAACACGTCATGTTCTCACTCATAAGTGGGAGGTGAACAATAAGAACACATGGACACAGGGAGGGGAACATCACACACCGGGGCCTGTGGGTGGGTTGGGGGCAAGGGGAGGGAGAGCATTAGGACAAATACCTAATGCGTGTGGAGGTTAAAACCTAGATGATGGGTTGATAGGTGTAGCAAACCACTATGGCACATGTATACCTATTTAACAAACCTGCACGTTCAGCACTTCTATCACAGAACTTAAAATGAAGTTGCTTTTATGGAAATACAGTGTAGATGATGGTTACCAGAGGCTGGGAAGGGTAGTAGGAAAAGGGGAATGATAAAGGGTTGGTTAATGAGTAAAAAAAATACACAGTTAGAAGGAAAAAAATCTAGTGTTGGGTAGCACAATTGGGTGACTATAGTTAATAATATATACTTCAAAAAATAACTAGAAAAGTGGAGTTGGAATGTTCATAACACAAAGGATGAGAAATGCTTGAGGTGATGGATATTTCAGTTACCTTTATTTGATCATTACATATTGTATGCTTGTATCAAAATTTCACATGTACCCCATATATATGTACATTTATGTATCCATAAAAATTTAAAAGCCTGACTGATTTACCTGCAAAACATGTTCAGAGTCCAGCCATTTCTTATCTGCTACCACTGTGGACAGAGCCACCATCATAGTTTTTTTTCACTCAAATTGCAACAACTAACTCGTTGGTTCCTCTGTATGTACTCTCTCCTCGCCTAGAATCCCCAGTGGCTTTCTATATTGGTGTAAAAGCTGAAGTCTTTACCTTGGCCTATGTGATATGTGGTCATCACTTCCCCACACTCTGCCACCCAAATGCTGTTACTCAAACACTAAGCTTTCTGCAATCCCAGGGCTGTTGCACTTACTGGTTCTTCCACCTGGAAACTTGCCCTAG
Organism: Homo sapiens; assembly: GCF_000001405.40. NCBI lineage: Eukaryota > Metazoa > Chordata > Mammalia > Primates > Hominidae > Homo > Homo sapiens. The sequence goes on along the minus strand of NC_000005.10, from coordinate 115,821,887 downwards.
ACAAATGTCTTGCTAATATCCTTCAGTCCTCGCTCAAATACCACCTCAAGGAAATGTTCCCCTGAACTCCCTCTGAAACAGCAACTCGCCACTCTACTTACCCAACTTCCCCTGTTTTATTTTTCTCCATTGTGTATTTTATCAAGTATTTGTATGTCCATTTCTCCATGTATGCTGTATACAATATTTGTTGGTGTGCTCCTCCTACCAACCCAACCCCATTAAAATGTAAGCCCTCTGAGGGCAGTGGCTTAGTTTTGTTAGCAGTGCCTGGCATATAGTACATGCTTTTTAAAATATGTTGGATAGTTCCCTTCTCTTTATATCTACCACCATGTCAATGCCTGTCTGAAAATGTGACAGTCATTGATTGCCCTGGACAATTCAGAGTACAGTAGAGCTACCTCTCTGGATCTAGGTATTCTACTTATGTTAATAAAGTCTATAATGTCAACTTTTTTTAATGACTACATTTAGGTTACAATATGCAACACTGTTGGGAAGAATTCAGATGTCCTTTGCAAAGAACCTGAAAAAAGTCTTTTCTGGATTTGAAATCACAACCCTAGGATCCTTAAAGAGGAATGAGGAACTAGACGAATGCTTTTACTAGCCAATAACTCTAGTATTGAGGAACTCTAGCCAATATGCTTTTACTAATTTCATTTATGCATGCACTTAAGAAATATTTCTATTTGTGCCTAACCTGCACAAAATACTGTGTGCTAGGCCCTGATGGTGATATAAAAATAAAATTTAAGAGGAGCCTGTCTTAAAGGTTCTCACTGTCAAAGTGATCCACGTAAGTAATTGCAATACATGCTGAGAAATGGTAAGTGCCTTAAGGAAGATAGTGATTGTTCCATTGTTCAGGAGGAGGAGAAATGGCACATTTGACAGGAAAGTAAAAGCTGGATCTTAAAATAAGATTGGGACATGTTGAAATGGCTGGCTAGGATTTAAGCAGAAGGAAAAGCTTAAGCAAAAGAATGGATTTGGTAAGCACATTCAATTTGGCTGAAAGATATATTCATAAAGAAAAATAATAAAAGGCGAAATATCAAGAAAGGTAGTTTACAGCCAAAATATGAAAAAAAAATTAATGCCAGCCTGATAAGACCTATTGTATAGGAAAGTTAGAGTTATTGGAAGAATGTGACCAGGAAACAACATCATCAGTTCTGTGCTTTAGGCTAAGAAATCAAGCAATTGTGAATAAAGGATACATATGGGAGAAAGCTGGAACCAAGGAATCCATTTCAGAGGCCAGTGCCATAATCCAGCCAAAATCAAATAGAGGTTTGAATAGTGGAATAGCAATAAGAATACAAAGTAGAGAAAATGATAAGGAGATACAAAACTTGGCAATTGGTTGAATGGGGTCTGGATAATGATGCAAGGAAGGAGTAGGCAGCAGTGGATGAGGTTTTTGAGCCTGGGTGCCTCATTGCAGAAATAGAACCTTTAGGAGTTTGGAAGAGCATTCTTGAAAGGAGTTTCACACATACTGCATCGGAGGTGCCAAAAGGTGTTGGAGATTGCAGTCTGCATGTAAAACTAAGGGAATGTGGGTGGCATCCACATACAGACAATCAATGAAATCCTGAGTGTGAGGGAAGGGAGGAAGTTGAGAGAAGAAACAATAAAAATGTGTCAATATCAGTATATTAAGAAAGTTCCTTGAGGTCTTTGAAGGTCAAGAGGTGGAGTCAGATGGGCATAAAGATGGCAACAATAGACACTGGGGATAACTAGAGGGAGGATGGAGGAGAAAAAGGGTTGAAACTGTTGGATACTATGCTCAGTACCTAGGTGACAATAACATTTGTACCAGAAACCTCAGCATCACACAATATACCCAGGTAACCTGCACATGTAACCCCTGAATCTAAAAAGTTGAAAAGAGGGTAGGTACAGTAGCTCATGCCTATAATCTCAACACTTCAGGAGGCTGAGGCAGGAAGATCACTTAAGCCTAGTAGTTCAAGCCCAGCCTGTGCAACATAACAAGACCACATCTCTACAAAAAAATAAAAAATCAGCCAAGTGTGGTGGTGCACGCCTGTAGTCCCTGCCACTCAGTAGGCGTAGGCAGTAGGCTTGCCTGAGCTCAGGTGTTGAAAGCTGCAGTGAGCCAATGGCTCCACTGCACTCCAGCCTCAGTGACACAGCAAGACCTTTGTCCAAAAAAACAAACAAAAGACCAGTCACAGACTGGGAGGAAATATATACAAATCACACATCTGACTTGTTTCTAGAATATATAATAAACTCTTAAAACTCAACAATAAGAACAGATAATTAAGTTTTTAAAAGGACAAAATACTTGGATATTTCACCAAAAATTATTTACAAATAACTAATCACATAAAAATATGCTCAACATCATTAGTCATTATGAGAGACAGGACAAGCTGGATTTCCTAGGCCGACTAAGAATTCCTAAGCCCTAGCTGGGAAAGGTGACTGCAACTACTTTTAAACACGGGGCTTGTAACTCAGCTCACACCCAACCAATCAGGCAGTAAAGAGGGCTCACTAAAATACAAATTAGGCTAAAGCAGGAGGTAAAGAAATAGTCAAATAATATATCGCCTGAGAGCATGGGGGAGGGACAATGATCCGGATATAAACCCAGGCATTAAAGCAGGGAGTGGCAACCCTCTTTGCGTGCCGTCGCATTGTATGGGAGCTGTGTTTTCACTCTATTAAATCTAGCAACTGCACACTCTTCTGGTCTGTGTTTGTTATGGCTCGAGCTGAGCTTTCGCTCGCTTTTCACCACTGCTGTTTGCCACTGTCACAGACCCGCCACCGACTTCCACCCCTCCAGATCCGGCAGGGTGTCCGCTGCTTTGCTGATCCAGCGAGGCACCCATTGCCACTCCCGATCCGGCTAAAGGCTTGCCATTGTTCCTGCATGGCTAAGTGCCCGGGTTCGTCCTATTTGAGCTGAACACTAGTAGCTGGGTTCCACGGTTCTCTTCTGTGACCCACGGCTTCTAATAGAGCTATAACACTCACCGCATGGTCCAAGGTTCCATTCCTTGGAATCCATGAGGCCAAGAACCCCAGTTCAGAGAACAAAAGGCTTGCTGCCATCCTGGGAGCGGTGGCCACCATCTTGGGAGCTCTAAGAACAAAGACCTGCCCATAAGAATTAGAGATATAGAAAATGAAGAACACAATGCAATATCAGCACACCTCTATTTGGCCAAAATTGGTAAAACTGACAATACCTGGCGAGGATGCGGGGCAACTAGAACTCATACATCACTGTTGAGAATGTGAAATGGCACAGACCCTTTGCAAATTAGTATGTCAATTTCTTGCAAATTTAAACATGCACTGACTAAATGGCCCAGCAATCTCACTCCTAGGTATTTACTCAGGTGAAATGAAAATTTCTATTCACCCGAAAAAACATTTGTTGAATAAATTAATGAATGAATAATAAACGAATGGAGCTATCATAATGTAAAATGACTAGATAATATCTAAAATTGCTGAAACAAAAAAAAATATAAGCCTATTTTTGGAAAAAGGAAGTAACTACCACAAGGAATAGTTAGAAGAGTTAAGAGACTGACTCTTTAAGCACAGGACAGATGGTCAGGAATGGTTAAAAGGGCCTGCTGCTTTTCATTGACCTTCCAGTACTATTGATTTTTTTTAACTACGTGAATATATTACTTTCATAAAAATGTAAAAAGAAAAAGAGGAGTCAGAGAAAGAAAATGAATTGTCAGAAAAATTTAGAAGTTTTATCAACTGAAATGCAGAAAAGATAAATTGTGCTTGCATTTCATTTTTGTTGTTCATTCCAAACATTTATGGATTAGACTAGCTGAAATGAAGTAATTAAGAGACTCAATAGAAAACATTGCCAAGAATAAAAAATAATTTGAGGAAACCATGAAAAGTTTACAGGTTACTCTGTCACAAAATACTTTGTTAATTCACTACCCCGCAGCAACACACATCACCAAGGCTGGCTTCTGGAATGCTTTCTACTTGTAGCCATTTTTGAACAATAGGTGATTCCGCTTTTAACAACACTGTTAGAATATAATGTAGCGAGTTTTACCAGAGATGTTTAAGACTACCTGGCACAAGTAAATTTCATTGTATACATGTATATACACGAGGGAGGGTGATCATAGTCTAGAAAAAAACAGGTCTTCAGAAGTCTAGAACTTTAATAACCTTAAATCCAAATTATTCCCTGCGTCCATCCATAATGAGAAGGAAGAAATCTACACTTGCATTTCTTCCACCTTTCACATCTTTCTCATTTAAATCCTACTGTACTTGATTTGTGTTGTTCCCAACGTACTAGGTGCTATGCATGACGTAGAAACGTGTTTCCTTATATGTATGTACTAGCAGGCTCCTTCAAGCACATGCCTAAGGTTGAAAGATTCAAATATAATTATAGCCTCTTAAATTATTGCGTCAGAGCCCGCCCTATCCCCTCAGAAAAAGCCCCCTTTTACACCATCAAATGAAATATCAGGTTATTTGCACTGGATATTTTTTAAAAGAAAATATTTGATTTTAAAATCAAAGAGTTCTTGGTTTTCCATCATTTCACTAATTGTCTTACTAGAGACCCGAGTCTCCTTTGTCAAAATATATTTCAGTACGCATTTTAAAAAATATGTGTGTGTGTATACTTAAATATATATATATATAAAGTCTTGGACTTATTTTCACCTAGCCTGGGGCATATCGTGGATAGTTTCAATCGACAAAACAGGCACTCTCTGGCCTAGGAGTGGAATCCATCCTCAATTTTCGCAGGCTCCTCACAATTCTCTATTTGGAAGAAGTGTCCCTCTCCTTCCCTTTTCTTTTCCTCCTTTACTCAGCGTCAGTCCCCGCAGCCATCTCCTCCGACCCTTTTTGTCTACGTCCCAGCGTCGCGAACCACAGCGGCGGAGGTGGAGCGGGGAGAGGCGTTAGGCCGGGCGGCTAAAACGCGCCGTTAAAGTGGGGGAGAGATTGCGCGGAGCCCACGCGATCCCTGGGACGCCGGAGACAACGGGGCTCTTGGGAAGGCGCGGAGCCCGGGGAAGCCGGGGATGTGCGCGTGAGCCGTGCCCGCAGGGTCTCCCCGCCTCCGCCACCTTTCTTGGGTGGCTCTCCGCCTCGTCCTCCCTCCGAGGGCCGTTGGTACATTCCTAGTGACTCCAAGCGCTTAAAAGGGGCCCGGGAGGATGAACCCCACAGATCTGAACCTGATTTGTGTGTGCACCGCGTCTCCAGCGATCCCGGATCCACTGCGCTGCCAGGGGCCTGGGGGTGGGTCTCTTGCTGTCTCTGCGACGACATCCTTACGTTTCGGCACTCTAATGCTGGGTTTGTGCGTGTGTGTCTGCTTAGCGGTCTAGCGGGCTGTTAGGCTCCCTCGCCCCCAGCTCCTTGGCTCGCTCAGCTCCTCCACCGCAGCCCAGCAGTGAGACGCGCGCGCAGCCAGCTCCCCACGAGATGGAACAGACCGAAGTGCTGAAGCCACGGACCCTGGCTGATCTGATCCGCATCCTGCACCAGCTCTTTGCCGGCGATGAGGTCAATGTAGAGGAGGTGCAGGCCATCATGGAAGCCTACGAGAGCGACCCCACCGAGTGGGCAATGTACGCCAAGTTCGACCAGTACAGGTGAGCGCGCTGCAGCTTCAATGCCAGGCGGCGCCCACTCGCCCCGTCTGAGGAGGAATGGACGTGGGGGACGCAGCCCAAAGTGACTGGCTCGGGAAGCTCGGGCCGCGCTGCGTCCGCCGCTCGCCCCCTCGCTGGCCAGCCGCGGGGCTGGCACGACTCGCTTGGGGCTCCGCGGCCACAGCGCAGGCGGAAGGTGGATCCTACTGGCCTTGCTGACCTCCGGCCGGGAACGGCGGACAGGCGCCGGGAAGGGAGGCCACCGCGCGTCTGCGAGATTTTCTGTTCTCTTCTCTCCCGCAAACCCCTCTGCTTCTAAACCACCAGTCCTCCTGCCCCTGGCCTCGGGAGCAATGCCCACACTCCCAAGCCATCGTTAACCCCGGGCGCGGAGATGCGGAGAGACCGCACTCAGGTTCGGGCCCTCCTGACACCTTAAGGAACCGTCTGGCCGGACTAGCAGAGGGTGCTCCCAGGGGAGCACTACATCAGCCATCGGGAGAAGTGTGTGATGTTGAAGAAGACAAGTCACCCGCGTCAGTTCTCCATCACTGCGCCTTCGGTCGCCTGCAACCGGGCACCTTATAGCAAGCATTTTTACTCATGTAAAATAGCGTCTTGTGGCCGTCAGCTGCCACTACGGAATTTCTGCTGTTCCCTTTCCCAAACCAATTTAACTAACTTCCCCGACTGTGGGTTTATTCAAATCCACTGCCAAGTTTCGCAGATTAAATATTCGACCGTCGTTTTTTTCAGCCCCCAAATGATCTGATTTATCTTATCCTTGCTTCTGACGATCTGTAATGTAAATTAAAGACCCCTACTTCCCAGATGTACTTGAGTGAGGTGCCCTGGTAAGCTGGCTTTTTTGCAGCCCCGGCTTGGTGATTAAGTCGAATCTCTCTACCAATCCTCCGGGGCCAGAGGTAAAATTTAATCACCCCGAAGTGTGAGAGGTTCTACTTTTTCTGAGCAGTTAGTGCGTCAGTCTTTGTGGTTTTTTGGGTTTAGGGTTAGGAGAAAGGGGTAAGTGAAAGAAAAGAATAAGGAAAGAAGTAAGTTTGTTTTTCTTGGGAGCAGGTTCTTTTAGTCACTCTTCAACATGTGGGATGTTTCGTAAAGTTTTGTTGGCATGGGCGGTTTCAACTGTATTTTAGGATTTGAAATAGAAAAAGTGAAGACCACTAAGGATCCCATTTTTCATATACAAGTGACTTGAGGAAATTCCTTTGGCTCCTATCAGCTTAGTTCATGGTAGAGCCCTTCTGTAGCCGTGAAAGCTAGCAGAGAGTCTAGCTTTTAAATTTTCTTGCATTTGCTCCAGGTAATTGAAGACTTGTTATGGGACAGGTACTCTTCCAGACACTTGACACATATGAGGAATGGCAGGCAATGAAGAAGTTGAATGACTTGCACTAGGTCTTCTATCGATAGCGGCTCCAGGCTCCCGGGGTTAGCATTGTTGTTCCAGAGCCTACACTCTAAACCACTGTTAAACCAGGACAGGTTGTAACAGTTTTTAATCTTTAATCTTTAGAACAAGTGTATTTTCAAGGACCTTGAACTAGTCTCGATTGACAAACTCTAAAGCTTTTGAAGTGCAACCAGCTGGGTTGATCGGTCTTTTCACAGATATCTGAGGTACAGCTCATTAACATAATGGATGTAGTCCCGAGGGGGCAGTTGGGGGAAGACAGGAGATGGGAGAGAAGTCAATTCTACAGTATTTTTTGCATTAAATAGGTGCCTAGCGCTGTGAAGGATTCTGTTCTCTGACTTTGGGAGGGCCAGTGCAGAAGAATCAAGACAGAATATGCTCCCGTGTGGGCCAGGCTGTGAATTCTTTGAAAGAAGCTGCAGAGAAGCAACAAAGATTATCCTAAGACTTCTGGAGGAAGAATTAGGATCCTTCTGCAGGAACTCAGTTTACTGTGAATTGAAGGTTGTGTACACAGCTTCTTGTTAGGTCATAAAGGCTACAAAGTAGGGAAAACTGAGGCTAAAAAGCACTTACTAAGTAACTCCCTCTAGGATCATGCTCTTCGGACACCTCGGGGTGGGGAGGAATGGGACAGGATGGAAGGGGCATGCTGGACAAGAGTTAACCGATGACGAAGGGAAAAAAAACTCCCAAAAAATGGAGTAAAGACCCCTTTTCTTTAACATGACAGTCTAAATGAATGTCATAATTATGAAACTTTGCTAACTAGATGCTGTCAACAGTACACCTTGGACCAATAGAAACTTTGACGTTGATTTTGCTTTTTTCACAGTCGTGGTCGTGGTTTGCAGTTTGTTGTTGGTGGTGGCAGTGGTGGTGGTTGGTTGTGGTGAGTGTGTCTGTGTGTATGTGTTTGCCAGTTACTGGTTTCTCCTAATTGTAAGAGGTTTAGAGGGTTCTTTACTTCACTAATGTAGTCTTCTTTGTTCTGGTAGTTAGATCAGCCCCCACGGTATTTGTGGAAGACTTTTCATTATAAGGGCTTTTGAATGTGGTTTGTGTCTAGGCTTTAGTAAAACTAAGAATTCTAGAACAGCTATTTAATGAAACCTTGTTTCTCAAGTCTTGATTTAGCTACAGGCAGAAAAAAGAAAAAAAAAAAAACAATAGCAACATTCTTGCCTCAACCAGTAATGCACTTTGGAAATACTTTCTCTGAGAAACTTACTCCATCAGTTTGAGGCTGTCACATTGAGAAACATGCAATTTCGGTTTTTTTCCTGTTATTTTTCCCGTGCCATTAATTAAAACTGAGCAGCTACCTCTGTAAATGCAGCGGTTCAAAATGAACTGTGAAAAAGGATTTTTCATTTGTGTTGGATTTCTAATTAGAAAACTGCATTCAAAGTTGCTTAGAGGTGGAAATGTTAACATTTGTGAATAAATGGTACTTGGTGACACACTTATTTTTTCCAGTGCTTGTTTCAGCAACGAACTTAAAACTTCTGAATATATTGTTTTTTTTTAGGTATACCCGAAATCTTGTGGATCAAGGAAATGGAAAATTTAATCTGATGATTCTCTGTTGGGGTGAAGGACATGGCAGGTAAAATAACTATTCATTCACAGATATTTATTAGAGCATGTTTTCTAGCATATGAAAAATATAGTACCAGGCTAGCCACAGGTCTTACAAGTAGTAACAAATCTCATTTTTTTTTTTTTTTTTTTTTTTTTTTGAGACAGTGGTTCACTCTTGTTGCCCAGGCTGGAGTGAAATGGCATGATCTCAGCTCACTGCAACTTCTGCCTCCTGGGTTCAAGCAATTCTCCTGCCTTAGCCTCCTGAGTAGCTGGGATTACAGGTATGCACCACCATGCCTGGCTAATTTTGTATTTTTAGTAGAGATGGGGTTTCACCATGTTGGTTAGGCTGGTCTCGAACTCCTGACCTCAGGTGATCCACTCACCTCGGCATCCCAAAGTGCTGGGATTACAGGTATGAGCCACCACACCCAGCCCTCATTTTCTACTTACTTGTTCACAATGTTCCCTAATCCCAACAAAAATTATCAATGGAATTAGCACAGGGCATTCAGGCATACACTACACATATTAAAACCAGCCCCCAAAATGAATAGTAAATCAAATGAGGTAAGTAACCCCCTTAAGTTAACCATACTCTGTTTTCTGTGCAGTAAAACTTTATGTGAAATTGTGTTTACACTTGACATTTGTGGTGTTTGAGGTGTGTAAACAATCGTGGGACCAAAGACCAAAGGATGGAGATTTGAAGCTAGAAAAGCATTGCAAATTCAGAAAATTTCTTTCTACTTCAAGTTAATTCTTTAGTTTCTTTACTGAAAAGGCAACTTATACTGATTCTTTGAAACTTAGCTCCTTAATTTATCTTTAGTTTCACGTTTGACAGTCTTATTATCAACTAAGTATTACTCTCTTTTGAAACATACCTTTCTCAGTCTTGAGAATGGTAAAAGCAATAATTTAGATCCATTTTTATGAAAGAAAACATGAATTTATAAGTGTTTGGAAAGTTAGGTCTGTAGAGTGCATTTATTTACTCATATGGAATGAAGTGTTTCCATTCATTCTCTCAATATTTTTGAAAGCACATTATGTCCAGAGTGGGACTAGACTCTGTGGATTTAGGAAACAAATTCTTTTTATGGTACATATATAAATTAATAAAATTCAATAGATGAAATGAATACCCAAAATGTATATAGATACATATATTTTAATTAACCCTGTAACCACGACTGCTTCATATACTTAAATACTATTCACTCTGAGATTGCATAAATAAATCCTTTGTTTCCTCAAATCCAATTAACTTTTTCCCACCAATGTTGGAAGGTAATCACAGGTAGAGCACTGTAAATTGACACAATGTTAACATTTTATATACAGTGTAACTTTAGGATGGTAATACACATATAGATACCTTCTCTCCCACAGCTCCCCAAAGGAAGGAGAAAAGACAAAAGCCTTGGGGAAAAAACATTAAATGTTAAGTGGATCTTCTCAGTGTGGTACAATTACTATGGATGATTGTCTTAATCCTTTCTAAAATTTCTCTAATGTACTTTCATAATCAAATTCTAGCCCAGTTTAAGTGAGTTATATGTATTTGGGGGAAGATAAAGTGTTGCTGGTTTTGTGTTTCTGTTATCAAAGTAGTATAACAAAGTTAAAAAAACTGTTCATTAGTAGGGGTATGCATCAAAATTGTACCTTTTATATGAATTGATATAGATGATATATTATTACTTTACCCTGAACATTGTTGAACTGTAAGTTGATAACATTTTAAAAATTCAGCTGAAATGGATTTTGGCTGGGGAGATAGCTTATTGACAGTATGCAGGTGTCAGTTCTGGGAAGACTGTTACTGCAGGTCTGGATACTAGACCATCTACTGAGTTCAGTTGTCATTTTGTGTACATATAGCAGTATTCATGATCATACCAACTCCCACTGCTTTCTGAAGATGCTACAGGGAAATCTAAAGGAGACATTATTTGCCTGGCCTGACAAAAAATCCAATGAGATGGTCAAGAAGTCTGAAAGAGTCTTGAGGGAAAACCAGTGTGCCTACATCAATGGTAACATCTTATTCTTTTTCTAAGGGCAAGTGGGAAGAACCATGACCTTTTGTCTGAAATATTGGTTACTTACACTTTTTATGCAGTAGAACCTGGATCATGAGTCATGATTTAAAATACTTGGGAAATGACTTAAACATAGCAGGTTTTGTTTTTTAAGCCTTTGTATCTTGGTTGGAATCACTTATTGAAAACATATGCATGCAGATCAGTATCCACTGAAAAGTCATTTACTTGCCAAGACTTAAGACAGTTAAAATAAAATATGAATTTACTTCAGTGGAGTCTTTCAACAAAAGAGATCAAGTTGGAAACATTAGCCTTGTGTTAGAAAATAGAACAAAATGTTCTGTAACTAATTAAGAATGCTAGCTAGTCTCTGTTTTTCTAAAATACATATAGCATACCTAAAAAGTATCCTCGAGGGAAATTTTACAAAGCACGTTATTGGCCAGTGATTTATACATATCTTACCAAGAATTCCTTATCTTTTCTAAATGGGATATGGGATAGCCAAATACTTTTCAAGAGAGGCAGTGATTAATTTCCATATTCCTAAAAGGAACAGTAACTTTCCAAAAAGCTCATTAAAATGTATATGAGACAGATAGATAGTTTTTTATTCCCTTTTACGTAGGAGGTTGCCAACACATAGGAAGATTAAACAATTTGTCCAAGGTTACTCAGCTTTTAAGTGGCAACCAGAATTTGAACCTAAGCAATTTGATTGAAAAACCTATGTTCTTCATCAGCATGTACCCCACCTATATAAAGTATTATAGAGCTTTGGGGGATTTTTTTTTGGCAAAGCAAGTTTTTTTCTCCATAAATCTTACTGGCCTCGATATTTGGCCTATATACAAGTCACTTGCAAAGATCAAATTGTATGGGAAGTTGTCGCTCATTCACATAACACAAGGATGTTAGTTTCCTATGTGGCAGGAAGCTCTGATTCATTTACCCAAATAATGTGAGGGTTGCTATCTATAAGGCACACCAGATTTCCAAGAAAATTCTGTTGTCTGTACATTCACAGTAAAGCTTTCAGAATAATTTCAGAAGTAAAGCATTCACACACCTTTCAGAATAATTACTTTCAGCTGGAGTCAGAGTGCTTGTGAAAATAGATCAGATCTTTAAGAATAGGTAAGCTTTTTAAAGGTCTTCAATGCAAAAACCTATAGAATCTCAACAGATAAGGAAGTGGTATACATCAGGGATAAAGCTGTGGTGAGGCCTGGTATGAACTGGAGTATACAAGCCTCATATTAAGGTGACAGCAGTGGCCACCCAGCTCCAGTGAGATCAACCTGGTTTCTTTTTCCATAGAAGTTGGAAATTCTGGGTTTTATATGAAATTTTGCCAATTATTAAAATATTCGGTGGGATATGTTAATTATTTCTGTAGACTAATTACCCAAATAACTTAAAAGCCACAAATTTTCAACCTCTGATTCTTACAGATGCAGGAGTAGGGGTGGAGATGGATAGTGATCAGGGGGAAGGATGTTGCAAGTACAAGGAAGAGCACAAGTGAAGGTACAATTGTTGTAAAAAATGGAAACTATTCAAGCATTGGGGGAAGGAAAGAAAGAAGAATGGGTTTGGTCAGTGGATTAGCAGGAGAGTAAAGTGAGCTCAGGGTATGGGCCTGCAAGACCAGCTAAAAGTAAGGACTTTCTTTGGTCAGCAGAGTTATAATTGGGAATATCTTGATCGATTTGGTGGCAGCATGCAACATAGGGTGGAGGAGAAGGGAGGACTGGGGCAAGGAGACCAAGTTGCCTATTGTAATGAGCAAAAGGTCGACCGGGCCTGGACCTAACTCTGCTTCATAAATACCCCCAAGAAAAGTCCAGTATTACTGTGACAGAGGGTACACCATGACCATAAAGGAAAAAGAAGCAAAGATCAAAATATAATAATAATGCCTGGATTATTAATAGGAGCTTCTCTAAAGGATGGGTGTCTTGTTTTTGCAGGGTCTTTGCTTGCAGGATTGTCAGCATGCATTAGATGATGCGTGGACCTGCAGTGTTGAACATTTGTTCAAAACTGTGCTTTAGCCAGTATATTATGAACACAACAAGCTACAGGATCAAAGAATTTGCAGATCTGAGAATTAGGCACCAGTTTTAGAAATAAGGAAAATGAAAGATCCTAGAATGTGTGGCTTGTTCAAAGATAGCATCGCTAATTACCTAGAAGTAGAACTTAAGTCTTCTGGTTCTATGCTTCATTCTTCTTTATGATGTGCACTCATGGAGCTAGATCATAAAGAAGAAAGCACAAAGCCTCATGGGGTGCCTACATTAGTTATGCTAAATTCATTACTTGATTAATCCCTGAAACTTTCTTGTAACTGTGTAAGTTTATTAACATTTTTTAATTGAGTATTTCATCTCGTTTTTTTGTTTTGTTTGTTTTGTTTTGTTTTTGTGTGTGTGTGTGTTTAATCTTCTTGAAGATCTCTCTCCCAGGGCCTCTTGACTGCTTCAGCACAGATTCGTTGATCTCTAGGCCAGGGGTGAGCTGTGATCCTGAGATTCCTTACAATGTAAGGCTTACATTCTCTCAAGCTTTCCCTTTGCTGTTTCCTGTGGCTGGATCCCCTCTTTACTGATCTCATGATTTTTTTTCATTCTTGGTTGATGCCCTTGTTTTGGTGGAGCATATGCTCCAATGGCTCCACAAGAAAGGATCCATGGAAGGTAAATTTTTGAGACCCCATATATTTAAATATCTCTATATTCAACTCCTACAACTTGATTGATAATTTAGCTGGGTTATGGATTATCACCTGATAAACATCTTCCCTCAGAACCATGAGGGTAATTCCTTTGTCTTTTAGTTTCTAGTGTTCTTATCAAAAGCCTAGGGCTGGCCGGGTGTGGTGACTCACACCTGTAATCCCAGCACTTTGGGAGGCTAAGATGGAAGAATTGCTTGAGCCCAGGAGTTCAAGAACAGCCTGGACAACATGTTGAAACCCCATCTCTACCAAAAATACAAAAATTAGCTGGGCATGGTGGCAGGTGCCTGTAGTCCCAGATACTTGGGAAGCTAAGTGGGAGGATCACTTGAGCCCGGGAGGTGGAGGCTACAATGAGCCAAGATCCCACTGCTATACTTCAGCATGGACAGCAGAATGAGACCCTGTTTTTGTTTTTTTTGTTTTTTTTTAAAAAAACCTGGTCCCATTCTGATTTTTGAATCTTTCTATTTTCTTTCTAGAAACTTTTGGGATCTTCTCTTTTGGTGCCTTCTCTCTATCCTCAGTATTCTGAAATTTCACAGTGATGTATCTTGTTTGATGACTCATTCATTGTGCTGGGTACTCAGTGGGTTTTTAAATCTGGGAATTCGTGTCCTTCGACTCAGGAAAACATTAACAGGTTATTTCTTTGAATTTTTTTTTAATTCTGTTTCTGAAACTCCTATTTAGATATTAAACCTCTTGAACTGTTCCTCTTTTTTTTTTTTCTCTTTCTTTTCTATTTTCTGTCTTTGTCCTTTTGTTCTTTGAGTCTTCCTCAGCATTTCCTGCCAACCCTTTTCTGGTTTCTGTTTCTTCAACCTCTTTTTGTTTTATGGTCCCTTTTATGGTATTTTCTCTTATTTCTAGGAAAACATTAATGATAGGTTTTTGAACACTTCCCCTGAGTAGTCTCTGTTGCAGGTTGCTTTTTTGTTTGCTCTGCCCTCTGTCTTTCATACTAGAGGCCTTGCTCAAATGTCTGGTGACCTTGGCAATGTGCTAATATTTAAAAACCAAGAACAAAAAAATTAATTGGTAACCCTGAACATGAGTGGAGCTTGTCAACTGGATTTCACTTTTTGATAGTCTGGCAGAGACTTTTTCTTCAGGAACTTCCAGCGACAATATCTTTAAAGCTTTTTTCTTGAGCCAATCAGATTCTCTGAGAAGTTGCTTCCTATCTTCTGCCTGGAAAGAAAAATCTTGTCTGGCAGCATTCTCGCAGCTAGGTGATGACTAAAGCAGGGATTTTTACCATTCAGTATGGAAGCTTTTGTTTAATTCACCTGTTTTTCACCTGATTTCCATCAGTCCCAAGTTGATCTCTTACACTCTTTCTAGAGACTAGACCTTACTCTGCTGCTGAAAAGAAAGAAGAGAGAGAATTGGTAAAAGGGTTTTGAGACTCTACTTCATAAACAAGCTTTAAACCAGTTCTTATATCTACAGCCTATCTTTACCCTCATTTCCAGAAGTACCTGGTGCTGTCAATTCCTGTGCTATTTGGAGTTTCAAGATATAAATCAGGTTATTTCTTGGTTTTCTCCATGGATAGCTTAGGATTTAGCTTTCTCTGCTCTGTAAAGCTATCCATCTTACTTTCTAAGCTTTCAAATTTTTGTTAGTGTTTTCTCTTTTCCTATTTTGTCTTTGTATATTGATGTCTTTTTTATTTTTTTACTGCCATTGGAGAGGGTTTTCAGGAAGGAGCAGAGGCTAATGCATGCGTGTCACTTACTATCTTTAACTGCAAGTTCAATTCTAATTAATATCTATTCCATTTGCATCACAATTGATTCATGATCTCAGATGACTCACAGAGATTTTACCTACAGCTGTTATCTAGGCTCCTTTATCTATTTTTCCTTCCCGGATATTGTTTAGATTCCATTGGCTTACATCGAGTAGAGAACATCAGCCATACGGAACCTGCTGTGAGCCTTCACTTGTACAGTCCACCTTTTGATACATGCCATGCCTTTGATCAAAGAACAGGACATAAAAACAAAGTCACAATGACATTCCATAGTAAATTTGGAATCAGAACTCCAAATGTGAGTATAATTTCTTCTAGGTTTAAATGCTCTGTAGGTTGGCACTGTTACACTGCATGTATGCAAAGAATGAGATGAGTCTTAATTCATGGATAAGGCCCAATATATCTTGATTGTTTTATTTAACTTTAGCGACTATCTTTTCAATTTATTTTTAAAAACTTATTATGTTAGATCCAAACATTAGTTGAGAAATTTCAAAATGTATGCTTGTTTTTAAAGAAAATGTTTTCATTTACTTGGGAAATGAGAGTGAAAACTATTATTTGATATAACTGTTACTGCCATGACTTACTATGCATAGGTCTAATTTGCTGGGCCAACAGGGATAAGTTGCATAATTAACCTTTGTAAAGGTTATTCTGATGATATAACTAAAGCAAATTGTCTGTTTTGTTTGCCAATGTTGCTTATTCTTAGAGTTGTTATGCCATTTATACCACAAATAAGAATAGACTATACTAACATGTTCCTCCTTGAGAAACAAGCATTTCCTACTAAAAATAAAAAGGCAACCAACACTAATATAGCAGGGCAGTCTTCTACCTCTGAAATAAGTTTGTCATTTAGAGGAATAGTCTTTAATTATCAGAATATCCAGAAATAGACAATGTGTGAAAATGGAGACCAAAGCAATCCTTGAGTCTTAATGAAAGCGCAGCCTCTGAGGGAAGCCAGGGCAGAATTTTCTCATTATCGCTCCGCTTCATCTTTATCTTCCACATTCCAAACCCTAAGAGATATTCTTATTGCGGGAAAAACAACAAGGCTCCCTTGCCCTTGCTGAGTTTTCATACACTGCTACAAAAGCAGAACTATTTAGAAGGAGTTAAAATGTCTTTTGTAAAGTTTCTTACACAGCTTTCTTTTTTTCCCTTTTTTACAGGCAACTTCGGGCTCGCTGGAGAACAACTAAGGGGCACCAAACCCTCTGAGGTTTTACTTTAAGGTTCGCTGTATGTTTGCCTTGGACAAAAAGGCTACCTACCACGTGCTATCCAGTAATATACTTAAATAAGCCAATACTTAGATCTACTGTAAGGCAGATGCTAATTATAAGGCATTAAGTAAGCAAATAGTGCCCTCAGCTACTGCAGAAGAAAAGTCCCACTGAGGAAAAGAAAGTCTTGTGATTTTTAAAGGCAAGTTTTCAAGTGCTCTCATAGTTCTATCCTCTAATTCCATTAAATCCATACTAGGAGCGTCAGTGAGGGTTTTCATAGCTTTTGGAAATACTTTGGTCTCTGAACTGTAATTAGCAAGAAGTAAAAACAGAAACGTCAAACGTCAAATGTTTGCTTTGTTACCTGGAGGACTAAATGTAGATGTCTTTAGTATACTTTGTATGTTCTTAATATTGGAAGATAATTTTGTGAATCTGTAGATTTTATTTTTTCAGTCTTACCTTACAAATTTCTTTTCTATGAATAATAGAGGAACTTACGGCACTCTGCCATTTGTTAATGAAAGGAAGTGCAGAGGATTTAGAAAAGTACATGATCCCCAGACCACAACAAACCAAAACATAAACTCATGTCTGTGTCCCATGGTCATAGTCAAAGATTTTGTACTGCTAAAATTACCAAATAATTTAAATAAAGTGGATTTGAACACAATTTGAAGGTGTCTTTCTGATTAACATGATAGAAACTTCACATAAATCAGTTTCTTAGATCTAGATATACAAAAGCACTGTGACAAATGGTTTTTTTTTTTTTTTTTTTTTTTTTTGAGACAGAGTCTCACTCTGTCGCCCAGGCTGGAGTGCGGTGGTGCAATCTCGGCTCACTGTAAGCTCCGCCTCCCGGGTTCACGCCATTCTCCTGCCTCAGCCTCCTGAGTAGCTGGGACTACAGGCGCCTGCCACTGCACCCGGCTAATTTTTTGTATTTTTAGTAGAGACGGGGTTTCACCGTGTTAGCCAGGATGGTCTCAATCTCCTGACCTCGTGATTTGCCCACCTCGGCCTCCCAAAGTGCTGGGATTACAGGCGTGAGCCACCGCGCCCGGCCATTTTTTGTATTTTTAGTAGAGACGGGGTTTCACCATTCTATGGTCTCGATCTCCTGACCTAGTGATCGGCCCGCCTCGGCCTCCCAAAGTGCTGGGATTACAGGCGTGAGCCACCGCGCCCAGCCGACAAATGCTTTTATGATGTAAGAATATGAGAGAGCCAAAAAACATTCAAAAACAACTTAACCTTTTTGGACTTAATATCTTCACTAATTGGTCAGAGACACCAATCTGAGAGCCTCTGGCTGTAGTGTGGCTCAGACGTGGTCAGTTTTGCCTGGAAATTGTGTGTCTATATCTGTATGTGTTTAAATGTGGATTGGTTTTCGACATTTAAAAACTGGAGATTTCATAGAAGTTGAGGGATTCTAGCTGCTCAAAATTTGAATTATCTAGAACACTTGGTCTGCACTGCATTTTTATTGGTATTAGTTGGCTAGGCTGGGGTTTGCCTCTTAAATGGGTCGGCCCCCCGATCTGCTGCAGTCCCAAACTCACCTATTTCCATTATTTGTTACCTGCAAAGCCTGCATGTGCATTCGAGTTTGCTCTTCCTGCTCTAAGCAACTTCTTAAGGAATATCTGTCATAATCTTAGAGCTAATTAATTCTGGGAATTTAGTTAGCAAAGTCCTTTAAAAATAGTTTCTGTGTAGCTCATTGGTTATATTGTTTATATATCTCATATTAGTATTTACATGTTAGCTTCCTCTCTCATCCTTTGGAAAGATATTAACACTTATCGAATGCTTACTATGTATTAGGTATTGTTATAAGTTGTTTGAGCCTACTAATAGTTCTGAAAAGTAACCTTAATGAATTGGTATATTTCTGCTGCTGTATATAGCACATTATCACAAACGTAGAGGGTTAAAGCAATGCAGATGTATTATTCTATAGCCCTGCAGGTCAGAAGTCTGTTTCGCAGCACTAGAATCAGTATTGTAAGGGCTACACTCCTTTCTGTACGCTGCACAGTATCTGTTTTCTTGTTTTGTGGGTTTCTTTTTCCCTCAGCTCCTAAAGACTGTCCAGTATTCCTTGACTTGAACATCCTTCCTCCATCTTCAAAGCCAGCAATGGCGGATTTAGTCCTTCTACATCTCATTTACTTCCCTTTTTTTCTTTGAGGAACTAGACAATGTCTCCATCTCAAGATTGTATCCTTAATCACATCTGAGAAGTTGTTTTGTTTTTGGCCACATGAAATAACATTTCTAGGTTCTGAGTATTAGATTGAATGCCTTTGGAAGGCCTTTCTCCTGATCACAGAGTTACATCCCATCACAATATCAACTCAGAAGTCCAAAACCCTTATCCATATATCATTATCTAAATTAGGTATGAGGGAGGCTCTTTTTACCATCCATCCTAGAACACAATTCCTCTTTCTATATACACATATTCAGCATGGTTAAGAAACTCGCCAAAAGGTATCTAGCCAAAATATTACAGAGCTAGGATTGAAGCCAGGATTTGATCTCAAGCAATCATCCTCTAAAACTCATTCTCTTTATATTTAGGCCTTTCAAGGTAAAAGAAGGCTGGGCCACTTCTCATTTTTTTTGTATCCCATTATAACAAAAAGCAAAATTATGGTATAGTTACATGTTTTCTACATATACATAAGTGCTTAATAAATAGCACCTTTAACACACATAAATGACATAATACCCTATGTATGATAGTGATGGTCAAATGTAAATGTGAAGAACTTTGTGAATGTGAGGCTCAATCTAGATGGCCTCACCACTCTCCCTGCCTCTGTGATTGGCCTGCTCCCTCTAGCCCATAACAACATTTATGCAGGAGCCAACGTACTGCTTCTCCCAGAGCTTACTGTTTGCTTGGGTCAGTGGGATGTTTGCACATAAGCAAGGCAGTGATGGCATCAAGGGCTCAAGAGGACTTTGTAGGAGTGAGAAGGAATATTGAGGGCTGGAATCATACTGTTTGCTAAAGTGTAGGTGGGATGTAAAAGGGAGTGGAGACCTGAGGGTAGAAGAGGAGTAGCCCTAAAGTGAGGAGACAGGTGGCCAATCACCCCATACTACTCAGTTTCTCCAATCTTACCTGCAGCTGGAGCTTGGCACTGTGGCTCCCTCTGCCTAGAATGTCCTTTCCCAGCTCTTTACGTGGCTGGCTCATTCTTGCCCATCAGGTTTCAGTTCAGATGCCATCTTCCCAGAGAGGAATTTCCCAATCACACTATCTAACAGTGAAATCTCTAAGCACTCTCTGAAGCACTTAGGGTTATCTGAAAGTGTCATTTCTTTTTTCTCTCCTTTATTGTCTAAATCCTAGTAATAGGATGCAAGCCCCCATAAGAGGAGAGACATTGTGTTATTTACTACTTTATATCTTGAGTGTTTGGTCTATACCTGACACATAGTAAGTGTTCAATATTTATGAAATGAATGAAAAACTCCTCAACCTCCTTACATGATAATCTTGTACAAACACACATGGATGCTTTGGTGTTTTCTGTGTGCCACCAAATCAAATGTACCACGTTATTTTTATTAAGGATGTAAATTCTAAGGATCATTTTCTTAAGCCACAGACTTCTTTTGTAAAGCCGATTCAGAGACTTACCTTGGCGTGGATTCATGAATCATGTACTCACACAATCTTTTTGATGAACAAAGCGTTTTTACATCTGTTCCAAGGAAGGGGACAGAATTAATTATCCTATTTAACAATGGTACTTAGCCTTTTTCAAAATTATTATTATGGACCACTTTGAAAATCTCTGAATACTAAAGAACTTATCTCCCAAAAGGGGACACGCAACAAATTTGCATGCAATTTCAGAAAAGATTCATGGAGTCTCTGAAGGCCTCTAGGGCCCCTCTTCAAAAAGCTCTGCCATATATGAGCCAAGGTTTGTGGGAAATGGTGGCTATTTGACTTCATTTTCTGAGATTAAGCTGGGCAACTAGTTAACCTTTTAAAGGTTACAATGAGTTATCTAAGGTTTCTAGGAAACACCAGGCATGAGCTACCTTGTCCAAGGCACGTCAACACATTTCACAAGATCTGTTCTCTTTTTTCTAAAGACATGAACAACATTTCAAACTTTCACAACTTTATTTATCCAGCTGATAGATGTTTTCTTTAGAAAACAAAAGTATGTGGGAGAATGGCATAAGCCAGACAAAGAACAAATATTATATGATTCCATTTGTACAAGGTACCTAGAATAGGCAAATTCATCAGAAGTAGAACACAGGTTACCAAGGGCCTGGAGGGAGGGAGAATGGGGAGTTATTGTTTAATGGCTAAAGAGTTTTTGGTGGGAATACTAAAAATTTGGTGGGTATACATAGTGGCGATGGGTACACTGCACTCTGAATCTATTTAATGCCACTGAATTGCACATTTACAAATGATTAAAATGACCATATTTTCCCACAATAAAAATTATTTCTGTAAAAAGTATATGTGGGAAAAAAGTGTGTTCATGTGTGTATGTATTGATATAGGTAAGACACACTGATCATAGCAAATTCTAAAATGCTAAAATATGAGAAACCATTTTATGAGAAACATAATGTGAGAAGTCTCCTTCCTAACCCCAAGCACTTCATTTCCCTCCCTAAAGGTAGCCAATATTATCACTTTCTTGTGTTTCCTCATTTATTTTTTCCCACTTTTTATACACAGGGTAGCATTCTGAAGTCAATTTTGGGAACTTATAAGGAGATCTTTCCATATCAGGATACAAACAGCTTCTTTATTCTTCTGTACTGATGGCTGTGTGCTATCCCATTGGATGAATGTACCATAGTTCTGTTAACTAGCCCTCTACTGATGGACTTTTCAGTAATTTCCAGACTTTTATAATTACAAGCAATTCTGCAATGAATTACCGTGTGCATAATGTCATTTCACAAATATCAGTTGACATATTTCTTTATTTCAAAACAAGCAAGATAACAGGGCCCAGGAAATGAGGTAACAGCAGAAAGTCATAGCCAGCTGCCCTGCTTGAAGGCGTCCCTTTAGTGCACAGTCTGCTGCTCCATGTCTTGGCTCTTCAATTCAGCCATTTCCACTCTGTTCACTGGCCTGCTGTATTCATGTGAAGCTCCAAAGCTATCAGAAGTTTGACACTCATAGAGAGAGTATATACCACAACCAAGAAAGCTCTAGGGCCCCTGTTACTAAGAAAAGTCATGATCTAGTTATGGTCAATTTAGGATTCAGCCCCACTATAGGAGAGTTGAGGCACTCCTGATGTTTGTTTTTGTTTTTTATCATTGAGCTTTCTGTGCAGTTGAAGGAGATGTAATAACTTTCTGGGCTGTTTGAAAATATGACTCACCTGTTGCTTACTGGGGGCATTTGGTGATTTTTTTGAATAATTCACACAGAGACATCAACCGTGAGAGACTGACTCTCCCTCAGTAATCTGAGGGACATTCTTATACGAGCTGAAGGAAGTGGTTATCTACTTAAAATATCTGTATCTAAGTATCCACATACTAGAGTACTATGTGTAATGTTTGCCTAAAAGCATCACCAGACCAGTTCCTTGTTCATGAGGGATAGACATATTACAGAACTAGAAAGCAAATTAATGCAAATAAATATCAATTAGCCTTCGATGCCAAGATCCCTGCTAGGCATGTCATAGCATAAAGAGGATGTCATTACAAGAGTAGATGACTGCAAGGCACCTTGCAGTGAAAGCTATATGATTACAATTAGTGAAACAAGTGTTTTGATAAGTGAAGAAACTAAAGCAGAGGAGCTAACCAATGGATCTGAGCAATGTTGTGCTGGTATAGGCTCATACAGCCCTATTAGAGCTGATATTCAGGAATTTTGCAAGCAAATTGGTAGGTTGAAATTGACTATAATGATAGAATTTCTACTGCGGAAATTAGTCAACACTACAAATTAGGGTATTTTTACCCTAGAGAAGCTTTTGTTAAACATGTACCCGCACATTGTTATAGCTAAGGTTATTCAACCAATTCAGAGTAAAAACAAGATTTGCTTGAGCAACTTAAATGTACATTTTTAGGTTGGGCAAGGTGGCTTACATCTGTAATACCAGCTTACTTTGGGAGGTCAAGGTGGGTGGATCACCTGAGGTCAGAAGTTCAAGAGCAGACCAGCCTCGAGATGGCGAAACACCGTCTCTACTAAAAATACAAAAATTATCCGGGTGTGGTGGCATACGCCTGTAATCTCAGTTACTCAGGAGGCTGAGGCAGGAGAATCTCTTGAACCCAGGAGACAAAGGTTGCACTGAGCCCAGATTGTGCCTGACACTGCACTCCAGCTTGGGCAACAGAGTGAGACTCCATCTCAAAAAAAAAAATTATATATATACTTTTTTATGCTTTCATTTGTACTGGGCTTCTAAATTTTAAAATGTTTTTGCATATATATTTGTTATTGTCACTTCAGAGAAATAGATCTTTTAAGGAAAGATCTATTTCTTAAGTAGATATTATTTCTCCCTGCTCCATTTCAGCAATGAGAACACTTAGCCACACATACATGAAATGTTTTGCCCAAGGACACACAGCTTCATAATGGAAAAAACAAAATAGACATCAATTCTGCCCAGGACATTGGACCTTTGACAAAAAAGAAAAACTATTAAGCAGGGACAGAAAGTAAACAATGTGGCCAGCACAATTGTGATTATGATTTTCCTGTTTGATATCTGTCGACTGGTTTCTGACTTCATAGTTTACAAAATATATTCATGAGATACTCAGGCCCAATGGAATAGATAGTAGTTTTGTTTTTCCTGAATAGATCCAACTAATGATTGCATCATAGCAGAGGCTGAGACTGGGCTGTGCTTTATTCCTACTTATTTGACAGGGCAAAGGTGATCAACTTTGGGGACCATGTTCATGGCTATATTCCATGGCACCAGACCAGTATTCCAGGTTGTTTCAGTTAGGGTTTGCTCAGTTGCAAGTGACAAAATGTGACCCAAACTGACCCGAACAAAGCAAGCTCATGTTACTGTAAAGTCCAAGGGTAAGTAATCAGGCAAGCATGTGCCAAGGAGTTCAAACAGCTTATTAGGACTCTATCATGCTCTCCATATTTCCTGATCCTAAAGTCTACCTGTGTGTGTTAAGATGACTCCCCAAACCTGCAGGCTTATGACCCAAGCTCTCTATTTCAATTTTGGCAAGATAAGGGATCATTTATTCACAATCTTTCCATAGATGTTGAAAGGAATTTAGCTTTATGGGTGCTGAGTGCATCAATGACTATCCCCGACCCATTCATTATGGCCAACAGGGTGTGATCTCTGGCCTGGCCAGAGTCCAGTGTTGGCCTCTGGAGTCGAAGGTGGAACCAATTCCACCAAATCATATTTGTTGAATGTATGAATAAAAGGATAAATTGAAGAATTATAGCAACCAAACGACCATCACCTTTTTACCCTTGATAGCACTAATTTATTTTATTTTATTTTATTTTTTTTTTGAGACAGGCTCTCACTCTTTCTCACTCTTTTGCCCAGGCTGGAGTGCAGTGACAGGATCACAGCTCACTGAAGCCTCACCCTCCCAGGCTCAAGCAATCCTCCCGCTTCAGCTTCCAGAGTAGCTGGGATCACATGCCACCAGGCCTGGCTAATTTTTTTTTTTTTTAAAGGTTGTGTCTCACCATGTTGCCCAGGCTTGTTTTGAACTCCTGGGCACAAGCCATCCTCCTGCCTCGGCCTCCCAAAATACTGGGATTATAGGCATGAACCAATGCACCTGGCCATATAACACTACTTTTAAAACTGCAAGACTAGGTTGTTTCTTTCTCTTCTTTTACTGATGAAACTTACAAAAACATTCTCATCACTCCAAAGATAAAGCGCTTTACAGATAGACTCATGAGTGAGCTCAAGGGAAAGCTCCAATGTCTCAACATCCTCCATCGATCCCAAACCATGTCAAAACTCTTCCATCAGAATTAATGCTCCGTGTAACAGGAGACAGGTGGGATTTTTTTCAATGTCCTGAAATCTAGCTAAGGCCTGAGGCCAAACCCAAAAGGTATCAAGTATGCTCACATTACAAAGAAAACTGACAAAAGTCACTAAGAACTTGGGGTCAGGCATTTTCCCTCGAGGACTTATTAGGTGTTGGTGGAGCCTGCTCTCCCAGCAGCACCCCTACACCTTCACCATCTTTGCATTGCCATGGTGAGTTAATGAAATACCTCTCTTAATGTTTATTTCTAAGCCTGTATGCATTGAGTCTGTTACAACCATATTCTAGCTTCTGCTGTGATTTCACCCCACATAGCTCTAGCCCTGACCCTCAATCTACTTCCCCCTTCTCCTGCCCAATAGAGCCAGGTTTGCACTTAGATCTTAGCACCCCTCAATCCTCCACAAACACACACAGCTTGCCCACCCCGTACTCTGGACAAATAGAACTTTGCTACCTCACTGGTTCTGCTCTGCCTCCTCATTCTGTCTAAAATGCACTCTGCCCCAGTTCCCTGCCCTCTGGGGACATAGCGGCTCCTTTCCAAGGCCCAGCTCAAATATCAATTATTTCAGAAGTTGCCTCAGTGGGAGGCAATCTGTCTACCTTTGGGCTCCCATAGAATTTTATTTTCACTTTCTTATAGCACTTGCCACATTCTGCTCTGTTACAGGAATTAGTTTGTGTTTGCTCTGGTATGAGTTAATACGTTCCTGAGGTACCAATTCTTGCATTGAGTTGTGGCAAGACAATTTTAAAAATTAATTTCATTTTTTAAAATTAACAAGTGATAATTGTACATACTCTTAAGGCACGTGGTAATATTTTGATACATATCATGTATAAGTGATCAGATCAAGGTAATTAGCATATCCATCATCCCAAACATCATTTCTTTGTGTTGGGAACATCAATATCCTCCTTCTAGCTATTTGAAACTATATATTATTGTTAACTATAATCATCCTACAGTGTTGTAGAACTCTAGAACTTATCCCTTCTACTTTGCTGTTATTTTGTATCCTGCTTTTTGAAAATAATTAATTATTTTATTTTTGAGACAAGGTCCTGCTCTGTCAGTCAGGCTGGCATGCAGTGGTGCAATCATAGCTCACTATAGCCTCAAACTACTGGGCTCAAGTGATCTTCCCACCTTAGCCTCCCAAGTAGCTGGGGCTACAGGTGCGTACCACTGTACCTGGCTATTTTTTCTTTTTAATTTTTTTGTAGTGATGGAGGTCTTGCTATGTTGCCCAGGCTGGTCTTAAACTCCTGGGCTCCAACAATCCTCCTGCTTCAGCTCCCCAGAGTGCTGAGATTACAGGTGTGAGCCATCACACTTGGCCTTACCTAAGGTATTTTTAAAAGTCAAAAACCAAGTAACAGCAGTTACAGGGGATGGTATGCAGCTGACACATTCTGTTAAGTGCTATCCTATCCTGCTTTGGTGTGAAGGCCACTGCTGGAGGGGACAGAGCATGCCATTGTCAAGTGTAAGAAACCACTAGGGGAGTGTCTAAAAATGCAGTTTCCTGGACTCACCTCCAGAGAGTCCAAGTCTGTGGGTCTAGGATGAAGACCAGAAATACACACTTTTAACAACGGTCCCCAGAAATCTGGGGGATTCTGATGCTGAAGGTCTACAGAGAACACTTGAAGAAATATCATGCTCATGACTATTATTGGGAGTTTCTTCTACTATAATTCATATGCCTAAATTATTTCTTAGTAACTTTTTGGAACTTTATTCTATTTCTCCTTTGACTTTGTTTCCTAGCCTGCGCCAAACCTCTACAAGGAGCAGAAAGAACACTCAGCCAAGAGTCCTGAATTCTAACCTTGCTCTGTCATTAACTTGTACTGGGCTATTAGGCTTCTAGCTTCTTTGGGCCTCAGTTTCCTTATCATTCAATTAAAGGATTAAAAACAAAAACTGAACTCCATAGAACCCTAGGATTCCCTAGATGTGCCCCAGACCCAAACATTTAGTGAGGGGTGAAGGATAGACTAAGTGGTCTTGTATTAGGGCCTCCCAACCCTCCAACTCCTCTAGCAACCAAACCAGCCGGGCTTTGAAATTTTACTGTACATCTTGGGATTTCAATAATGGTTTTGCCTGCCTAATTACTTCTTTTTTTTAATCCACAGGATTTAAAGAGGTCTTTAAAGAATCCCTTTGATCTCTGCTGTCTCTAATTTCAGAAACTCTGGCACATGTCTTTTTTGTGGGATTTTTCCACTCCACCATTCACTTAATCTTAATTAATGGGAGTCATGAATCCTTTCAGTACCTCAACCTCTGGCCAAAGGAGGAACTTTGTCTGCTCCCACCAAGAAGCAGGTGCCTCACCCTTTCCTGTTAACAGGTGACTACTGTGCCTGCACATAACCACCACTGCCCAATCTAGGAGGATGTCTCTCTCCCTTATTTGCTGATTGTGGCTGCCCAGCCCAAGGGGTTTCCTGCTAGGGTGATAACACATTGTTCTTGAACAGAGAGAAATAACTTAGAGGGATCATCCTAGACCCACAGACTTGGACTCTCTGGAGGTGAGTCCAGGAAACTGCATTTTTAGACAATCCCCTAGTGGTTTCTTACACTTAATCTGTGGTAGCCAATTTTATTAGTCTGGGGAGGAAAGATTCCCTTCTGGGAAGTGTGTTGTATTGAGAGCCAGGAGCATGAGTGGTTAACGTGGGCATTGTGACAATCAATGCTACTGGGGAATCCACTCAAGAATCATTTAAGCCTAATTGCCAGAGAAGGAAAGTGCTCCATCTGTTTTTTTCTCAGTCTCCACCAGAGTAACCACTTCCCCACCATTTCACCCCCATTAACACTGATGTTCCTGATAAATAACTTCATAGTTGTGGTGTGGACAGAGACAACAGACTGTTCAGAGAACAAAGAGAGTATTTACAAGGTAGATTTCCACTCTGAGAGGCAACACAACATCTTAGGACAAGATGATCCCTCTAAGTTATTTCTCTCTGTTCAAGAACAATGTGTTATCACCCTAGCAGGAAACCCCTTGGGCTGGGCAGCCACAATCAGCAAATAAGGGAGAGAGACATCCTCCTAGATTGGGCAGTGGTGGTTATGTGCAGGCACAGTAGTCACCTGTTAACAGGAAAGGGTGAGGCACCTGCTTCTTGGTGGGAGCAGACAAAGTTCCTCCTTTGGCCAGAGGTTGAGGTACTGAAAGGATTCATGACTCCCATTAATTTAAGAATCAGGGGACACTCTTTCATGTGTATAAATAAGGAAAGTGCAGTACAAAGAAACATCTGCTATCTCTGGACATATCAGAAGACACATATGGTACCTGCCCCAGATTGCCAGCATCATCCTATGCTGGGAAGCACTCTGTCCCCCTTGTCAAATTCCTTCTCTAGAAAACACAGCCTAGCAGCCAAAAACATTTATCTGACCCTGGTCTAACTTGTCCCCACAGCCATCTTAATCACTTCTTGGCCAATAGGACATGTATTATTATCACAGGCAGCCCCTAAGTTGGCTGTCAGATTGTCACCAACAGAAAAATAAATACCTACAGCTCATATATATATATATATATATATATATATATATATATGCACACACACATATATATATATAACTTGCTGATATATAATTAAAATGTTTTTATCCATAATACAATAAAATTTGCCTAAATGTCAGAGAACTCTATTAGCAAACTAAGCTTTGGGGTTAAATAACTTGTAGAAAGTGTGCTTTGGGTGAAATCAATTCAATAAATAAAACAATGTATTTATTCCACAGACATCTGTTAGTCCCTCTGAGGTGCTAGACCTTGTGCAAGGAGTTGTAGCAAATCTAAAAAGAACAAGCCTCCATCCTGAAAAGGAGTATAACACACACACACACACACACACACACACACACACACACACACACGATAAGTACCAAACCAAAAAGAATAATGATAAATGTCATGAAAGAGATATGAACTGAGGACTATGGGACCTGAGAATGGGGAGCTTTTCTGCCTAAAGGATGGGTTGGATCTTTACATGTAGACCTGAAGGACAGGGTATTGTAGGGAGATGGAAAGTCTTAAGGTGGCCAAGGCTCACATACTTCTGTGTCTCATTCATTTAAGAAGGCTTTACTAGTTTGGAAAGTTGTGAATCCAATTTGACTAGAGGGCATAGTGGGAGTGGAAGGCTGAGTGGAAAAGCAGTGGGCAAAGGCTGAAGACTTTGGGTTTCATTCTGTAAACAATAAAGAGAGATCCAGACATAATAGTGATGTGATCAGAGCTGAGCATTAGGAAATTTTACCTGGTTCTTTGTGTAAGTTTGTTGGAAGGAGAGAACTGAAGACATGAAAGTCATTTCAGAGGTCCCTGCAGGAGCTTTGACAGGAAGATCTGGACTAGGAGTTAGCAGTGGAAATGGACAGAAAACAAGGGGACAGAGGAGCCATTGCAGAGGCAGGATTCACAGGATCTGATTGTGGATTGGCTGAAGAGAGAAAGTGATCAAAGATTACTGTGAAATCCCCACCAGGCTCCAAGGAGAAGGAATCTTATACATTTGACCCAGATAAGTCAGGAAGGAACACATCTTGGGAAGATAAAGTGAAGTTTGATGTTGGGCAGTGTCATAGGGAAATAGAATTTATGAACTGGTCTGATTTATACTAATTCTGTTATCAAACTCAATTGTGTTGTTACCCACAGCATATGACCAGAAGGGACATGTGAGTGAGAAGGGGCAAGAAAAATAAATGCAGGCAATGACAGGATCCAGGATGCTTTATAGGGACAGAATATTCTGTGTGAATGTCTCAGATAACAAAATACAGAATCACTAATATGCTTGGATAAATAGATTGTTATGAAGCAAATGCAGCAGTCTTCTTAGGAACATTGTGGAGGAATTGTCATATTTTTTTTCTTTCAGAAAGAAGAATCTCCATGCAAATCATTAAATGTAGTTTTAATGCTTCATGAAAATCTAGTTCTCCTTATTTTGTTATACTTTATCTTTCTCCAAGATACAAATATACCTGCATATGTTAATTCAGCTCTTGTCTGCAAGAACATCCAATTCTTTCCATCTACAATTTTTTAAGATAGACGCAGTTAATCTGAGCTGTTAACTATGTCTGAGTCTGATGCATCTTTCCGTACCCGTATCAGATAACGGCAGGAAACTGACGTAGACCCAACTGGCAAAAAAATTGTTTTTAATGTATAGGTATCAATTTTAGTCTGGGAAAGTCAAACTCAACCTCATTTCTTTTAACTTCAAAATCCAAAATGCTTGGAATCAGAAGTCTGTTACTTAACAAAATAATTTTCACCTCTTTCTTTCAGAATAGCCATGAAATTACCTCTTTTTGCCTCTTTCACCCTGTCTTCACCCCACAAAATGTAAAGAAATCAATGAACAAATTTATTTAAGGATATTTCAATGATTCAAATAAACAATGGTCCAAATAGCCAGTCTAGGTGGGAGGTGAGATTTTAGAATGATCCTGGGTCATCTCAGCATGAGAGAGTGGCTTTGAAATTGCACAGCAAAGTCACATAGGGAAGAACTAATACAGTGGTCAGGATGCTGAAATAAAAGCCTCTGACTCACCAGCTGAGCCCGACCTGGTCCTCTGGGCCTCAGAGTATCTGAACAGGCTAGGGTAAGAAATAATAAATAATAATAAATACATCATTAGAGTAATAATAAAATAAAAATGACTATTGTAGCACAGCTACTTGTGCTAGGCACTGCACTGCATATTCACATATTATTTTACTTGATCTTCTCAACAATCTGTGAGGGAGCTGCTTTTATCCGCATTTTGCAGACAAGGACAATCAAAGACTCAGAGCAAGTGGCAAAGTGACAGATTTCTGATTGGGACCAAGTTCTATCTGATTCCAAAGTTTGTGCTCCGTGCATTCTGCTGCTTTGCCTCTCTAGCAGGTTTTTTCTCACAAATTTGATCAGGAGACCAGTAAAGCATCCTGATTTCAGTCTGTGAAATTCAGATGCTAAGAGTCAGGAAACTCAGCCCTTAGGCATTAAACTTCCAGAGGTTCTTCCCAAATTCCCCGGGCTAGTGACTCTTATTTTAGAAGTTCTCACTTTTCCATCCCACTGGAGGTCATTTTCTAATTTCTCATAGTCCTAATAAATATTTTCTACTATTGAATAAAAACAAGATACCAAAGGGTCCTATTGCCCTCTGCTCATTCTTATCATGTTTTTGCTTCTTCAGTCACTAAATAAGAGCTTTTGAATGCTAAGCTTCCCTTACCTCCCACCTTTCTCCAATTCCTATTTGCTGAGATCCTTTGGTATTTTTAGTTCTACACTACTATTAGATTTTTCTCTCATATGTCTTCAATTTTAAGAGTTTATTTGGCATTGACATAAAAAAGTCCTTATCTCTGTAGCACTATTTATTTATATTTAAACAACAATATAATTGTGCATCACTCTCGCATCTTCTTTTGAGCTTCCCTGAGCTTGAGGTCTCCTTTCTTAGCGTTTGCCTCAGCTAAGATATGTGTGGGAATATATTATCTAACTCATAGTATATTCACCCATAGGTTGCTTTTTATTCTGAG
Source organism: Homo sapiens (assembly GCF_000001405.40). NCBI lineage: Eukaryota > Metazoa > Chordata > Mammalia > Primates > Hominidae > Homo > Homo sapiens. The sequence continues at coordinate 115,790,769 of NC_000005.10, read as the reverse complement.
AGGCTAATGGCATCTTGGCTGAGAGTAGGCTTCTTAGACTGTGCTCCTTTCATTTGACATCCTGTAGATACTATTCCACCATCCTCTGGCTTCCATCACTGCATTTGAGTAGTCTGATGCCAATCTGAGATTTTGTCTTTTGTCTGGAAGCATGTAAGATTTTCTCTTTATCCTTTCATTCAGAAATTTACTAGGCTGCATCTAGATATTGACATATGACTTATTTTTCTAATCCTGCTTGAAATTTAGCAAACCTTTTCAAGGTGGTGACTTCCGTCTTTACATAGATCAGAAGTTTTGTTCTTTCTTTTGAAATATTTCTTCCACTTGATTAGCACACCATTGATTGGATTCTCAACTGCTTCTTTCCTCTCTTTCCATTTTTTACTGGATTATTTAACTTAAAAACAATGCTTCATAGTCACAGAAAGTCCTTTTTTGCTTTAAAAGAATCCTCTTGAGTGGGTGCTTATTTATTTGTTTATTATTATTTTAGTTAAAGTTGTCTTTTGTCTCCACAGCAATTACCATAGTAGAAGCTAACACAATTCTGTCTATTCTTGTTACCACAATGAGACACCACTTTACACCCACTAGGATGGCTAGAATATAAAAGTCAGATAACAAGTGCTGATGAGGTTTTGGAGAAATTGGAACCTTCACACACTGTGGTGGGAATGAAAAACAGTGCAGTCACTTCGGAAAATGGCTGGTAGTATCTCAAATGATTAAACATAGACTTACCATATGACCCAGCGATTTCAACCGTAAGTAACAACCCAAATAGCAACAACCCAAAAGTCCATCAGCTGTAAATGGATAAACGAAATGTGATACATCGATACAATGGAATATTATTTGGCCATAAAAAAGAATGAAGTACTAACACTTGGCTATAACTGGGCAACACAGCAAGACCTCATCTCTACAAAATTTTTTTTAATTAGTTGAGTGTGGTGATGCACACCTGTAGTCCTAGTTACTCATGAGGCTAAGGTAAGAGGATTGTTTGAGCCCAGGAGTTCAAGGCTGCAATGAGCTATGATCACATCACTGCACTCCAGCCTGAGCAACCAAGTGAGACCTTGTCTCAAAAAGAAACTTGCTATAGCACAGATTACTTTGAAAACATTATGCTAAATGTGAAAGAATCCAGTCACAGGAGACCATGTTATATGGTTCTAGTTATACAAAATGTCTGGAATCAGCAAATCTATAAACATAGAAAGTACATTAGCAGTGCATAAAGATGGGTGTATTCGTCTGTTTACATTGCTCTAAAGGAATACCTGAGACTGGGTAATTTATAAAGAAAAGAGGTTTATTTTGACTCATGATTCTGCAGGCTGTACAGGAAGCATGATGCCAGTATCTGCGTCTGGTGAGGGCCTCAGGAAGTTTTCACTCACGGCAGAAGGCGAAGGTGGAGCAGCCATGTCACATGGCGAGAGAGGGAGCAAGGGGGTGGGGGTACTGCATTCTTAAACAACCAGCTCTCACATTAACTCAGAGTGAAAACTCATTCATCGTCATGAGGACAACACTGAGCTGTTCATGAGGGATCCGCCCTCATAACCCAAACTCCTCCCATTAGACCCACCTCCAACATTAGAGGTCACATTTCAATATGAGATTTAGAGGGGACAAACATCCCAACCATATCATTTGACCCCCAGGCCCCCAAATCTCATGCTTTTCTCACACTGCAAAATATAATTATCCCTTCCTAATGGTCACCAAAAGTCTTCACTCCAGCATCACTCAAAAGTGCAAGGTCCAAAGTCTCATTTGAGACTCAAGGCAGGTTTCTTCTACTTATGAGTCTGTAAGATCAAAAGCAGTTATTTACATCCAAGATACAATGGTGGCACAGGCATTGGGTAAACAATGGGGGTCTGGAGTATAAAGGATGGGGGACAAAACCAAATAGCAAAAGGGCACAGGTTTTTTTTTGAGATGGTGAAAATGTTCTGAAATTGACTGTGGCCATGGTTGCATCTATATGAATATAATAAAAACCATTGAGTTGTACACTTCAAGTAAGTGGGTTATATGGTATGTTTCTCTCTCAATAAAGCTGCTAAAAACTATGCTATTCTGAAAAAAAGAATAATATTGCTAATGATATTGCGTAAGAACAAAGATTAAAATAGCTAAGCCTGTATAACCAATAAAAGGCAAGCAATATTACTAAGTCTTATACAACAGGCAAAATTATATATAAAGTGCCCCAATTTATTATAAACTGTATATATATGGCTATATATATAAAACACATAAAAATCAATCTCTACTAAAACTTAAATTTGAGCTAAATATACAGTTGCAGGTTAGCAAATAATAAAACAGAATGCCCAGTTAAGTTTTACTTCTAGTTGCCTATATATATACATTTAGAGAAATGAAAAATATTACATAAGACATACTTTACTATAAAAAGTATTTCTTGTTTATCTGAAATAAATAATAACCATCAAAATTACATATCCATTTTTAAAATTTTATCACCCTAATGGCTCTCCTTAACAGCTCTTTGTTTTCCAGAATTTACTTATAAAACTCCTTGTGGTTATAATCTATACTCCATTTCCATTTTAACACGTCATCTACAGTGGTCCCATCCAACTAGTTTTATTCTTTTGTGCATTTAACATTTACCAATGACAAAACATGCTCATTACGAGCTGGTATTCTAGGCATGTACTGGCCTAAAATTAAAATCCCAGTAAGTACTCTTGGAATTTAATTTGTTGAAGAACATACCATCTTTGGTGACATAACTTGCTTTTCTATTCTTAAGGATTATATTGCATCTTGATCAATGACTTTTAAAATGTTGTCCAATGTCAAAAAAGAGCATTGCTATGAATTTTTATTCCCTTCCTCTTCAACAATACATATGATGATTCCTCTTGTTTCCATGTCGAAAGTGTATTTAATAATATCTCTATAAAAGAATCAAATTCTTCAAGGGATGGTATCAATTTCAAAACATAGTTATAATAAGTGCCATAATAATGAATTAATCCAAGTTGGAATTTCTTTTCTTGTTCAAAGTAATGTTGCCACTTTTAAAAACAAGTTTTGTAGCTACTTAGGAGGCTGAGGCAGGCAGATGGCTTGAGCTCCCAGGAGGCAGAGGTTGCAGTGAGCTGTGATTGCACCACTGCACTGTAGCCTGGGTGACGGAGCAAGGCCATGTCTCAAGAAAAGTAAATAAATAAAAACAAAATAAAATTAAAACAACTTTGATAATTAAAGGAATAAATTTTTCAAGTCATTCTCTAAGGCATTTAATAATTTCCTTAAACAACTACTTCAAAAATGTTCTTCTTTTAATTTGCATAATCCTCTTGCTAAAGTAATTGCAAAATATGAAAAAGAAATAAGTAGCCTTTACTTAATAAACTTTTTAAGTACTCAACAAGAATTTGGGGGGGGGTCTTTCCTTCAGAATTAAAGTATGATTTCATATGAGGATTCTCCCAAATACATTCGTTAAAGAGACCAATAAGTTTTGAATCTGATAGAATGGAAAAACGCTGCTTATAAGTATAGTAAGTCCTCACTTTAGGTCCTCCATAGGTTCTTAGAAACTGTGACTAAGTGGAATTGCATATAATGAAACTAATTCACCATAGGCTGATTGGTGTAAACAAGAGTAAAGTTTCTATGGCATGTTTCTGGTCACAAAAACATCATCAAAGTTCTGCATAAAGACCCAAAACACTTCTAATACTAAACATTGAAATAAATGTGAGCTATACATACTATTGGGAAAGATTAATACAAACAAGATAATTATTTACCCAATTGTTCCAGTTTAGAGTCAAGGGTGGCCGGAGCCTATCCCAGCAGCTCAGGGCATAGGTGGGAACCCACGCTGGCCAGGATGCCAACTCACTGCAGGGTGCTCTCACACACACTCCTACTGTGACAATTTAGACAACTTTTTTCATCAACGTTACAAGGGAATGATGTTGAACAAAACGATGTTATTTGAGGACATGCTGCATAAATGCTGAAGTAAGAGAAGAATTTCATAACAATTTTGTGACAATATCAGTAGAAGGAACATCATATGCTATTTGAACAGCATTATGCAGAATACAGGCAGGACAGTCAACATCTTCTATACAATCATTCATGCTTTGCTTCAACTTTGACTACACATTTTCTGTACCTGTATGCATACATTTACATGGTCCCCACCAAAAGCTATACAATTTATCTCATGAATTCCTAGTTCACTAATAAAGTCCACTAAAATTTTCCAATGTGCCTGAAGTCTCCTCTGGAAGATTTTACTCACAATAGTCTTATAAACAATCCTTTTTTACAGGAAAAATGCTGCACAAGAAATAAGAAATTTTTTTCTGATCGTGATTATTTTATTCACACTTGGCTATGCCACAAAAGGTGAGACATTAGATCTTTGATAATCTGTAGAGTAAATGCAGCTATTATATTTTTTATTATTGCTGTAGATTTTGTCCTGGCACTTAAATATTTGCTTGCAGTTTTGGAATCGAAAAATGCTCTGGTAGCAGTACCTTCAGATAGTCATTTGAGCTTTAAGATTGATGATGACATACACCAGGGAAAGCCATTACAGTTTCTGTTGCCCAGGCTGGTCTCAAATTCCTAGTTCAAGAGTTCCTACTGCTTTTGCCTCCCAAAATGCTGGGATTACAGGCATGAGCCACATCTGGCCTATAGCTGACTTTTTTTTTATGCTGAATGAACAACTTCATTACCCAAAGAGCTTGAAGATAACTTACAAGACACAGTAAGAACTGTGCTTGTAAGATAGTCTGCTGGAGCAAAGCCAGAGTTGATCTTATGTAGGTTTTCAGAATCCTGACATTCAGAGACTGCCGGGCTTTCAGAAGTGAAGTGCCTAGAGACTGAAGGATTTTCAGCTACCTTACTGTGGTCACTGGAGGAAGGCTGCTGTTGACTGGCTGACTCTGGAGCAAGGGTACTGGAGGGAGACCCTTGCCGATTGGCTGTTATCTGTGAGTGTGGGGCATCTCAGATTACTGAGACTGATTAGCTCTCAGACGCTTTGGGCTCTTATGGATTTTCTCCATTTCAGAAGCTTGTAGGGAGGCTGTTTTCTGACTGATTGATGATGAGAAGCATGGCCATAGGAGTGAAGCAATGGCTGTTTGGCTGATTTTCAGAGCCTGTGTGTCGATACAAAGTCGTCTGGGAATGAACAATGCTTACTCATTTACAACTCGGAAATGTGGCCAAAAAAATAGTCTTTTACTTTCTTAAATATGAAAAATAAGTACTTTTAATTCTCAGTTTCCTCTTTTGGTCTTCTCTTAGCCAAATCTGCAGGAGAGACAATGAGGGATTGTCCAGATGTTTATTTCCAAAAGAATGATTTCTAGCTGGTGTTGCTATTTAAGTAATTTAAGTACTAATTATGGGTGCAGAAAAATAGCTCTAGCTGCTGAATTTTTCTAATTTATTGGGGGGAAAAGCCAAATACAGGGCATTTAATGTGTTCTGACAAAGTCAATACAGGACACTGGATATGCCCTGTATGCAAATAATGCCTGGCAACCCTACCCAAACACAATATTCTAGTTGTCACAAACATTAAACGTTTTATGTAACAGTAATAAGATTTTCTTTGTATAGTTTTTAAAAAAATATCATTTGAACGACCTTGGTTTCTCTAAAAACATCAAATTAAATTGAGCTTATTCCTTTTTTCTGTCTCTCATTTATTCTCCTCAAATTACATAGAAATCTTGAAGATCTATTCTGTTAAGGGGCACTTAGTTTTTCTTTTACTCATTGTGTTGCCGATGATGGTAATAATTTCCCACTAAAAATTCTTAAAATAAGGTCTGACTTAGCATATAACCCTTTTGCATTTGCTTACCTGTTTTGCTTTATTCAAAGGCATAATTCCACCTTCCCTCTGTGAGATCAATTAACATTACCAGGAATGTAGTTAAGGGCTAGTTTTGCCTTTTTTAAACAACAAGTTGAAAATTTCATATTTCTTTAGACGTGGCTTAATGCAATTTGCAAATCATAAAGCAAAAGTATTTTTAAGGGGGCTTTAAGAAATCTCTCACAGGTCTCCTAATGGAGATCAAATATAGTTATAATACTGATAAACGTTCTGGACAAATCAGCCCATCCCCTTTCTCTTGGGTGCACAAAGCAGTGGGCTGCAGCTGTTTGACACCCTAGATGGGGCCTGGGGATAAAATGACAAAGCAGTGCTACCACATGGCTGTCAGCTTCCAAGGTGGGTGGGAAAACCTCTCACCCAGAAGGCAATGGTTGGAACACCTCTTCTTGGCCACAAGTCCCATCCCACCCCACATAGGAAGTTATACATCTTTTATCTGTTTATGTCCCTGGAGGCAAGCTGTAGTCAACTGCAGTGGAATCCACAGACCTGTATATACAGAACCACAGGTACAAAGATAAGAACACAACTACCAATCACCAAACATTTGAGGAACACTGGGAAAGTGAGGCACCAAGCTCAACAAACAAGCAAACTCAAACAGGGTAAATAGAACAAACAGAAAAGACTCCAAAATAGTTGTAATTAATACCCTCAGTGTGATAGAAGAGGGACATTGCATATTCATAGGCAACAAGATAGGCAATTAGAAAAAATGTTATATAATTTTGGGTTTTTTGGTCTTTATTTTTTGATCGCAGAAACTGCAAAACTCAGTAAATAACCCTAATATAAGAATGGACAGATGTAAACATTAATTAGAAGATCTAGGTGAAGAATTTTCTCATAATCTAACACAATCCAGAAATTCTCCTCTGAGGAGGGGAAGGGAGGGAGAAGAAAGGGAGGGAAGGAACGAGGGAGTGAGAGAGATCAGAGGTAATGGAAAGAAGAAAAGAAAGAAAGAAAAAGAGAGAAAGGAAGGAAGGAAAAAAGGGAGGGAGAAAGGAAGAGAGGCAGGAAGGGAGGAAGAAAAAGGAAGACAGATTTCCCACATCTAAAGAAAGACAAGAGTATTTCAAAGAAAGGCCCCAATGGATAAGGGCCCCAAAGGGCCTTAATGGGTAGGATTTTTGAAAAGCACCCATGAGACACATTCAAATTGTATTTCACTATCCATGGATAAAGAGAAAATCCTAAAAGCATCCAGTAAGAAAAAAATCATGAAACCTTCAAACAAACAAAAATCAGATTAACTTTGGGTTTCTCATCATTAGCTCTGAATGTGAGAAGATAATGGAGTAATATCTTTGAAATCCTGGAAGACAATTTTGAGACTAAAATTTTTTGAAAAGCTAGATGAGCACAAATTCAATTATTTAAGTACAATTAAAACATCTTTAGTCATGCAGGTATTCAAAGCTTTGCCACCCACAGATTTTTTTTTCTGAAAGTATTACTCAAGAATATAATCCAGTAAGACAGAAAATGAATCTAAGAGAGAAAATATTTAGCTTACAGAAGCAATAATTAGCTAAGAAATTGCTAAAGCATATAGTTATGTCTAAATAATCACTCATGCATAATGTAAAAAAAAACTAATATCAATCTGGAAATAAAATCAAAGACCATTTCAACTAGATGATAAATATGAAGGATTCAGAAGTAAGTGAAAACATGCTAAAATGTTTGTTCTGTGTAGCTCGACAAAAAAATACAGATTATATCTAGACACAGATAGTTAAACAGAATTTTTTAGGTGAATTGCAACTTTTAGGGTAACCAAAAAAAAAATGGATGTAGGACTTGTAACTTTCAAATAAATAAGAAAAGAGTGGGCAAAAAAAAAAAAATAACACAACAAAAGAAAAGAGAGGAAAAAACAAGAAAATGATAAAAATAAAATAGTAAAAATGAAGCAAGAATAAGAAAACCATATCAGATTGACAATTATATAAATTGGTTATATTTCCCCATTAAAAGACAGAGATGCTGAGTAGGAAAAAAGAGAAAAATCCAGCTACCTGCTCTTTTGTAAGAAATATAAAGAAAAAAAAAGAGAAAAAAAAGTACAAGAAAATACTAAACATATGAACAAACCATTTAGTATTAATTGCTAATGGACAGGATCATTCAATGGGACAAAAGAAATATTTCATATTGGTGAAAGATATAATCCCCCAAAATTATAAAACAATGTAACTTCATAATACATAAAGGAAAAATGGATAGAAAACAGAGGATTTGACAAATCCACAGTGGTAACATATTTTAATGCTCTTTTCTTGGATCAGAGAGAGAAAAATTAGTAAAGCTATAAAAGATTTGAATAACCCAGTTGTAAGCTTGACCACAAGTAATTTGCATTCTTTTCAAATACATGTGGGATATTTATAAAAATTTAACATGCATTAAGCCTCAAAGGGAAATCTCATTTTCTAACCACAATGTAATAGGAACAGAAATTAACAAAAAACGATAGTCAAAATTAAAAACAAAGAAACAGTATACTTGAAAGTTAAAAAATCAAAAAAAAACCTTTCTAAGTAATCTTGGGTTAAAGTAGAAATAAAAACAAATATTTGCAACTGGATAAAAATCAATGCTAATGTAAGCACATGTTATCAAACTTGTGAGATTAGACTCCTGAGAAAAAATTATGAAAACTGTGTCAGAAATAGTGTGACGAGACAGCAGTCTCTGATTCTCTTCAATCTGCCTCTTCCTCATTATTGTGGAGAGTCTTTTTTGAAAAATATTGCACGGTAATGATACTATGAAGTTGTGAAAGATGGGTTATATAAGTGAGAAAGAGTGGCATGTTTACCTTTTAGGCATGAAGAATGTGTGGGTCTCAAGCAGGGGTGTCCCATCTTCTGGCTTCCCTGGGCCACATTGGAAGAAGAATTGTCTTGAGCCACACAGGAAATACACTAACACTAAACATAGCTGATAAGCTTAAAACAAATTGCAAAAAAAATCTCGTAATATGTTAAGAAAGCTTACAAATTTGTGTTGGGCCACATTCAAAGCCCTCCTGTGCTACATGTGGGCTGTGGGCCTTGGGTTGAGCAAGCTTGGTCTAGAGCAAAGAGGTTTTACAAGCCTTGGCTTTGAGGGGCTAATAGGAGTTGCTGAGCTTGGGCAAATGCTAAGTGCTTTGGCTCCTTGTAGAATGTCCTGCAAACTTTCAGGATATGGAAGTCTTAGAGATGGAAGGATTAAGGGAGATCAAGAGAAGTGGAGACTCATGGGGAGGATTCTGTATGGACTAAAAAGCAACTCAATGAGGAGAAATATTTTCCAGAATGTCCTCCTCTGCATTCCAAGCTGTTTATGATCACCTGTGAGTAAGATTACACTCTTTCTGCTTATGTCCTCTACCCATAAATTTTTCCAGATATTGCAGGGCATGAAGGGAAGGATATAGAAGAAAGACTGAAAATAACAAACTAAGCATATCACTCAGGTGATGCTAAAAATAACAAACCAAAAGCCGGCTGGGTGTGATGGCTCATGCCTGTAACCACTTTGGGAGGCCAAGGTGGGGGGATCCCTTGAGCCCAGGAGTTCAAGATCAGCCTGGGAAACATGGCAAAAACTGCAAAACCTGGTCTCTACAAAAAAGACAAAAATTAGCCGGGTGTGGTGGCATGCGCCTGTAGTCCCAGCTACTTGGGAGGCTGAGGAGGGAGGATCTCTTGAGCCTAGGAGTTCAAGGCTGCAGTGAGCCAAAGTCACGTCACTGCACTCCAGCCTGGGTGACAGACTGAGACTATGTCTCAAAAAAGGAAAAAAAAAAAAAAGAATTAAAAGGAAAAAAAGATCCTTTTGTAGTTGGTGCAGTAAATCTCTCTTTCTCTCCATACGTGTGTGTGTGTGTGTGTGTGTGTGTGTGTGTGTGTTTACATATATACATAAAATCTCCTGCTAGCTCTGTTCTCTGGTAGAATCCTAACCAAAACATCTGTTCACTATGTGATGGGCACTAAATATTCAATGATAAACACAATAAAGATAGAATTTACAGCTTAATATTGAGAGAGCAATAAATAGACAAGTACTTTGCAAGTTGTGGTATGGGCTAAGAAGGAAAATAAACAGGTGTTATTGAGAGGATATTATAGGAAGGGACTTAATTTAGATTGGGTGGCCAAGGTCCTCTCTAGGTAGATGACATGTAGGCTAAGATGTGGGAAGGCACCAACTTCTAAAAAAATATAAAGATAAGGGGGTCCCATGTAGAGGGAATAATATATGCAAATGAGTGCTTGACATGTTCTTGGAACTTCCAGAATACTAAAATATGTCCTGATCTCTCCCTTGAACACCCAACTCTATACCTAATTATCTACTTGACATATCCACATTTATTTGTATAATTCGTTTTTTGTCTGTCTCCCATCCACCAAAATGAAAGTTCCATTAAGCAGGGATTTTGCCTGTTTTGTTTCTCTGCTCTGTCTTTAGAGTGTTGAAAAGTTCATGGTACTTGGTAGGTCCTCATCAATATTGAATGAATGAATGAATGAATGAATGAACAGTTAGGAACAATTGCAGGAGTCCAGGCATAAGATGATAGTGGCTTAACTAAAGTGAAGGTGGTAGAGACAGAAACAGGTCAACAAGTTTGAGGTATATTTTGGAGTTCAGCACTAGTACATAGATGAGAAACGGAGCGTATAAAGAAAAGGAAGATATTAAGAGTGACTCATGGGTTTCCAGCTTGAACAGCTAGGTGGATGGTTTTGCCTTTAACAGAAATGGGACAGCCTATAGGGTAAACATATTGATATTTCCAGGACCTAGCCTACAAGCTTTGTGGCTATTTGATAAATGAATGAATGAAATGGTGAATTTAATCACCGTCATTGTGTTTAGGCAAAGAACAACTATCTTAATGTGTTTTTCTTTTATACGTTTTAATGATATCTTTAGCTACTTCTAGAAGTTTTTTTTTTTAAGGCCAGAAAGTAAATATATTAGTAGTAGAATGAAGAACTGTGTTTGGATGACTTAAGGGACCTTTGGCTAAAGGGAAATCTGGAGGACAGGAAAATTCCTTATGCTAGCAATAACACACGATCTTGGTGCAATAACCATAGAGTGGACCTGCGTGTATCACAAGAAATGGGTTTCTCTTTTCTTGATCTCTTTCTCTGTTTTAAGTCAGATACTTTTACTTCAAAATTTAAAATTTCATCTTACTGAAATGCTTTAGTTTTGTAAACTATCCATGATATTTTTTGCTTTGGAATGGTTTTTCTCAAATAATGCGGCATGGATTATTATTATCCGGGGGATAGAGCCCTGGAGTGAGAACTTGTTAAAAAGTGCACCCTCCTAGGTCCTAGCCCAAACTTAAGGAATCAGCAACTTTGGGGGTAGAAGCCAAATCAGCATTTTAACTATGCCTCCTAAATGATTCTTAAGCACACTAAAAGTTGAGAACGACTCCTATAGGAGTATAAAAATAGATACACGTTTAGAATAAAAACCTGAAACATAGTTTAATTTTATTTTCTTTTTGTTTTTTTAAATACAAATTTATGACTCTCAAAACCAGCACTTCTGAAAGTATGGACAAGGGGATGCTTAGGGACCTCCCCCACCACAAGTCCTTTTCATAGAGTCCACAAGATCAAAACTGCTTTTGTAATAATACTGAAATGTTATTTGACTTTTTCTATTCATTCTCTCATGAATGTGCAGTGGAATTTTCCAGAGGCTAAATGACAAATGCTATCATAACAAAAAAAATGCAGAAGTAGATAGGAGGATCCAGCTTTCTTCTATTAAGCATACATTGAAGAGATTCTCAGAAGTGTAAAAAAGCCATTTCACTCATTACCTTTTTTATTCTAGAAAATATAGCTATTTTTCATTAAAAGATGTTAACATTTAATGAATCTGTTATTATTTTAAAATAAGTAAATATTTTTAGAAATTACATAATTTTAGTTTCCATTACAGTGAATATCAATAGATATAATCCACAAAAACAAAAGCTCTTTGGGATGTTCCATAATTTTTAAGAGGGTAAAGTTGTCCTGAGTCCAAAAGTTTGAGGATTATGGTCCTAGATTTGTTTTTCTTCTCTAAAAGAATCGAATCCTAAGGGATTTTAGTGGGAACTCTTTTCTGGTTCCTGATCAGCTGCACATTCTGAATCCTTGTGGTTTATGACCAAACAACTGGTTGACCAAGTGAGCTAATATACTGTTGAGACTTTGGTGAAGCCCTTTATCTATTCTAGAGTAAACAGTGATGGTTTCCATGAAGATTAAGTAAAAAGCTAGAAAAACAAGCTCTTTAGAATTTCATTCAAGTAGCCAAGTCTAGACAACAGTAAAAAAGGAGCAGATAGGGTATTATTAAAACAAAGATGTTTTAGGCATGTGTAATATGACACAGTAAAAACAGCATTGTCCTTGAAGTAAGCTTTCTTGAGTAAATCAACTTTTTCTGGGCCTCAGTTTTTTTCATATAGGGTTTATATTGGAATCTAACATTTATTCATTTATTCATACATACATATATTTATTTCTTTATTTTATTCAACAAATATTTATTAAACATATTCTTAGCTCCAGACACATTGTTAATCACTGGAGAAATAGAGGTAAATGATCTAATATCTGACCCTGAGGTGTTCATAGTCTATAGGAAGCTAAATCTATTTAAAATTTATTTAAATTTACTCTAAAATTGGTCTGCAGTTCTACAACATTTTCTCTATTTCCCCAGTTTAATATTTCTTCACTGCACTCATCATGACCTGACGTCTTATGTATGTATGTATTTCCTTTGGAGAGAGGGTACTAATTGTCTCAGTAAACTAGATATTCCAGGAGGACAGGGCTTTTGTCTTGCTAGTTTTTTCCTGGCACATGGTTGACACTTGGTAGGAATTTTTTGAGTAGATGAAAGAAAATACGGGGAAAAAGGAGGGCTAAATACATATACAGGGGAAAGAGAGAGGAAAAAAGGAAAGAAAAGGAAAAAGAGAAAGAAAATACTTAGGAAAACAAATCAATATATTTATTGAGTAAAGAAGGATGAGTTGAAGTTAGGTGAGGTATTAGAGAGCTGGAAAGAAAGAGCATTCCATGCAGAAGGAGGTGCATGTACAAAGACTAAAAATGTGGAATAACATGGGACTGTAAGTTGTTCAATATAGAGAGTTGCAATGTGTGATCAATAGGGCAGGGAGAGAGAAGAGATGGGCAGCTGTAAGGTTCTGTGAATCTATGAAGGAAAGGATGTGAAGGTGTGAGTGGCTTTGTGCATGCCTCCACTTCGTGGCTTAAGCAATGTGGACTTCTCTGTGGACTGGTCAGATAGATATATGGTTTTAGTGTGGGAAAGCTTTTAGTTATTATCCAACAGTATTGATGGTAGAATTATTGTGATTACGGTTAATGTATACTGAGTTCCTGGTAAGTGAAAAGAATTAACATGTATTTTCTCATTTTCAAACAACCTAATGAGGTAGAGACTATTATTAATTTCTATTTCGTAGATGAGGAACTTGGTGTTCAGAGGGGTTATGGGACTTGCCCAAAGCCAGTGGCAAAGTGGTAGCCAGTCTCCAAGAAGGCCATCAATGATCTTTACTTCCTGATATTCCTGCGCATGTGCAGCATCCTCCCATAATGAAAGGAGAGCTGGTCTGCATGTGCTGTGAAATATGGTGGAAGTGATGGCGTGTGACTTCAGAGGTCAGATCACAAACAACATTTCAGCTTCAACCTTGACCTTTTGAATTGCTCACTCTGAGGGAATCTCAGGGGCTGGCCTAAGGTGGCTTCTCTTTTTCTAGGCAGGATAATTTGTCTAGGGTCAGGAATTAAAGGTAAGAGTAAGGAATGGAAAGAGACTCTTGGAGTATGTGATAAGAATCTTGGAGCAGAGGCAGTAGCAGTAGGCTTCTATTTTTCTAGAGAAGCAGCAGAATTCACTTTAGGGGCCCGACAGCCCTATATAAGCTTTGGGGAATGATGGAGAAGGAGCCGTGTTCACAGTGTGGCATAAAGTGAACTGAACGGAAAACCACTTGGAAAATGGGAGTTTCCTCCTAGGAACTTTAGGCTTTGGACTTCCAGAGTCGTACGAGATAAGACTGTTCATTATTTATTTATTATGTATTTGAGATGAGACTGTTAATTAATAGGACATTGGAGGATTTGGGAAGGACTGGGATTGCCTTTGCAAAGTCACCTAACGTGTGTCTGGCTTACAGCAAATATCTACATAGGCTTGTTGGATGTGAATCTGTTCATTTGGTCTATATCTGAGATATCAGTTCATACAAAAACTTATCTGGGATATAAGTCAAAACAACAGTCCTGTCAAACCAAATTGTTGAATTCTTTCTTTTTAAAATCTCTCAATTTTTCCACTAAATATTTACTTGAACTAAAGAGTCAGAAGGAATAAACATGTGTAGACCACCTGGTTTGTGCGAAGCACTGTGCTAGGTACTTTTACTTGCACTGTCACCTGCTCCTCCTTGCTGCAATCCTCTCCATATGTCTTTGCTTTGCTCATTTAGCCCAAATAGAAGCCCCACGTGGCTTCTGCCTAGTCTTCCTATGATGGTCACAGTTGGGGAATTTCTGCCACTGCGGAGGAGCCAACCAGCTGGCTCTGAGCCTGTATTTCATAGCCTCACTGTCACAAGGCTGCTAGGTAAGAATCACCTTTTTTCTGATCCGTAGTGATTTGCACTTCTCCTCAGTAACTATATTTATGCTTAAAGCAATTCATGCCCTCCATTTAGCCTGTATCTTTCCTCTTATGGAGCTGTAGTGCACATTAATCTCACCTGACTTTACATCTCATTTAAGGGAGAGGCTGGAAGAAAGTTTTGTGGTTGAGAAACTGAAATAAAGAGGGACTAATACCAAATTATAATTATGTCTTACAGTTTTCAATTTTTAAAAATGTCCCAGACCAATGTTTCTTAAATCTGGGAGCTACATTAACCTTGTAAAGGCAAAAAAGTTTCATGAAGTCTCAAAACTATGTCTACTTACTTCAGTGGGAAAAATACTACTTTATGGAACAAAAGTCTTATTCTACAAGCAAAGTTTTTCAAATATGAATTGTCACTGCAAATAATCTTTATAACAGGTGAAGTTATTTTTGTACTATCTTTAAAATGAAAAATTAACATTTAAAATTCCTCACAAAATTACCAAATCCTTGAGAATGCAGCCAAGCCTGCCCCACCTAGTTTGAGAAAATCTGTACCAGCCACAAGTTTATTTCTATATTATATATCCCCAATTATATATTAGGTCTTTGGAGGCCCTGGCAGTGTAAGGCACCACACCTCTCTTTCTCTTTCTTTTTTGAGATGGAGTCTCACTCCATCACCCAGGCTGGAGTGCAGTGGCGTGATCTTGGCTCACTGCAACCTCAGCCTCCCAGGTTCAAGCGATCCTACTGCCTCAGCCTCTTGATTAGCTGGGACAACAGGTGTGCACCACCACACCCAGTTAATTTTTCAGGCTGGTCTCAAACTCCTGACCTCATGTGAGCTGCCTGCCTCGGCCTCCCAAAGTGCTGGGATTATAAGCATGAGCCACCGCACCCTGCACGCTTGTTTCTTTCTGTATGGATTTAAAGGGAAAAAAAATCAAAGCATATTTCTTTTAATTTGTTCATGCAATATGTAGTTATCTGCATTCCATTTGTCTGGGTTTGCTGTGTGTGAAAAGCTGATGTCATTAGTACCGACAAGGTCTTCGACTTTGTTTTGCACGTGCTTTAAGCCCCACTTGTATTCTCAAGTGTCAGGCTCTCTCTGGGGTGGGCTGATGACCATTCTTCCACCTGGAGATGCGTATTTCATCCAGCTACTGGCAGCTGCAAGGGTTTCAAGGCCTAGGAAAAGCTTAGTCCTCTGAGACTGCTGCTTGCCCAGAAATACAAGTCATACTTTTGTGATATCTGGTTGCTTGCCATATGGTGTCTCAAGGGGTCTGGGATCATTTACTGCAATAATTCAGTGGGATCATGTGACAGTGCTCAGGGTCTAAGACAGGCACACAAGAAACATCACTACTACTGCATGGCCTTCTTTAGCAGCATGTGGAAATGTTGCAAACCATGGGAAGGCTTGGATTAACCCCATAAAGGGACAAAGCAAGGAAAGAACTGGCTGGGATTCCCAACAATCTTGGAGTTCAAAGGACCCATGGTAGGGCTGTTCTGGAGTGTTGGATGGGATGATAATTATTAATAGTTCCATCTGGTTCCTATAAAAACAATCACTTCAAAAACATTGATTATTAAAAGCCTCATAGAAAATTTATTTTTACCACTTCTCGGCCTGGGTAAGATCAAGTGTGGTATCTGTTTATATCAGTTTAATATCTGATACATCCTCTATCGGAGGATAATATATTGAATGGATTTTTGGAGCTAGTAGATGGACTAGTAACTTGCCCCACTCCACCCATTGACCTGGTATTACAGTACCTCCAGGAATGGTGCATCCCCTTTGGGGTATAGAATGGTTGCAACAAAAAGTAGATCAAGGCTGGGTGTGGTGGTTATGTCTGTAATCCCAACACTTTTGGAAGCCAACGTGGAAGGATCGCTTGAGCTCAGGAGTTTGAGACCAGCCTGAGCAACATGGTGAAACCCCATCTCTACAAAAAAAAAAAAAAAAAAAAAAAAAAATATTAGCTGGGTGGGGTGCAATATGTTTGTAGTCCCAGCTGCTCAGGAGGCAGAGTCACTTGAATCCAGGAGGTAGAGGTTGCAGTGAGCTGAGATCGCGCCATTGCACTCCAGCTTGGGCAACAAGAGGGAAACTCTATCTCAAAAAATAAAAAATAAAAATAATAAAGAATTTTTTTTAATTACTGGGAGGAACAGTGTCAAAGTTTTAATGTTGTCTTTCAGGGATAAGATGACAAATGGCTTTTCCTCCTGCCTCTCTCTATATTTCTATACTTTCCAAATGAGCTACAAGAATGTAATGTAGATATTCATACTCAGACTGACTGGCTCCACTATCTAATACCCAGGTGGCCCTGGACTAATTTCTAATCTCACTCTACTTCCATTTTTTTCTGTAAATGGGGATTCTATGAATAATGCCTGCTTTCGTAAAGCTGTTGTGAGAATTAAATGAGGCAATACAAGTAAAGGTTTAAACAGAGCCTGGCATATAGTAACTACACCCACATTTTGGCTATTGTTACTATTACTGCTATACTTAATTGATTCTAAGACTCACATTTTTCTCTTTCATTTTTACTGCTTTCTAATTGGAATATATCTCATAGCTGATGATATGACATGCTTAATGGACAACCCTTTTTATTGTCTTGGTGACTTTGGTGGTTTGATGCAGTCAGTCTGAACAGCTGTGCAGTTGGCTTTGCACTGTTGCAGTCTAGGTCAGAGGCTCTATCCCTTGGGCTATGTGGTATTTTGAACTTGCTGATTACTGCTGTTTATGAAGGCCTTATCCACAGGCCAATAGCTATCTTTTTGAAGGCAGACCCGACAAATGCATGGGGCCCACAGTTGCCTTCAGAAGCTAGCCATGAGGGGGCTGGTGAGCAAGCAGACACTGGCCTTCCTGTCCTCAACAAAGCTACTGTCCCCCAGTGGGGGCTTTGCTCAGCTGGCTGCTGCCTGTCCTTGGATTACACAGGCATAAATGCTCTGGCCTCTTGGGCTTCTGGACAGATTCTAGTGGGCCTCAAAGGGCTTAATACTGAAAAAGCTAAGGCAGTAGTCCATTTGTAAGGGGGTAGGGGAAAGTCTTTGGACATACTTTAAAAGCAGCACACTTTTGGTGCTTTTAAAATGCAGTGCAGCTGAAGGGTATTTGTGTGTGTGGTGTGTGTGTGTCTGTGCATGCGTGTGTGTATGTTGCAGGAAGTTTCAGTTAAGAGTGCCAGACCCTGGGAGGGAGCACTAGATGAGCTGCTCCAATTTCATTCTGCATCCAGGACCAAAGAGTGAGCTGTGAAGGAGCTAACCTTAAATTCATAGGATTTGTACACAGATTCAAGGATCACTCCTCATTGTGTGATCTCAAGATGTCCCAGATTAGAATGCAGAGTTCTTAGGACTACTGACCTGGCAGTAAGAGGTAGTAGAAACAGCCTCTATGAGCAAAGACAGAAAAAGCCAGATCAGAAAAGAATATGATTGCTGTGTAACTTGGCGGTGCCTACGTTCAGTTCAATATTGGGGTGCTAGTGAAGGAAGATGTGTGCTCCAATGGAAAACTATGAAACTATGTCACATCTAGACTAGCACAATACACCCTTCATGGTTATCTAATTTCTATTCTATGGGAGCTATTTTCTAACTCTGTAAGTAGGAAAATAACTGATGCCAATCAAAATAATTACTTTCTTTGTATTTTGAAATTTTTTTGAAGTGAAATTTTTTCTGGTGGAGGAACAATACTCCCTCATCCTCTCACTACCCCATGCCCATGCAGAAGCCAGTTTTGCATCCAAATGAGCATTCACATCAACATTTCTTAGTCCATAAAAATTTGTACTTCTATGACTTCTCCTTTGAACCAGTTGCCTGGTTTCTCCACTTAATTAATGGGTTACATAACATCTTTAACATGTGCTCATTTTCTATCTATATGAGAGTCATGATTTTGCTTCTTTTTAAAATATCTTTGAACACTAGAAACATGGGATTCAAAGGACAAAGAACAATTTAGGAAGTTTTGAATATACTGGATGGGAAAGAAAGGCACCTCAAATAAGACTGGGAATGCCCCTAGGTCAGCTCTCTGGACTTTGCTCAAAGCAGCAGTATCTTAAATGCTCTTTTCTGAGAGGTGACAATATGCGTAGGAGTATTTCTCTCCCCATCTGGAAAATTCATGGTTCCAAAAATAAACTCTTGCCAAGAGCCATTTCCTAGTTATTGTTAAGCTCCCAGATCATGGCCTATGGACAAGTGGCATAAACTCTGGCATACTGGTGCAGCTCAAACCAAGAAAGTGTCTTCTTCCACTCAATGCTGCCGAATCTCTGCTGCGGTCTTTGCCAACTCTCTTTGGTTTAGACTAAGTACTGAGTTGGGAGAATATAATTTTGTTCTGGGATAACTGCCCTAGGGACTGGGGATGCAGCAATTTTCTAAATTTGGTAAATGTGGGACCAGTGCTATTAAGTACTACTAATTAACTCTGAACTTTTTCCAAGGGTGGTACATGAAAGATTTAGCGTGAAGTAATACTACATCTTGAGAACTACACTAATTCTGTTATGGAACAGCTTAAGCTGTAACTGCTGAAAGAATCACATTATCCAAGATGGAGAATCTCTATCTGAAAACTGAACAAGATAAGAGATTGAGAGGGGTAAATTTTGAATTGGTATGTCTTTGGACATTAACACTGAATGGCAAGGGAAACTGATTCTGGACTTTTAATTCCATTGGACAATAATGTTTTTAGAGTCATCTTGTAAGCAGGCTTAGTTGCTCTTGTGAACTCTTTATTTTTCTTGAGATACAGTATTGCTCTGTTGCCAGGCTGGGGTGCAGTGGTGTGATCATTGCTCACTGTGATTTCAAACTTCTGGGCTCAAGCTCAAGCAGTCCTACAGGTATGCACTACCACACCTGGTAATTTTTTTCCAGAAAAAAAATTAACAGGTTTATTTATAATTATTACAAAGCAGAACTGCTGAAACTTGTTCACTGAAACATTTTGACTTGCATTAACGCTTTACGTCCCTGCATTTACATTAAAAATTCACAAGAACTACCAATAACAGCAAGAAGATAATTTTTTTTTTTGAGAATGAAATGTTTCCCATCATAGTGGATTCTTAAGCACATTCTCCACGTATGCAACGTGCTAGCTGGATGTCTTTTGGCATAATTGTTACACGTTTGGCATGGATAGCGCACAGGTTGGTGTCTTCAAAAAGGCCAACCAGATAGGCCTCACTTGCCTCCTGCAAAGCACCAGTAGCTGCGCTCTGCAGCCCAGATCTGTTTTAAAGTCCTGAGCAATTTCTCCACCAGATACTGAAAGGGAAGTTTGCGAATCGGAAGTTCAGTGGACTTCTGATAATGTTTAATTTCTCGGAGTGCCACAGAACCGGCCTGTAACAATGAGGCTTCTTCATCCTTCCAGTAGTGGGCGCACTCTTGCAGGCGGCTTTTGTAGCCACTTGCTTTCTGGGTGCTTCACCACCGGTGGATTTGCAGGCAGTCTGCTTTGTAAGAGCCATGGTATAGAGACCTCCTTACTTACCCCCCTTCTCCTTAGGCTGGAGCTCAGCGAGTGAGAGGTGGTGCTGGCGTTGGAGAGCAACGGCCCACACCTGGTAATTTTAAAAAATTGTTTGTAGAGATGGGGTCCTGCTGTATTTCCCAGTCTGGTCTCAGACTCCTGGCCTCAAACAATTCTTGTGACCTTTTAATGGAAGAGAGTTTATATTCATATTTCTATGCTTGCTGACCATTTTTTGTTGGACTGTCTTCATATTGAACCTCTAATAGACTATGCTGGTGCAGGAGGCTGCTCAGGACTTGTGATGAAAAACAGAATAGGCAGTCAACTTTTGGAATTGGGTAGAAAGTGGCTTTGGACTTAATTTACCTACTATACTGTTCCGATGCATTTAAGACTCTTCTGGGGGCAAAATCAAAACTGCTCTCTGGTGGTTCCAGGATGATATTCAAAGGGGAAGTTGTTGGTATTGCAGAAGCACCCATGAGATGGGAGCATGGACTGAGAGCCTGCTGATATTTTCCCCCAAAGGAGCAGCTGCACCCAAGGGTTAATGGTTAATAAAAAACACAACTAGACAACATGTTTAGGAAACTCTCCTGACGTTTCTTTCCATGTGAAGGACATTGATTATATAACACTTTCTTCACTCCTTTACTTATAAACCCATGAGTTTGGAGGAGAAAAATGGGCATACAAAGTGTAAACTCTTCACTTTTCATTCCTTCTGGCAGTGAGCTGCCCTACAAAGGATATGTGTCTTCCTCCTCTACATTGAGATGGTGGCCTTGACTAGCACTCCTGGGAGCAGAATCTCTAATTCTGGTTCCAATATCAGGCAGCTTGCTTGTCTGCAGATATAAGCTTCCTTCTCCAGTATCAGTTTTATCAACAATAAAGGTAATATTTCAATTTTACATCTGTTTCTTTTCTTTTCCTTTTCTTTTCTTTTTTTTTCTTGCTCTGTCACCCAGGCTGGAGTGCAGCAGTGTGATCACGGCTCACTGTAGCCTTGACTTCCTGGGCCCAAACAATCCTTCCACCTTAGCCTCCCAAGTAACTGGGAGCACAGGCATGCTTCACTACCCCAGCTAATTTTTAAATTTTCTGTAGAGAAGAACCAACCCATGCTGGTTCCGAACTCCTGGGCTTAAGCCATCTTGCCATCTTTCTACCTTGGCCTCTCAAAGTTTTGGGATTATAGGTGTGAACCACCTTGCCCAGCCTTGTTCTTTTGATCTTACTTTAAAACTCAACGAGAAGAGAGGTATCATTTTGGGGCTTCTCTCATGTATCAACACTGTGCATTACTATTTTTCACAGTAAAATAAATGTATGTTATTTTAAATTATCAGCTGAGTGTGGTGGCTCATGCCTGTAATCCCAGCTCTTTGGGAGGCAGAGGCAGGAGGATCACTTGAGGCTAGGAGTTCAAGACCAGCCTAGTCAACATAGCCAAGCCCTGTATCTATCAAAAACCTTTAAAAAAAAATTAGCGCATACTGGTAGTCCCAGCTACTTGGGAGGCTGAGATTGCAGGATCATTTGAACTCAGCAGTTCAAGGCTGCAGTGAGCTAAAATGGTGCCACTCCATTTCAGTGTGGGTAACAGAGAGAAATCCTGTCTCTTAAAAAAATAAATAAAAATAAGCTAAATGACCTCTTAATAATTCAATATAAATTAATCGCATTCCATGTCAATTTTATATGCCTTAAACTAATCCCAGAGCCAGTGTGTATACGTACACACACAAAATAGTTTTCAGTATTTGAATGAGAGCTAATTTACATAGGGAGATATTTTAATAATTTATTCAAGAGAGGTAACAGTTTGTGAAAAAAATAAACCTTGTATAAGGTCCCCAGGAGAGAAATTTAAGCTAAATTGATCTAAATTATAATAATTCTATTAGAGTCTCTGTCTCCCAAGACATCATTCACCAAATAACTCCCCCCATAGCAGGATACAAAAAATTTCAAATACGTATGCACAGGCACACAAGTGCATGTATAAAAAAATTTTAGTTACATATTGGAAACACTAACAAGTTTCTCAGATTTTTGTTTCTTTCAGCTATTTGATCTACCTTTATTCTCCCACATTCCCGAAGGGAACATATATTCTATATATCTGTATAGCTATAAATCTATGTATGTATGTGTATATGTATATGTATAGATATAAATGTATGCATATTAATATATATTTATATTTACAATACATATATAACATATATTTATATATTCCCTCTTGTCTTCACAATTAATACTTGGATATTACCTTTACATTGGTAGTTATAGATATATTCTTTTTATAATCAGAAAAAAATTTGTGTGTAAAATCTTCAGGTGTTATCCATGTAGATAATAAGGGAAGTAGAATTGCTCAACAATGCACAGCAAAAATCTTAGCTATCCAGATCTTCAAATAAGTCTCGGATCTGGGATCTCAGGCCCCATCAGCCTGGGGCCACCATGAAAGTAGTACAGGATTTACTGGCTGTCATCTGTCTTCTCTATTGTGAGATTTTGAGACCTTTCCAAGTCCCTGGGCTGTCTCATGTGTGGCTCACACACAGTATTTTCAGCTATTATCAAATGTACATATGTTGGGGGCTACCCTCTCCAAGCCTCTTGCACAGATTGCAGATGGAGGTGGTGTAGAAGAGTACAGGAGGAGAGGGAGGAAATGGGCCAGGTAGCAGTAAGAACCATAATTTCTCAGAAATGCCCTTCTCTCATTCAGTGGCTACTCTCCTATCACCTTGTATTAGTCTGTTCTCATGCTGCTATAAAGAACTGACCAAGCATGGGTAATTTATAAAGAACATAGGTTTAATTGACTCAAAGTTCCGCATGGCTGGGGAGGCCTCAGGAAACTTACAATTATGAGGGAAGGGGAAGCAAACACGTCCTTCACTTGGTGGCAGGAGAGAGAAGTGC
Source organism: Homo sapiens (assembly GCF_000001405.40). Lineage (NCBI taxonomy): Eukaryota > Metazoa > Chordata > Mammalia > Primates > Hominidae > Homo > Homo sapiens. Next base: position 115,767,640 of record NC_000005.10, on the reverse strand, counting down.
TGAGCAAAGTGGGAAAGCCCCTCATAAACCCGTCAGATATCTGGGAACTCACTCACTGTCAAGAGAACAGCATGGGGGAACTGCCCCCATGATCTAATCACCTCACACAAGGTATCTTCCCCAACATATGAGGATTACAATTCAGATTACAATTCAACATGAGGTTTGGGTGGGGACACAGAGCTAGGCCATATCACACCTTCTCTTGTAAGTCTTTCCTTTTCTTTAGAGGAGGTCCTTCTCAAGGAGCCCTGAAGTCCCTCTCCATGGACTTTCTTCTTGTGATTACATAGCTGTGAATCCTAGGCCAGGCCTAGCTTGGGTTCAAGCTAAACCCACCATTGTGTTTTCTGATTGGCTGAGTTTCAAATACTGAGACATTTATCCTTTGAAAAACAAAACAAAATTTTAAAAAACAGTTTGGATAGAAATGGAGTTCACTCTTCATTAGGGCTTTAAATGATACCTGAACGTGAATCAAACTTTCTCTAATGATCCAGGGTCAACCTTATGAACATGATAGTTGGCACTGTTCTATGACACAGCTATTTCCTGCTCTTGAGCTTTGTAACTGTTTGCTACAAGTCCTAAAATGCTTTACTTCTGGGGATCCTCTGTCTTCTATTCACGGTTATAGTGTCTTGTTATAGTCAATGTCCTTGTGAATTAAAAACTAGAAAAGCAATATTGATAAATTTGGTGTAAATTAGAGTAAGTTGGCTCTTCTGAGAGTTACTGGAGTTTTCCCATGAATATAACGTATACCCTCAAGAGAATTTGGGAATCTTTATTTTGGCTGCTCTGATGCCTTTGTGATTTGGCTTCTAGGTCACAGCTGATTTCCTGTCTATGACTCTGCATCCTGATTTTTCCAAGGCAGTCATAATGTCCTGGAGTAATATAGTGCTAGTTTCTGCTTTCATTCTCAAAGGTGTTGCAAACTGGATAATAGATTAACTGGTCACTTTACAGATAAGTGATAGTATCAGCAGGTTTAAAAACTGTAATAGTTTCTTCTCTAAGTGATCTATATATCAGGATTGTACTCAGGTTCACCAAAAATGAAAAAGAAAACACGAAAATGTACAGTAGAGCTTTATTCTAAAGATTTACAGATTTGCTTGCCTAATAGAAATCTGAGATTGAAGGAGGAAATCTAATATTAAGTACCTACTGTTTACCTTGACCTATGCCAAACACATTCGCATTTATCAAATTTATTTAACCCTCAAAATAGATACAATTCTCTTCTATGTAAAAGGGAGTCAAGTCACCAAGAATTAGCTTACGAACCTCGAGGTTGACATAAGGAGAAAAGAGAGATGCTTTTAAACCACAGATAGACTTATTTCAAATTCTTTTATTCCATTCCTAACTACAGTGTTTATTATTATCACACAATATGCTGGAGAACCTCTTCTTGGTAACATTATAACATTGTCTTCACAGTTGGTTAAAAGGAAGAGGTAGGATAGGAAAAAGAACTTAATTTAATTCGGAAGTGTTTGGAAAGCCTTGGTTTGGAGAAGTTGCTGAATATAATGTCATAGCTTTAGTTTAATTGTAAAGGGTACCTGGCCGATTACTGCTTTAGTTTCTGAGGTCTGTGGCTTTGAACATTGATAAGCATGAAATGAGTCAAAGGAATGGAAAATCGTGGGGGAAAATGTAACTTTAACCATTCTGGGTATATCTGGGAATGCAGCCCTTCATTTTAAAAAGTGAAGGCTTACAGCACAAAATAGTAGGATTCTGAGAAATGTGTCACACCCACCCCATCCATAATCATTTAAAAAAACTGTCTATATATTAGGGCCCAAGTCTGCCATTTTGATTTATGTATATTCTTTTTTTCTTATGTTTTTAATTTTTCTTTTCTTTCCCTGATTTCCTGTAGGTTACAAGAACATTTTTTGAAAGTCCATATTTATTTATCTGGGATTTTTGAGTCTATTTCTCTTTATAGTCTTTTTTAAAGGTTGTTCAAGTTATTATATTATACCTACATAAATTAACACAGTGTACTGGTGTTAAGATTAACCAGCTCAAGTGAAGTATAGAACACTTAACCCCACTTAAGTCTCCTTTACCCACTTCCATTTATAATATAATTGTCTTAAATACTTCCTTTATGTACATTGAGAAACATATTGTTAAATTAAGGTTGGCCTATAGCTGTCTCTTTATGTTTTAAGTACTGCCTAAAGCCTTCTTAGTGTATAATAGACTGTAACCCAAATTGATGTGTAAATAGACTGTAAACTACTTTAACAAATAGCTGAGGCTCAGCCAATCACAGCAGCTTAACTTCAGCCAATCATAGAAAGCCAGCTGTTCAAACCAGTTTCAAATAAGGTAAATGCCCACCTTTAACCAATCCAGCTGTTTCTGTACTTCACTTCTGTTTTCCGTATATCATTTTTTTTTCCTATTTATAAATGTTATCTCACTGTGTGGCAACCCTGGAGTCTCTCTGAACAGTTTTTGTCTTTGATTTTTAGAAGTTTGATTATGATATGTCTTGGTGGGCTTTCATTTATGTTTATCCTATTTTGAATCTTGCAGTTTGTTGACTTTGTAGGTTTATACTTCTTGCCAAATTGGGATATTTTGCAGCTATTATTTTTTGAGTGCTTTTTTATTCTCATGATTTCTCCTCTCCTTCTAGGACTCCAATGACATGGAGTTAGATCTTTTGGTATGGGTCCATTGGAACTTTAGGCTCTGTTGATTTTTGTTCAGCCTATATTCTATCTGTAGTTCACATTAGATAATTTCTGTTGCTCTATCTTCAAGTTCATGGATTCTTTCCTCTTTCTTCTTCATCGTGCCGTTGATCCCATCCATTAAAATTTTAATTTATATTGTTGCATTTTTCAGTTTTAAAATTTCCATTTGGTTCTTTTTTTGCTGAGATTTTCTATTTTTTTCATTTTTTTCAAGTGTACTTGTAAATTTTACTGAAGCCGTTTTATACTAGCTGTTTTAAAACTCTTGTCAAATGATTCAAACAATATTCATGTCGTCTTTTTGTTGGCATCTGCTAGGGTTTGAATTTGTCCCCTAAAGTTCATGTGTTGGGAACTAGATTCCTCAATGTGGCAGTGTTGTGAAGTTATGTGGTTTGGTTCTGTGTCCCTACCCAAATCTCATCTTGAATTGTAATTCCCACGTGTTGAGGGAGGGACCTGATGGAGGTCATTGAATCATTGGGGGCAATTTTTCCCATGCTGTTCTCATGATAGTGAGTGACTTCTCACAAGACCTGATGGTTTAAAAGTGTGTGGTTGTTCCTCTCTGTCTCTCTTTTGCTGCCATGTAAGATGTGCCTAGCTTTCCCTTTGCCTTCTGCCATGATTGTAAGTTTCCTGAGTCCTCTCCAGCCAAGCAGAACTGTGAGTCAATTAAAACTCTTTTCTTTATAAATTAACCAGTCTCAGGCAGTTTTTTTTTTTTTTGAGATAGAGTCTCACTGTGTCACCCAGGCTGGAGTGCAGTGGCATGATCTCAGCTCACTGCAACCTCTGCCTCCTAGCTACAAGTGATCCTCCCACCTCAGCCTCCCAAGTAGCTGGGACTACAGGCATGTGCCACCATGCCCGGCTAATTTTTTGTATTTTTAGTAGAGATGGGGTTTCACTATGTTGGCCAGGCTGGTCTTGAACTCCTGACCTCAAGTGATCTGCCCACCTCAGCCTCCCAAAGTGCTGAGATTACAGGCATGAACCACCATCCCCAGCCGCAGGTAGTTCTTTATAGCAGTGTAAAAATAGACTAATACAGAAAATTGGTATTTGGAGTGGGGTACTGCTATAAAGAGAACTGAAAATGTGGAAATGACTTGGGAATTTGCAACTGGGTAATGGGCAGAGGTTGGAATAGTTTGGAGGGCTCAGAAGAAGACAGGAGGATGTAGGAAAGTTTGGAACTTTGTAAAGACTTGTTGAATGGTTTTGACCAAAATGGTTTTAGTGATATGGGCAATGAAATCCAGGCTGAGGTGGTCTTAGATGGAGTTGAGGAACTTATGGGGAACTGGAGTAAAGGTTACTCTTGCTGTGCTTTAGCAAAGAGACTGGCAACATTTTGCCCCTGCCCTAGAGATCTGTGAAACTTTGAACTTGAGAGAGATGATTTAGGGTATGTGACAGAAGAAGTTTCTCAGCAGCAAAGCATTCAAGATGTGATCTGGCTGTTTCTAAAAGCATATAGTCATATGCATTCACAAGGAGATAATCAGAAATTGGAACTTATGTTTAAAAGGGAAGCAGAGCACAAAAGTTTGGGAAATTTGCAGCCTAATCATGTGGTAGAACAGAAAAACCCATTTTCTGGGGAGAACTGTAAACTTTTGGCTGCAGAAATTTGCGTAACTAAAATGAAACTGAATGTTAATAGCCAAAATAATGGGGAAAAAGTCTCCAGGGCATTTCAGAGATCTTCACAGCAATCCCTCCTATCAAAGACCTGGAGGCCTAGGAGAGAAAAATGGTTTTGTGGGCCATGCTCAGGGTCCTGCTGCTCTGTGCAGCCCGGGGACATGGTGCCCTGTGTCCCAGCCACTCCAGCTCCAGCCATGGCTAAAAAGGGCCAAGATACAGCTTGGGCCATGACTGTAGAGGGTGCAAGCCCCAACCCTTGGTGACTTCCATGTGGTGTTGTACCTGAGGGTGCACAGAAGCCCAGAGTTGAGGTTTGGAAACCTCTACCTAGATTTCAGGGGAGGTATGGAGATGCCTGGATGTCCAGGCAGAAGTCTGCTGCAGGAGTTGAGCTCTCATGGAGAACCACTACTAAGGCAATGCTGAGGGGAAATGTTGGGTTGGAGCCCCCATATAGAGTCCACACTGGGGCACTGACTAGTGAAGCTGTGAGAAAAGGGTCACCATCCTCCAACCCCAGAATGATAGATCCATTGACAGCTTGCACCATGTGCCTGGAAAAGCTTCAGGCACTCAACACCAGCCAGTGAAAGCAGCTGTGGGGGCTTTACCCTGCAGAGCCACAGAGGTGGAGCTGCCTAAGGCCTTGGGAGCTCACCCCTTGCCTAAGGATGCCCTGGATGTGAGGCATGGAGTCACAGGAGATTATTTCAGACCTTTAAGATTTAATGGCTGTCCTGATGGGTTTCAGATTTGCATGAGGACTGTAGTCCCTTTGTGTTGGCAAATTTCTCCCATTTGGAATGGGAACATTTACCCAATGCCTGTATCTCCATTATGTCTTGGAAGTAACTAACTTGCTTTTGATTTTACAGGCTCCTAGGTGGAAGGGACTTGCCTTATCTCAGATGAGACTGTGGACTTTTGGGTTAATCCTGGAATGAATTAAGACTTTGGAGGACTGTTGGGAAGGCATGATTGTGTTTTGAAATATGAGAAGGACATGAAATTTGGAGGCACGGGCAGAATGATATGGTTTGGTTCTGTGTCTCCACCCAAATCTCATCTTGAATTGTAATGCCCAGGGAGGGCCCTGGTGGGAGGTGACTGGATCATGAGGGTGGGTTTCCCCATGTTGTTCTTGTGATAGTGAAGGATTTCTCTTAAGATCTGATCGTTTAAAAGTGTGTGGCAGTTCTTCTCTCTTTCTCTCTCTCTCCTGATGCCATGTAAGACATGCCTTGTTTACCTTTTGCCTTCTGCCATGATTGTAAGTTTCCTGAGGACTCCCCAGCCATATGGAACTGTGAGTCAATTAAACCTCTTTTTTAAAATAAATTTCCCAATCTCAGATAGTTCTTCATAGCAGTGTGAAAATAGACTAACATAGGAGGTAACTTTTTTTTTTGAGATGGAGTCTCACTCTGTCGCCCAGGCTGGAGTGCAGTAGTGCAATCTTGGCTCACTGCAAGCTCTACCTCCTGGGTTCACGCCGTTCTCCTGCCTCAGTCTCCCGAGTAGCTGGGACTACAGGGGCCCACCACCATGCCTTGCTAATTTTTTTGTATTTTTAGTAGAGACAGGGTTTCATCTGTGTTAGCCAAGATGGTCTCGATCTCCTGACCTTGTGATCCATCCGCCTCAGCCTCCCAAAATGCTGGGATTACAGGCGCAAGCCACCGCACCTGGCCCAGGAGGTGAAATCTTTTAAGAGGTGATTAGGCCATGAGGGCTCTGCCCTCATGAATGGATTAATGCTGTCATCACTGGACTGGGTTCATTATTATGGGAGTGGGTTTGTTTTTTTAATTAAACAAGTTCAGCCCTCTCTTTCTGCCCCTCTCCTTTCTTACTCTCCCTCTCTTATTCTCTCTTTGCTCTTCCACCATGGGATGACATAGCAAGAAAGCCCTCGCCAGATGCTGGCCTCTTGATCTTGGATTTCCCTGCCTCTGGAACCATGAGCCAATAAATTTCTGTTTATTATAAATTACCCAGTCGGTGATCAGCTGTAGCAGCACAAAATAGACTAAGACAGCATCTGGTTATTGTCTTTTCTCATTCACATTGAGTTTTTTTTTGGTTTTTGGTGTGATGAGTAAACTTTAATATTGTGGACATTTGAGGCATTAAGTCAGAAGACTCTGGATCTTGTTTAAATTTTCTGTTTCAGCAAGCCTCATCTGAAACCACATCAGCATGGAAAGGAAAGTGCTGCCCCATAACTGCCACATGGGGGTAGAGGTTTAGGTTCCCAGTGCAGCTTTCATTGGCACTCTCAGGAGGAAAGAGAGCACCTCATTACATCTGGGTAAAGGTGGAAGTATAGCGTTCCCACTTGGCCTTTGCTGATGGGATCAGGACAGGGCTACAGTTTTCCTCCTAATGTTTGGCTGGAGTTGGGTGGTTATTGTCAAAAATTTTATTTCTGCACTTTGGAGATTTCTCAAGGAACTTAGAACTACCACTTGACCCAGCAATCTCATTACTGGGTATATATTCAAAAGAAAATAAATTATTCTACCGAAAAGACACATGTACTTGTTTGTACATTGTAGCAGTATTCATAATAGCAAAGACACAGAATCAACCTAGGTGCCCGTCAATGGTGGACTGCATAAAGAAAGTGTGGTATATATGTACCGTAGGATACTATGTAGCCATAGAAAGGAAGAAAATCATGTCCTTTGTAGCAACATGGATGCAGCTGAAGGCCATTATCCTAAGCTGTATTAGTCCATTCTCATGCTGCTATGAAGAAATACCTGAGACTTGGTAATTTATAAAGGAAAGAGATTTAATTAACTCACAGTTCCGTATTGCTGGGGAGGCCTCAGGAAACTTACAATCATGGCAGAAGGCAAAGGAAAAGCATGCACCTTCTTCATAGGGTGGCAGGATGGAGTGAGTGCCAAGTGAAGAGGGGAAGCCCCTTATAAAACCATTGGATCTCATGAAAACTCACTCATTATCATAAGAACAGCATAGAGGAAACTGCCCCTATGATTCAATTATCTGCACCTGTTCCACCCTCAACATATGGGGATTATGGGGATTAAAATTCAAGATGAGATTTGGGTGGGGACACAGAGCCTAACCATATCATAAGCTAATCAATACAGAAACAGAAAAACAAATACCACATCTTTTCACTTATAAGTTGGAGCTAAACAGTGGATACTCATGGACATAAATATGGAAACAATAGACACTGGAGACCGCTAAAGGGGCAAGGGAAGGGGGAGGGCAAGGGTTGAAAAGCTATTGGGTACTATGATCACTGTCTGGGTGACAGGGTCAATCATACCCCAAACCTCAGCATCATACAGTATACCCAGGAAACAAACCTACACATTTATTCCTTGAATCTAAAATAAAAGTTGAAATTATTTTTTAAAAATTGAATTAATTAGATGATTTTTTCTTTTTCACTAGGCTGACCCTTTGACCCTTCCTTGGTTTTCTTGGGGCTTTTTTTTCTTTTATCAGTGTATGTTGGTATTTTGGGTTGCAGGCTTCTCTAGCATCCAGTATGAAATATATAAGGCACGAGGAAATCTAGAGACCTCAGTGCCATGCTGTTTTTTAAGGTTTCAAAGTCCCTAACTGACCTGTTTTTTTGTCTCCACCTTTCCGAGTATTTTTATGTTTATGTATGATGTCCAGAGATTTTAGCTATATCTAGAGAAAGGAATAGAGAGACACATCTATTTTATCTTCTAGCCATAATCTTTTAGCCCTTTTGATGCACCCTCAGTGTCCATATATTTTGAAATAACCATGATCTCCAGAAGGTTCTATAATCAAGATTGATACATGGCTCTCTGTGTCAGCTGGTTTCATCAACTACTTCTATAAGTTTAAGTTGTTATTTGTGACTAGGGATATTAATTTAGACACAAATGTACATGGAGTGACTTACCTTGGTTTAATTTGCCTTTGTTGAAATTGCATTCTGTCAGATTATTTTGGCCAAATTTCCTTCTTTAGCCCTGTAATTAGGTTAGTTCTTAGTCCCTAACTTCCTGAGCATAATTTTTTTTCCTAATTGTTTGCTTTGGGCTTATAAATGAAACTTCTTCCTCTAATCTCAAAATTCATTTCATGTATGGGGCTGTTCTGCAGTGAACAGATATATGCAGGTCTCCCCCTCAAAGGCCAAGGAAGCTGGGAAGCCAGAGAAAAGAGGCTGACAAATCCAGTTTCTCAGAAAGAAACATTTGATAGGAACCTATGAACAGAAGCAATGCCTTGGGCAGCTGAGAGACCATAGATTTCCACACCTACCCTCCTGAAATATTCTTTCTATAGCAGGCTTTTTTTTTTTCTTTTTTTTTTTGGTAAAACATGTAGCTACACTGGACGCAATCAGAGAAGTGAAAAGGCACATGTCCTTTTCTATCAGGTTGGTGCAATTTTCCTCTAGCCATTTGCTTTTCATTTCTATTGCTAGCTAAACCTGTGTTGACAAACAAATGGCCCACAGAAGCAGCCAACCCACTGCAGTGGCTATCCACTGCCCTTCCTTACCACACTGCACCATATGCCTTTCAGTTAATAACCACTCTAGGCCAACCAGCTTGTTCAGGGTGTCTCCATAGTCACACAGAGTCCAAATGCATCTAACAGACGTGCCACACCATCCCACATAGACGTGGCTGGCCTGGGATTTCCCGTACAGATGCTTCATTCCCCTTTCCTGTCTCTTGGCCTCTTAGCTCCTGACTGACTCACCAAATGTTCTGGGTGAGTAGGTATATGCAGATCTACCCCCGAAAGCCAAGAGAGCTGACAGGCCAAAGAAAGAGGCTGACAAATTCAGTTTCCCAGAAAGAAACATTTAGTAGGGACGTAACAAACAGAAGCCATGCTTTGGGTAGCCACAAGATGATGGATCCCCACACTCGGCACTCCAGAAAATATCCTTTCTGTAGCAAGCTTTTTTTTTTGGTAAGACATGCGCTGCTGGTCACGTCTCAGACCCTCTTATGACATTCATGACCACTGGGGAAGTTAGAGAAGCATCTTTATGAGAAGTTATCTATGATATAGGCATTGTTTCTTGACCTTGCTGTGGGAATGCCTGGATATGCAGGAATTAATGACGATTTCACTTCAAGATGGCATTTTTCTTGCCATGCAACAGGCTGCTTTCCTACAGGAGCCCACTTACAGAGTTTGCCTGTGAGGTGTGATTTCTTTTCTTTCTTTTTTTTTTTTTTTTTTTGAGACGGAGTCTTGCTCTGTCGCCCGGGCTGGAGTGCAGTGGCGCGATCTCGGCTCACTGCAAGGTCCTCCTCCTGGGTTCATGCCATTCTCCTGCCTCAGCCTCCTGAGTAGCTGGGACTACAGGCGCCCACCACCACGCCTGGCTAATTTTTTGTATTTTTAGTAGAGACGGGGTTTCACCGTGTTAGCCAGGATGGTCTCAATCTCCTGTGAGGTGTGATTTCTGAGTAATTTCAGGGTGTTACAAGTTCCTTTGCAAGGGATCGTATATCTTGTTATCAGTAGTGTAGACCTGGAGATAAATTAGTTCCAGGTAGAGGACTTAGAATGCATTTTTAGATGGGAGCCCCCAAAGTGGTAGGGAAGACCTCAGGTCATGATAGGGCCAGGGGATGCCAAGGAAAGGGAGAGAAGCGTGTGCTATAAGGGGTGAGAGAGTGAAGTGATGTGGTTGAATCCCCATATTCAACCTAGAGAAAACAGAGAGAAAGGAGACCACCAAACATGGCATATTTCTGAAAGTTAGCCAGCATGACTGACTGCCTATCAGTACAGAACCAGTCAGATATTTTGTTCTCTATCATGATATTTAGATAAAATATGACAGAAATTACAAACTCAGATGTCTACAGGGGCCAGGTTAATGACCTGGTTACAAAAATAAGTTTTCCTTTCTTTTGAACTCTACTATAAGAAAAGTAATAACCCTATCATGATTACAATTAACAACACCCTCCAAAGGCTTCCTATTTCATCCAGTAAATGACAAACTCCCTTCAATAATCTATAAGACTCCACACCATCTCTACCCTGTTATTTCTCTGATCTCATCTCTTGTTACTCTGTGCCAAGCTAGATTAGCCTCCTTGCTGTTGGTTGAAGACCCTGGGCTACCTCCCTTGCCTAGAATCTTCTCATGGACTGTCATGTCTGTCTAGAATGCTCTTCCCTGGGTTATATGCATAGCTCAATTCCTCACCTTCTACAGGTTTCCTCCCAAAGTCACCTTTCAGTGAGGACTTCCTGGGATCCATGGCTAACATTTTAGCTCTGGAACTGTCTATACTTCTTCCTGGCTGTATGTTTTTTTCTTATACTTCTTTCCACCTAATATACTATTTATCCAACTTATTAACTCTAAATGTCTATCTTTCTCCAATCTCACTAAAATGTAAACTTCATGGTACCCCGTGACAATTAGGCAAATGGAAACCATGCCAGTTAGGTGTGTTTGCATGTTTAGTCTCCAGTACCTAGAATGAGGCCATACATGCATTAGGTTCACAATAAGTAACTTAAATAAATGACAATAAACATGTAATGAATGCTGGGTAAGCAGCAGGAAGTATGAAGGCCTGTTGCAAACTCGAAAGGGTATGCCCCTTCTAAAGGACAGCTACTGTCTATCTCCTGTATTTTTGGCAGATAAATATGTAGACCAAATGATGTCAGACATTTTGATTTTCAAGAAATATAGATATCTCAATTTGTATATAAATATTACCAATTTTAAATTTTTCTGCTTTATTGAGGTACACTTAATATAAAATAAATGCATATATTTAACTTGATGAGATTTGATGAACTTGTACATCCATGAAACCATCACCACAATTAAAATACAGAACATTTTCATTGTCCGGAAAGTTTTTTTATGCCTCTCTGTCATCTCTCCCTCCCTCTACCCCATCTCTGTAAGCTACCACCTTGTTTTCTGTAAGTATAGACTGGTTTTCATTTTCTAGAATATTATATAAATGGAATCAAATAGTGTATACTTTTATTTTCTGGCCTCTTTCACTCAACATAATGACCTTGATATTCAATTATATTAAGTGCCTGATTTGTTTATTTTTATTGCTGAATATTGTTTTATTGGATGAATATACCACAACTTGTTTATCATTCATCAGTTGATGGATATTTGGGTTGTTTCTAGTTTTGGGCAATTATAAACAATGCTGCTGTGAATATTTATGTGCAAGTATTTGTGGGAAGTACGTTTTCATTTCCCTTTAATTCTCCCAATGTTTAAACATTGCTAACTAATATAAAACATTTTTAACCCAAGTAGACAAATAGTGAATGGTGTACACAAAACACTACTGCACACTGGATCCAGCCTGTGGCTGGCCAGTTTGCCATGGATATGGAGGTTCTGTGGTTTTCTCTTAGAAACACAAATATTGAGTTATGCTCATTGGCTACCCTGACCCTTTAAGACTTGGCCCCAGATTTCATTCACCATCCAGAGTTTAAGTTATGTGGAGGCCATGATAAGAAGCCATAATTTATGGCCTCCATTGTGCTTCTCTGTCTGGGGATCCTTGGCAGGGCCAATGGTAAGGGTTTGACCTTTCCATAGCAAGGTTGGGCTCTAGGGATGGTGAGAAGGTATGTTGGCACATCTTCTCCAATGGACTAGAGCTGGCAGAACAGTTGTTGTAAGTGTCCTTGGGGTGCTTCTGTCTAGGCCCCCATTACACCATGAAGCAAGCAGATTGGAAGTCAGGTAGGCTTCTGTCATTTCTTCCTGGGTGGTCTAGCTGTTCCCTTAGCTGCTCCAGGAAACCTCCTGATAGGGCCTTGCACTGAGATTTCCAGGAAGGCATGAATACAGGGACCCTTTATTCTCTGTCCTGAAAAGGAGGAAAAACTACATAAATGGTTTGGGAAATTAAGCCCTATTTATTTCTTATCTTTCTTTTCTATCAAACGCAGAGAAAGGGGAAAACAGTTGGCTCTGGAAGGTGGCAGAATTCTCTGGGATAGCTGCAAAAGAGAAATAATAGAAGAAGGTCAGTTTGGGCCCAGGTAGGGGATGGTAGTCTTGTAAGAACTCCAGTCCCTTGCCTGAGATGCTGGCAGGCACTCACCAGCAGGAATGAGGAGCACTCCTCACTAGCATGGCCATGTGAAGAGAGCTGCCCCATGGGGCACTGGCAGGGGGCATCACTGTAGGAGAGGATGGAAATGGAAGACCAGGGAGGTAGACAAAAGAGCTGGTTTCATACACATGGGACACCCCCAACAGACTTCAAAAACAATTTTGGGTGAATTTGAAGGGGCTGGGCTTCTGCAGAACAAGTGTGGATAGATCCAGAAATATACAGCATTATCTTCAGTACTTTGCTTCTGTGTTTATTGATTGATTGATTGAGACAGGGTCTCCCTCTCACTCAGGCTGGAGTGCAGTGATGTGAATCATAGCTCACTGCGGCCTCGACCTCCTGGGCTCAAGTGATCCTCCCACCTCAGCATCTTGAGTAGCTAGGACCACAGGCATTTGCCACCACACTTGGCTAATTTTTTTTCTTAGAGATGGGGTCTCCCTATGTTTCCCAGTCTTGTTTAAAAAAACTGAGCTTTATTTTTTCTCTTATAATAGTAGTACATGCTCGTAAAAATTCCAGAAAATTCAGAAAAGTATGAATAAGAATATAAAAGTTACCTGAGCTTTTACTGTGTGGAGGTAGCCACTGTTAACTTTTGAATAATAGCTTCCTGAATTTTTAAATATCCAGGGGAAATAGCAAACACACACACACACACACACGCACACATGCACACACACACACTCTCTCTCTCTATATATATGTATATATACACACACACATATGAGCATACATAGCTATACATACACAAATCTAATGATAAAGAGAAAATCTTATTCTTTTATTCTATTTACACTCCTCTCAGGGCCAGGCATTGGCTAGCACCAAAGCTTTCAAAAAATCAGGCAGGAGAAAGGCTGAACAGCTATTGGGATGGTGGAAGCCCGAATGATCCTCAAACCCTCAGAGAAGTCAGCAAAAACTCACAAAGGGCTTGCTGGGAATGAATTTATTGTGAAAGGACTGAGTTTTTACATCTGGGTTTTATAAGATAAAACAAGATCAGCACACAAGTACACAGAAGTCTAGAGGCACATAGAAACATGAAGAAGAAAACCTCAGGGAAGGTGTGAATCTAATCCAGTGGTCTCCAATCTTTTTGGCATCAGAGACCAGTTTTGTGGAAGACAATTTTTCCACAGACTAGAGTGGAGGGATGGCTTCAGGGTGATCGACCTCAGATAATCAGGCATTAGTTAGATTCTCATAAGGAGTGCCTAGATCCCTGGCACTTCACAATAGGGTTTGTGCTTCTATGAGAATCTAATGCCAGCCGCTGATCTAACAGGCGGTGGAACCCAAGTGGTAATGCTCACCTGCCGCTCACTTCTTGCTGTGTGACCCAGTTCCTTACAGGCCATGGACTGATACCAGTCTATGACCTGGGGAATGGGTACCCCTGATCTAATCCACATTTCTTCCACAGTAAAGCCATTTCATGCTTATGGATAGGAAGAATCGATATTGTTAAAATGGCGATACTGTCCAAAGCAATTTATAGATTCAATTCTATTCCCTTCAAATTACCAATGGCATTCTTCACATAATTTTAAAAAATTATTTTAATATATGGAATAAAAGAAAAGCCTGAATAGCCAAGGCAATCCTAACCAAAAAGAACAAATCTTGAGCCATCACATTGCTACAAACTATACTTCAAAGTATACTTCAAACTATTGTACAGAGCTACAGTAACCAAAACAGCATGAAAGTATTTGAAGTATACTTTGAATAGAGAGCCCAGAAATAACGCCACATACCTATGACCATCTGATCTTCCACATTGCTTGACAAAAACAAGCAATGGGGAAAGAACTCTTCATTCAATAAATGATCCTGGGACAACTGGCTAGCCATACACAGAAGACTGAAACTGGACCCCTAGCTTATATGACATACAAAAATCAATTCAAGATGGATTAAAGACTTAAATGTAAAATCTAAAACTATAAAAACCCTGGAAGATAATCTAGGAAATATCATTCTGGACACAGGAAGGACTTCACAAATGTTTCATGACAAAGACACCAAAAGTAATTGCAACAAAAGCCAAAATTGACAAATGGGATCTAATTAAACTAAAGATTCTGCACAGCAAAATAAACTGTCAACAAAGTAAACAACCTACATAATGGGAGAAGATATTTGCAAACCATGCATCCAAAAAAGTTCTAATATCCAGACTCTATAGGGAACTTAAACAAATTTACAAGCAAAAAACAAACAACCCATTAAAAAGTGGGCAAAGGACATTATCAGGTACTTTTCAAAAGAAGACATACATGTAGCCAAGAAGCATATGAAAAAATACTCAACATCACTAATTATTAGATAAATACAAATCAAAACCACAATGAGATACCATCCTGCACTAGTTAGAATTGGTATTATAAACAGTCAAAAAACAACAGATGCTGGCAAAGTTGCAGAAAAAAGGGAACACTTATACACTGTTGATGGGAGTGTAAATTAGTTAAGCCATTGTGAAAAGCAGTGTGGCAATCCCTCAAAGAACTTAAAACAGAATTACCATTTGACCTAGCAATTCCACTATTGGCTACATACCCAAAGGAATATGAATAGTTCTACCATAAAGACACATGAATGTGTATGTTCACGGCAGCACTATTCACAATAGCAAAGACATGGAATCAACCTAAATACTCATCAATGATAGACTGGATAAAGAAAATGTGGTGTGTGTATACACACACACACACACACACACACAGGCACCCACACACCCTATGGAATACTATGTAGGCATAAAAAGAATGAGATCATGTACTTTGCAGCAATATGGATGCAGCTGGAGGCGATTATCCTAAGCAAACTAACACAGGAACAGAAAATCAAATGCTGCATGTTCTCACTTATAAGTGGGAGCTACACAACGAGAACACATGGATACCAGGAGGGAAACAAGAGACATCGAAGGCCTACTTGAGAGTGGAGGGTGGGAGGAGGGAGAGGATCAGAAAAAAATACCTATTGGGTACTATGCTTATCACATGGGTAATGAAATTATCTGTACACCAAACCCCCGTGACATGCAGTTTACCTATATAACAAACCTGCACATGTACCCCTGAACCTAAAATAAAAGTTAGAAAAATAAAATAAAAGCTGTTGGAATTTTAAATTATTTTAGGCCTTAATGGAATGTGATTATGGGATTTGAGTCATGTAACAGACGTATATAACCTAGGCAGCTGTAACCTCTTTTTCTCTGGTTATACATTAGCCTTTTCCTTTACCTATATTATTTTGTAAAATGTTTTTAAAGACTAAAGTTTCCAGAAATGACTCATTTACTCTTAACTATTGATCTTCATTGTAGATTAATTTCCCTCTTTCTTCTCTTAACGCAAAGACGTCATGATTATCACATTGTCTAAGATGGAATGTTAAATATACTCTTTAAAATGGTGGGGGTGGGGAGGGGAACAAGCTATAACAAATCAAATTGCTGTAACTCATAAACCAGCCTTGTATGGAAATATAATCCTGTTAAATATCCTTGTTTTCTGCTGATATAAGTAAAACCTTGCCTTTTCAATTTCTGAGCACTGACCCCATTTCTCTGGAGTCTGTATTTTCCAAATGGCCATCCTCAGTTTTGCACTTGAATAAACTCATTTAAACTAGATTCTTATCCTTTCCGTTATTTCAGATTGACATTTTGGTGACCCAGATGGGACCCATAGTGAGCTTCCTACATTGACTCTTTCTGCTTTCTTTACAGTCCAGCATGCTGGTACCAGCATGAACTGTTTCCATCCAACTGACTTTTGCTGGAGTTTGTGGGAAGCCCTTGGTAAGGCTCCTCTCTGGTTTCAAATCTCCCTGGCTTAGGTGAAATGCAGACTGTATTCAAGCAACCTGATTCCATACCGGATGGAGCTGGAATTGAAGCTTAACTTTAAAGCTTTAAGGTAGTAGTTTCATTTTTTTATCTCTCTAGAGATTCTGTTGTTTGCAAGTTTGTGGTTTTAATCATCTTTGAGGTTAAGATTTTGTTCGTCTTACTTGCTAAAGTTTGCAACCTTTTCTCTAGTTCAAAATCTGGTTTCTCTTTAATAGGAGAAAGTAAATGTCTATGGATTAAGCAAAATTGTGATTTAAATTGGTGAGGTTTTGAAGTTTGGTTCAATTTGGCAAATTAGAATTCTTCTTTTGAGTGACCAATAATTAACAAAAGACCTTTATTAGGATGTGGTAAGTCCTGAAGAAAAGGGACACTGTTCCTCCCAGCCAAAGGCACCTTAGGCAACCAAGGACTTGTGCAAGTTTCAGAGCTTATCAATCGAGACAAGAAATGGTCCCACAGGGAATTCCCAAAGAAGAAAATACAGGGAAATTTGCTTAAACTTGTGGGCACATATAAGGGACTGATCTCCCAGTGCCTTAAGCACACTGAATTCCTGTTTTTCATTGAGACACATAAAAGGGAAGAACCAACCCAAGGGTGACACCTTGGGGAGCTAGTCCCTTAAGCAGTACACTCAGTCCAAAACACCTTTCCCTTTTAGCTTTTAGTCCTTAAGAGAAAAGTGCAAATGATGGACAATCAGCCATCTAAAACCAAGTCTTCCTTGAGGAAAAATCCACCTTTAGAGACTCCAGCTAGATTCATGTACAATACTTACGGCACCACACCTTGTCATTATTTTTAAAAATGGTCCCATATAACTTGGAAGAACCAAAACTTCAATGGCTGAAATGGGATACCTTTGAAAAACTTCAACTAATTTACTTGCAAGTTCAAATTTAAAAAAGCTGACTAGAATAAAACAGAGTAATTGGGAATGTCATTTTCAATGGTATTTGAATGCATCCAAAAGAGGTTCTGATAAAGTTATTTCTTTGCAGGAAAAAAAACCCAGAAGACTGTCTAAAACAATTTCTGAATTTAAAATGGTTGCTGAAGCTTCTCCTCCCTCAGAAGATTTCCCTTCTCCTCCCTCGGGTCCTTTTTGTCTCTATCCTTTACTGTCTAAATTACCTTGCCCTGCTATGGAATTTAAGTATTTGAGCTTATGACCCTGGTATTTCTGATTTATATCAACTAGTTTACATGTTAGCTTCAAAAACAAGGCTAAAAATGAGGCTTGAATAGATAAAGCCCGTTGGCAAAACCCCTAGAGGATTTCCATAAATGTTCAAAAGAAGACTGCAGGAATGCCCGTGACACTGAAAGGCTCTACTTGCAACCATTTCTTTAGTCTTCTAAAAGGGAGTTGATTGGAATAAAATACAGCGATGTCAACAACATCTAGGTGAGTCAGTGGTGTTATATTTTGAAAGATTTGAAAAGACTTTTAGACAATATTCAGGTTTATCTGAGGTGAGTTCTGCTAATCATCAAAATGAGACTCTCCTGAACTCCAAGTTTATAAATGGGCTACGCAAAAAATTAGCTCTAATAGTAAAGAGACATTGCCCTAGCTGGGCTACTTCTCACACTCACAATTTGATTAATCTTGCTGAAAAGTTGTCTTGTACTTTAATTAAAAATGAAAAAGGGAAAGAGACTAGACCAAAAAATAAAGCTAAGAAGATTATGAATCTGCAGCTGAAATAATTACTCACCCAGTCTGGACTGCCAAAATATACCCAATAAACCTCTGGACAGATCTAACCCTCCAAGTTGCAATTATTGAAAAAAATGGCCACTTTAAAAAAAGATTGCTGAAAATTAACAGAAGGAAAAACAACAGCCAAAGGAGGAAAAGATAAAATAGGAGTGCTCCAAGGAACTTAGAGAGATCTTTACTTATCTCCTTACTAATACTCTGGGAGAAATATAAATCTCATCTTATTACAAGGTCTCAATCCTCAGAGTAAACACTTGGTCCAAATCATAGGTGTCACAAATACTCCTATCAACAAACAAGTCTCAACCTGTAGCTTTTCAACCAGGTCCCTTGCAAGTGACTCATATTTTCCTTTTGGTTCCATGAGCCACCATCCCTGTAATAGAAAGATACTTCCTGGAACTATATAAATACTCATATTTATTTTTCCTTAAAGGAGGAACTGTATTGAGAATTAGATGGTGTGGTATGCACGAGAGACTACATTATTTGTCTACTCTAGTCTTTTAAAAATGAATTCACTTTCTATCTTTTCCAAGCCATAAAGAAGTTTCCTCTTTTGAGCCAACTTATGAAAGATAATAAACTACATCACATTTTAATGACACTATTTTGGCTTTTATGAGCCAGCAGTGAAGAATTGTTTCTCAGGACTTTGAATCTGTTGTCAGTCTCGGAACTATACAGGCATCTTCATTAACCTGAGCCTCTGGATCTGACTTGTGTTAGAGAGTGTCCTCTTTGTTTAAATTTTAAGATTCTTGTTCTTAAGGGCAACCACAAGGCTCCAGGGGAAAGGAGAACCTTCTATATGGAGACTGTTTACTAACTTGTTTTATTCTGTTACACATTAAAATTATTTACCCAGAAGCTAGATACTGAACAAATCATTTTGGAGATTGTGGACCCATAATTATATCCTAACTTATATTATAGTTATTCATGTAGTTAACTCCCTTACTAAATTATATAGTCCTGGAGGGCAGAACCTTTGTCTTTTACATATGTGTCTTCTCCTTTAGCACCTAGTATAGAGTGGGGGACACAGAAGAGCAGTGTCCTTATTACAGGTTTGGACTTTAACCAGATGGGGAGTAGAAATCTGACTCCATCACTAATTGGCTGTATGACTGTTGTCTTAGTTGCCTATCTGCAAAGTGGGGAGCCAAATTCTCCTCTTCCCTTCTCCCCTCCCTCCCATCCTTTTTTCCTTTAACAAACACTTACTGAACACCTACTAAGTGCTTGGCACCATGGGATACAAGATAAAATAATGAATAACATGGAAATGGTTGTTGTATTGGACCCCTATTGACTCCAGTAGGGATGACACTATGTCTGAGAAGATGAAGAAGAGACAGTGAACAAGACATAGGGTTTACTGGGGGGATTTACATACAGGTATGGGCCTTTGGTGGCAGGCTGGTCAGGCAAACCGCTACCGTTTATAAAAAGCAGACAGTTTATATAGCATTTTCACTTAGCACCCTCCACCTAGCTACCGCAATCTAACCAAAACAAACGGCTTTGATCCCCTGTGTGGCCTGCATTGCAAGGGATGAGCCAGGGGCTCAGATGTCCTTCATAGATAAGGAGTGAATCTGGATTGGCCACTCCTAGATTCCTTAGATTGGGACACTGAGCAAATTCTTCTTAGACCATAGGGTCATTTTCAGGATGTGCTGAAGTTACTGCTATCGGGCCTGTCTGCCATACAATGGTCTTTGTTCCTTTGGAATGGTTTTAAGATTAAGAAAGATGATGAAAATGAGTACCAATGAAGTATGATGTGAGATAGATAGAGAGATAGAGAAGTAGATAGGATTGAATAGGTATTGTTCAATAAATTAATGCTGATGGGGAGAGACAAAGGGAATATAATACTTTTAAAAAATATGATTGATTACCAATAAAAGAGAAAGATAAAACAAAGAAAGAAAGAGCTAGGAAAGGAATTCAAAGAAAACTGGAGATATGGATGCAAAAGAAAATTAAATGAGAAGAAAGGGGATATGAAGAACAGGCATAAACTTAACCTAGTAGCTTGGCTGTGGTGTATCTAGAATATCATCAGGGCATAAAAATGTCACTAAATTGTAACCAAAAATATCTTGCAGTACTCTCCTCTCACTCACTGCTGGATCCTGAGAACTGCCTTTGGCTTACGGTTTAGTGCTCAGGTGTTAAGGGAGAGGAGAAAACAAGGATAACTTGGAGACTCTGAGCTTGTGTAGCTAGAAATGATGACACCATTCATATAAATAAAATGAGGCATATAAATTAGTTAGGTCTTGAGTTTGGTTTAAAACTGATGAAGTTTCAGGTCTAAATGGCTTATCTATGTAGATATGACCAATGGCTACTGGAGGTTGGAATGCAAATTGGGGAAATAATCCCTTTGTAAAAACACACCTAAACAATGCACAGTGAAGCCACAAAATGGATAACTCTTGAGGGAAATGACAGAGACAAAGCCAAAGAGAATGCACTGAATCTTGAGAGTCTTTTCCTGGATGGTAAGCTTCAGGAAAATAAGAGAAGGAAATGCTTCAATCAAAGAAAACTAGAGTTGGAGCAAGGTGGAGCAAGGTGGCGAAATAGAAAGCTCCACAGATTGCAACCCCGTGCAAAGACACCAAGTTAACAACTATCTACACAGAAAAAAAAAACATCTTCATAAGAACCAAAAATCAGATGAGCACTCACAGTACCTGGTTTTAACTTCATATTGTTGAAAGAGGCACTAAAGAGATAGAAAAAACAGTCCCAAATTGCTGACACCATCCCTCCATGCTCCCTCTGGCAGCAGCGGTGTGGTGTGGAGATCATCTCCAGCTAGGGAGGGAGAACACAGCAATTGTGAGGCATTGAACTCAGTGCTGTGTTTGAACAGAAAGGAAAACCAAACTAAACTCAGCTGGAGCCCACCCATGGAGGGAACATTTAAACCAGCCCCAGCCAGAGGGGAATCGTTAATCCCAGTGCCTGCAAACCTCTCCACCAAGGGCTACAGCACTCTGTGTATACCAGAAAACTTGAAAGGCAGTCTAGGCCATAAGGACTGATATTCTTAAGTGAGTCCTAGTGTTGAAGTAGGCTAAGAGATCATGTACCGGGGAGGGCACATGGCATACTGAGACATCAGCTGGGACAGGCAAGGAAGTGCTGGCATCACCCATTCCCTAACCCCAGGCTGCACAGCTCATGGCTCCAAAAAAGACTCCTTCCTTATGCTTGAGGATAGGAGAGGGAAGAGTGGGGAGGACCTTGTCTTGCATCTTAAATATCAGCCCAGCCACAGCAGGATAGAGTACCAATCAGAGTTGTCAGGTCCTTGTTCCAGGCCCTAGCTCCCAGATGACATTTCTAGACACACCCTGAGCCAGAAGGGAACCCACTGCCTTGAAGGAAAGGACCCAGTCCTGCAGCATTAATCACCTGCTAATTGAAGAACTCCTGGGCTCTGAATAACCAGCAGTGATACCCAGGTACTACATAGAGTTCCTTGGGTGAGCCTCTGAGAGTTGCTGGCTTCAGATGAGACTCAGCACAATACCAGCTGTGGTGGCTATGGGAGAAAACTCCCTCTGCTTGAAAAAAGCAGAGGGAAAAGTAAAGGGGTCTTTGTCTGATACCTTAGGTATCACAGCATGGCCACAGAGGGGTAGAGCTCGACTTGAGTCTTACCATTTTAGAACCTGCCCAGGGTCAGAGGGGAGCCCACTTCCCTGAAAGGTGAGTCCCAGGCCAGGCAGCATTCATGACAAATTGACTTAAGAGAACTTGGACCTTAAGGGAACATCAATAGTAGTCTTACAGTACTCCTCAAGGCCTGGGGTGGTGGTAGCTATGGGGTGAGTCTCCTGCTTTTGGAAAAAACACGGAAGAGTGGGAAGAACTGCACTGTGTGGTTTGAGCACCAGAACAGCCACAATATAATAGAGCACCAGGTAGATTTCTAAGGTTTTTGACTGTAGTCCCTAACTCCTGGATGGCACCTCTGGACCCACCTGGGGCATGGGATAGTTTACTGCCCTGAAGGGAAGGACACAGGCCTGGCTGGCCTTGACATCTGTTAATTGTAGAGCCTGGGGGCCATCAGTGAACATAGAGAGTAGCCAGGGAGTGGTTACGGTAGATCCAGCACTGTGCTGCCTTCAGTTCTGAGCCAGTGCAGTCATAGTGATGGTGGCCACAGGGGTCCTTGTGTTATTCCACCCCAAGCTTTAGATAGCTCAGAACAGAGAGAAGCCCTGTATGTTTGGGAGAAAGTAAGGGACGAGAACAAGAGTCTCTGCCTGGTAATCCAGAGAATTCTGGATGGTCCAAGACCATCAAGGTGGTACCTCCACAAGTCTGCAAGAACCACAGTGTTACTGGATTTGCAGTACTCCCTAAAGCAGGTAGAGCCTAGATCACAACACCCAAGTCCTTTCAAATATCTAGAAAGCCTTCCCAAGAAGAACTTCTATAAATAAACCAAGATGGTGAAGACTCCAATAAACTTCAATGCCCAGACACTAAAGAACATCTACTAGCATCAACACTACCAAAGAAAACATGACCACACCAAAGGGACTGCATAACTCATCAGGGACCAATCCTGGAGAAAGAGAGACATGTGACCTTTCAGACAGGAATTCTAAATAGCTGTTTAGAGGAAACTCAGAGAAATTAAAAATAAGACAGAGAATAAATTCAGAATTCTATCAGATAAATTTAACAAAGAGATTTAAATAATTAAAAAGAATCAAGCAGAAATTCTGAAGCTGAAAAATGCAATTGGCATATTTAAGAATGCATTAGAGACCTTTAATAGCAGAAATAAACAGAAGAAAGAATTAGTGAACTTGAAGACAGGTTATTTGAAAATAGTCAGTCAGAGGAGACAATACAAAAAAGAATAAAAAACAATGAAGCATGCCTACAGAATATATTATAGAAAATAATCTTAAAAGGGCAAATTTAAGAGTTATTGGTCTTAAAGAAGTGGTAGAGAAAGAGATCGGGATAGGAAGTTTAATGCAAAGGGATAATAACAAGAACTTTTCAAACACAGAAAAAGATATCAATATCCAAATACAAGAAGGTTGTAGAACACCAAGAAGTTTTCACCCAAAGAAGATAAATTCAAGGCATTTAATAATCCAGCTCCCAATGGTCAAGGACAAGGAAAGGATCCTAAAGGCAGCAAGAGTAAAGAAACAAATAACATACAATGGAGCTCCAATACATCTGGCAACAGACTTTCCAGTGGAAACCTTACAGGCCAGGAGAGAGGTGGCATTACATATTTAAAGCGTTGAAGGAAAAAAAAAAACTTTTACCCTAGAATAGTATAACTGGTGAAAATATTCTTCAAACATGAAGGAGAAATAAAGACTTTCCCAGATAAGCGAAAGCTGAGGGATTTCATCAATACCAGACCTGTCCTACAAGAAATGCTAAAGGAAGTACTTCAATCAGAAAGAAAAGGACATTAATGAGCAGTAAATAATCACCTGAAGATACAAAACTTACTGGTAAGTACATAGAAAAACACAGAGTATTGTAACACTGTAACTGTGGTGTGTAAACTACTCTTATCCTAAGTAGAAAGACTGAACAATGAACCAATAAAAATAATAACTACCACAACTTTTAAAGACATGGTCTGAACAAAAATTTATAAATAAATAGAAAAAAACAAAAAGTTAAAAAGTCAGGGGATGAAGTTAAGGTTAGAGTTTTTATTAGTTTTCTTTTTGCTTGTTTATTTATGCAAATAGTGTTAAGTTTTTATCAGGTTAAAATGATGAGTTATAAGATAGTATTTGCAGACCTCATGATAACCTCAAACAAACAAAAAACATACAATGGGTACACAAAAAATAAAAAGCAAGAAACTAAATCATATCACCAGAGAAAATTACCTTCACTAGAAGAATATAGGAAGGAAAGAAAGAAGGAAGAGGAGACCACAAAACAACCAGAAAACAGATAACAAAATGGCAGGAGTAAGTCCTTATCAATTATAACATTGAATGTAAAAAGACTAAACTCTCCAATCAAAATACATAGACTCATTGAGTGGATGAAAAAAACAAGACCCAGTGATCTGTTGCCTACAAGAAACACACTTCATCTGTAAAGACACACATAGACTGAATATAAAAGGATGGAAAAAATCTATGCCAGTGTGAATCAAAAAGGAGCAGGTGTCACTACACTTATGTGAGACAAAATAGATTTGAAGACAGAAAACTATTAAAAGAAACAAAGAAGTTCACTGTATAATAATAAAGGGGTCAATTCAGCAAGAGGATATAGCAATTTTAAATATATGTATGTGCCTAACACAGGAGCACACAGATATATAAAGCAAATATTATTAGAGCTACAGAGAGAGATAGGCTCCAATACAATAATAGCTGAGGACTTCAACACCCCTCATTCAGCATTGGACAGATCTTCCAGAGAGAAAATCAGCAAAGAAACATCAGACTTAATCTTCACTATAGACCAAATGGATCTAATAGATATTGACAGAACATTCCTCCAATGGCTGCAGAATACACATTCTTTTCCTCAGCACATGGATAATTCTCAAGGATAGACCATATATTAGGTCACAAAATAAAACATTCAAAAAAATTGAAATAATATCAGGCATTTTCTCTGACCACAATGGAGCAAAATTAGAAATCAATAACAAGAGGAATTTTGGAACCTATACAAATACATAGAAATTTAACAATGTGCTCCTGAATGACCAGTGGGTCAATGAAAGAATCAAGAAGGAAATTGAAAAATTTCTTGAAACAAGCAATGGAAACACACATACCAAAACCTATGGGATACAGCAAAAGCAATTCTGAGGGAATTTTATAGCTATAAGTGCCATAATGTCAAATAAACAATCTAAAATAAATATCTTAAAGAACTAGAAAAGCAAGAGCAAACTAAACCCCAAGTTACTGGAAGAAAAGAAATAATGAAAATCAGAGCAGAAATAAAGGAAATTGAAATGAAGAAAACAATACAAAACATCAATGAAACAAAAGTTTGTTATTTGAAAAGTTAAAAAAATTGACAAACCTTTCACCAGACAAAAAAAGAGAGAGAGAGAGATGATCCAATTAAATAAAATCAGGAATGAAAAAGGAGACATTACAAGTGATACTGCAGCAAGTCAAAGGATTACTAGTGGCTACTATGAGCAACTATATGCCAATAAATTGGAAAATCTAAAAGAAATGGACAAATTCCTAGATACATACAACATACTGAGATTAAAACAGGAAGAAATCCAAAACCTGAACATACCAATAACAAGAAATGAGATTGAAGCCATAATAAAAAGTCTCCCTGCAAATTAAAGCTCACAACCCGATGACTTCACCGCTGAATTCTACCAAACATTTAAATAAGAACTGTTACCAATCCTACTCAAACTATTCCAAGAAATAGAGGAGAGGTAATACTTCCAAACTCATTCTATGAGACCAGTATTACCCTGATACCAAAACCAAAAACACATTGAAACAAAATAAAACAAAAAACTACAGACTAATAGCTTTGATGAATATTGATGCCAAAAATCCTCAACAGAATACTACTAAACCAAATCCAACAATACATTAGAAAGATCATTCATCATGACCAAGTAGGATTTATCCTAGGCATGCAAGGATGATTCAACATAAAAAAATAAATCCACATAATACATCATATCAAAAGAATGAAGGATAAAAATGATCAATTGATCTTTTCAATTGATGCTGAAAAAGCATTTGATAAAATTCAACACTCCTTCATAATAAAACCCTCAAAAAATTGGGATAGAAGGAACATAATAAAAGCCATATATGACAGACCCACAGATATTAAATAGTATCATACTGTATGGGGAAAAACTGAAAGCCTTTCCTCTATGATTGGGAACATAACACAGATGCCCACTGTCACCACTGTTATTCATCATAGTACTGGAAGCCCTAGTTAGAGTAATCAGAGAAGATTGAAAAAAGGGCATGTGAATTGAAAAGGAAGAAGCCAAATTGTCCTTTTTTGCAGATGATATAATCTTGTATTTAAAAAAGCTAAACCTAAAGATTTCACAAGAAAGCTACTAGAACTGATAAACAAATTCAGTAAAGTTGCAGGATACAAAATCAACACACAAAAATCAGAGCATTTCTGTATGCCAAGAGTGAACAATGTAAAAAATAAAAACTAAAAAGTAATTCTATCAACAATAGCCACAGATAAAAGCAAATATCTAGGAATTAAGTTAACCAAAGAAGTGAAGGATCTCTATAATGAAAACAATAAAACACTCATGAAAGAAATTGAAGGGAACACCAAAAAATGGAAAGATATTTCATCATCATGGATTGGAAGAATCAATATTGTTACAATGTCCATGCTACCCAAAGCAATCTACAGATTCAGTGCAATCTCTATCAAAATGCCAATGACATTCTTTACAGAAATAGAAAGAACAATCCTAAAACTTATATGGAACTACTTTTGTGGACCTAGAATAACTAAAGCTATTCTTAGCAAAAAGAACAAAACTAGAAGAATCACATTACCTCGCTTCAAATTATACTACAGAGATATAGTAACCAAAACAGCATGGTACTGGTATAAAAATAGACACATAGCTCAAAGTTAAGAGAATAGAGGACCCAGAAACAAATCCACACACCTACAGTGAACTCATTTTTGAGAAAGTTGCCAAGAACATATGCTGGGGAAAAGACAGTCTCTTCAATAAATGGTGCTGGAAAACTGGATATCCATATGAAGAAGAATGAAACTAGACCCTATCTCTTGTCATATACTAAAATCAAATCAAATAAAAATGGATTAAAGACCTAAATCTAGGACTTCAAACTATGAAACTACTACAAGAAAACACTGGGGATATGTTCCAGGACATTGGTCTGGGCAAAGATTTGTTGAACAATACCCCACAAGCACAGACAACCAAAGCAAAAATGGACAAATGGGATCACATCAAGTTAAAAAGCTTTTGCACGGCAAATGATACAATAAACAAAGTGAAGAGAAAATACACAGAATGGGAGAAAATATTTGCAAACTACCAATCTGACAAGAGATTAATAAGCAGAATATACCAGCAGTTCAAACAAATCTATAGCTAAAAAATCCAATAATCTGATCAAAAAATGGGCAAAATATTTGAATACACATTTCTCAAAAGAAGACATACAAATTGTAAACAGTTATATGAAAAGTTACTCAACATCATTGATCATCAGAGAAATGCAAATCAAAACTATAATGAGATATCTCACCCCAGTTAAAATGGCTTATATCCAAAGACAGACAATAACAAATGCTGACGAGGGTGTGGAGAAAAGGGAACCCTCGTATACTGCTGGTGGGAATGTAAATTAGTTCAACTTCTATGGAGAACAACTTGGAGGTTCCTCAAGAAACTAAAAATAGAGATACCATAAGGTTCATAATCTCACAACTCAGAAGGGCCCTCCACACTCTTGGAACTGTACACCCATTAGAAACCTTAAAGTAAAGCTAATCAGAGAAGTTTCTTCCCAGAAGCATTGCATCCGTGATGTGGACAGCTTTCTTCCAAAATCACAGATTGAGAGTTCTCTGCTATCATGAGACTCGTATCTTTCAATGTGTGCTTATGCCTCTGTGAACAATGGAAATGAAAAGGGGGTCTGTTGTGTGTATTCATGGGGTATACTCCTATTTATGAAAGATTTTGCAGCCAGCCTTATACACGGACAAGCTCATGTTGCGATAGATGCAAGATGAAGGAACAATGTAGGTAAGAAATTTTAACGGCATATTTGTTGCCTAATAATCAGTCAGAAATGAAACTTTGGTCCGCTCCTCTTAAACTACATCATGGGTTAAAGAGAACATTGTCAGGCCAGGTGTGGTGTCTCACACCTGTAATCCCAGCACTTTGGGAGGCTGAAGTGAGCAGATTGCTTGAGCTCAGGAGTTTTAGACTAGCCTGGGCAACATGGTGAAATCCAGTCTCTAACCAAAAATTAGCCGGGCACGGTGGCATGCATCTGTAGTCCCAGCTACTCAGGAGGCTGAGCTGGGAGGATTGCTTGAGCCTGGGAGACAGAGGTGGCAATGAGCCGAGATTGTGCCACTGCACTCCAGCCTGTGTGACCGAGCAAGACCCTGTCAAGAAAAAAAAAAAGAGAGAGAGAGAGAGAAAATTGCCAGGACGTCTTCATTCTTTTGGATGAGCGTCATTTTTAGGTCTTCTTTTTCATGATTTAGAGTAAATTAGGTAATGATTAAAAATTAATCTCTCATGATAGCATCTCTAGCAGATTCTATAGTAAAGGCTGTGGTTACACAACAGACTTTAAATTCTGTTGTGAAAGTTATGCTAAATATTAAAATTGCTCTAGATTACTTACTGGCTAAATGGAGAAGTAGCCGTGCAGTTGCTGGCATGTCTTGTTGCCCATGGAGAAATAAATTGTATACTATGGGGATTCAGTCATAGAGGATTAATGAACAGACTGCTTGGTTAAAGTAAATAGACTGTTTACCCAGCTCATTCTTTGATCTGTTTAATTTTAGTTGCTTTGGTTAATGGGTATCCCAGCTAAAGAGCATACTCCAAACCCTTGGTATTATTCTGCTGATAGTCATAGTAGTCTCCCTGGTGTGTTGTATTCTCTTAAAAGCCTTAAATGTTTGCACGCAGCCATCTCTAGAATGTCAAATTGTCTCTTTTCAACTGGAATGACGAGCTGAAAGAAATGTGTGACCATGAGGGCACTGGAACCTATGAATGATATGCTGACACTGAAAACCCAAAATGACAGTAAGAGTGGCACTAAGGCCCTAAGTTTTGGTCATACTCTCAACTAAATGAGAACTTGACCAGAAGGGAAGAATTTTTTAAACAAAATTATGGGAGGCCATTGTTTTGGATTGAGCTCATGCAATAGGCCCCAACAGATCAGACCAAACCAAAATAGACACTCATGCTAAATGTGATATAATCAAACTAAGGCTTTAAAGAAATAGATTCCAGAGGAGACCAGGTCTTGTTTTTCTCCTGTAAACAGGACATTTCAGCATAAGAAAGTACCCTCTACTCTAACCCTTACAAAAATATAACCTGAAGTTCTTGTTCCCACCTTACAAATCCCACTGTTCTGCTATTTCCTAGGGGATTTCGAGACCAAATACTCACATTTACAATGGTGATAGTGACATCAATGACTAAAGTTTTGGTCAATCTCCCAAAATTGAGAGACGATGACCAAAAGGGGAAAATTTTTAAATCAGGTTTAGTCTAAAACTACCTCCTCACATATTTTAAGTTCAGCCTAAAGGTTTCTCTGTACATAGTGAACTATAACTTAAACGGAGATGTAAATAGGCTATAACCTACTTTTGTGCCAATCACCCAGTTTTGGCCAATAAAAGGGGGCCAACTGTTTAAACTATGTTCAGATAAGGCAAATGCTGAGCTGTAACCAATCTGGCTATTTCTGTACCTCACTTCTCTTTTCTGTAAGTCACTTTCCATAAGTCACTTTCCATTTTCTGTCCATAAATCTTTTTCTACCATGTGGCTATGCTGGGATCTCTCTGAGCCTATTCTGGTTCAAGAGGCTTCCTGATTCATGAATTGTTCTTTGTCTAATTAAACTCTGTTAATTTAATTTGGCTAAGGATTTTCTGTTAACAGGGTGATTGGTAGGGAAAGAAAGTTGCTGGAGTAGTAACTTGAGGTGACAATACATTGTAAAGAAGGGTTTTTCAGAATAGGGATGATGCGCATAGGCTTTTAGTCAGAAAGAAAGGGACAGGAGGAGAGAAAGACATTCAAAAGGAGAAAAGAAAGTTGATGAAGAAAGGAAGTGGATGGAATTAGGAGTCAAGGCAGGAGGGGGATGTGGGGATAAGGATTATTCAGACCAGGAAAAGAGAAGCTTCTGCCTCTGCCAGAAGGAAGGAGGATGCAGGGAATGAAAATGAAGTCAGAGGAATTCTGAGGCAGAGGAGGATGGTCACAGAAAGTGGAGGAAAGATGGTTGTTTTCTTACTACATAACCTTGAGGACGGGGGCTGGCCTAGTGTCCTATTTTTGGACCACCCAAAACCATTGCTATACCTCAATAATAATTCATGGAAGGAAAGCAGGTGAACGGGGTCAGCCTCAGCAAATGCAGCATAATCCATTGCCTGTGGTCATAGTTTCTGGGGCACTGGAAAGAGACTTTACCCAAAATAATTTCTTCAAGCCTTTAAAAAATGTTCATGTTAAATGGCTTTATTGAATCTTAAGTCATATTTTTAGATAATCTCTCTCTCTCACCTGTGGCTCCTTTAGCATGGAAGTCCATACGAAAATGAAGTTTTCCTGCAAATAATATTAATTTAGCATTCATGCTATGTGTGTGGGCAAATAGTCATTTGCAAACTTGTTTTACAGGTAAACAAAAAAGAATGAAAGGGGTGCAAGGTAAAAAGAACTCTGAAGAGTTGTTTTATGGAAAATAAAAGTACAATTTATTCAGTTTTTCCTTTTGTAAGGTCAGGTCTACTACATAATTAGAGCTTCTGTGTATTCAGGATATCACAAGAATACAGAATTGCAAAGCATCTCTACTGTTGCCATGGGTGTGACAAAAAGGTACCAAAATTTTAGAACAATCTGCAGGCCAGATGCTGCTGCTTAATGTTTGATTTGCAAAAGAAAACCACAAAGAGCTTTCATTAACAAATGATTGGCATCCTTTGAAAACTTTGCTTAAAAGGAGAAACATCATAAGAATTTGTGAAGGCGATACAGCCATTCTTCCCTTCACACTTTTTTCTTTGTGTTCTTAAAAGCAGCAACAATCTTTTAACCAGAGCTTTTTAAAGAACATAACGTTCTTATGTCTACCCATCAACCCATATTTAAATATGTGTGGGTAAGAGCATAATTACTGGAAACTGTGTGTTGGCAGTATATAGGAGAACCTGCTAGAGGTGAAGGAAAAGTACAGAAAAGAGAAATCTTGTACACCAAAGAGAAATGTCTCTTGTTTCAAAATTTTCTTAGGATTACCGTAAAACAAAATTCCCTTCAATTGATGTAAATTTAGTATTAAGTCAAATGAATGACCCAATTGCTATTTGAAAAGTCATTTTTAAAATTATTGTAACTTTTAAACCATGGTTTTCATTTTTACTAACATGAAAGTTCAATTTTCCATTACTCACTTGGAGTTAAGCTTGAAAACATACTTCTTTTTCCCTTTATTTTTCTTATAACTGATTGTGCAATAAAGCTGAGACATAAAGTACTCTGTAGAGTAGACGGGGTTTGAGAAATTTCTTTAATCCAGTGCAAATGTAGGGAGTTGATTGAAATATCAGAATCTCACACTGTTTGTCAAACACACACTCACCCCATGTCTTCTTGGAAGTCACAGTGCTCCCACCTATTTTCATTTTACAACACAACTGGTTTGATGCAATTTCACAGTTGAGATTTTTTACATAAGTTGAAGTTGAGAAATCTTAACTCATTCTCACCTACTTGGCTTCAGTTTAAAATATTGCTATAATTTAGGCAAATAGTTGCAGAAAAAAATATGCCATGGAAAGGCTAAACAATAGTAGCTATGGCAACCTGCCTTTGACTCTCTCAGCCTTGTAGGGAATGGTGCTTCTGTCTACACTTCACAGCAGTCTCTTTGCCAGCACTCCCTCCCACCACAGATCTCTTCCTCAGGGGAGTTTCGGTGAACAGTACGGGCAGTTCATTCAAGTGGAAAATTCCTGTCCTCCGTATGTGCCAGCAGGTCGGTGGGGTTCCAATGCCCGTGACAGCTTGTTGTCTTGAAATTTTGCTGAGACAGAAAATTATGCCTTGAGCATCTCAGAATTGATATTTTTCTTTTGCTGCTCTGGTTGAAAGATAGAACATGTGTGGACTAGGATAGCAGGGTTTTTACAATGTTCGGGTAATCTCAATCACTGTGCAAGAAAACAGCTCAATAGTATCTGTCTCCCCTCAGCTTCAAGCAGCTAAATAAAGATCACTCATCTCTGGAGTCTGGAATCAAGGCCTTTCTTGCCTTGTAGTAGAGTGACTTCACTGTGGTGTGGTAAGGAGACCATCTCTTTGCAATAGCACCATGACCATGAGTGGCTGCTTGAAGGGAGAGTGGCAGCATTTGAGGTCTCTCTTCTCTGAAGGATTCTAGCCAGAGTGTGCAAGCTCAAAGGTCTACAGGGAATAAACAAGTGATGAAATTGAGTGAGGCAGGGAGAGGGAGACTTTGGGAACTGGAGAACCCTTGCCCAATATAAAGGCCCTGGCTTGGTTTAAAGTGGAGAGCCTCCCTCAGCTCCATCTAGTTGTTGTCATACAGAAATGTGGCTCTGTCTTGCCAGGTCTTCGGATTTGTCAAGAGAAGTCAGATAGTTACATGAAATTTATTTATTACAAATTACTGGTAGCAAATTCATTAACATTTTGTGAACACTTCGTCAAGTTTTCAAAAACATTTCACCTCCTTCAGTTCTTTGCCCAAATGTTGACTTCTCAGTGAGGATTTCCCCTGAACACTGTTTTGGTTGACAACCCCGACCCCACCCTGGCACATCCTTTTTCTCCTTCTTTGCTTTCTCTTTCTCCATAGCACAACACTTAATTGTTATCCAATACTGAGAGCAGGAATTTGTAACTGATTGCTCCTCTTCTGGACATCCAGCACCAAGAACACTGTTTGGTCCACAGAAGGTACTCAAGAATATTATTGGATGAATGTGAAGCAATGCAGGTCTGATACCCAGGCATAGGACTAATGTGAGATGAGTGAGGCACCAAGGGTGCAAAATTGAAGGGGCACTTAGCTTGTATGACCATGAGAGTGAGTGCCTCCTTAAATTTTGTGTCCTGGATACCTTACTCCCTCACTCTAGTCTTTGCCATGCTGGTGTAGTTGCCATAAGAATGTCTGATATGATCCTGAGGGTGGAATGAGAGACAGAAAAAAGGACTAGGATGTTTAACAATTAACATGCTACTGTTATTTAAAAACGCATGACTACAGTGAATCTGTATTGTGTCCATCAACAACATGAATGATATGGACTAAAAATGGTACAGGGTAATCTTCAGTTAGAATGCATACCTTCTGGGAATTAGGAATGTTAATTCACGCTCTCTTTTTCATTTTTACACAGAAAAACGTAAATCGTGATGAAAATTTTCATCAGCTGGGGGAGAATATTGATTTCAATTTTAGGCATGGGATGACCAGAGCTAAGAATGCCTATTTATTGAAAACCACCAAAATGTACAACAAATTGAAAAAAGAATTACTACCTGTAGAAGAGGTAGTATACCTCATTTTCAAGTTGAAGTTAAAATTAAATTTTGAATGAAAACTAATTATGAGAAAAGTTTTCAGTACTGTAACAAAGGCCAGCTAATGTTTTCCATTTATAGTTTTACTGGCTGAAAAGGAATATTGTCTGCACTCATAGCCACCAAACAAACGGCGATCCATAATATACAGGATGAACATGGTGGCAAATGTTAAATGGGAAATCTTGACTGAGGCTCTGAGATAGGATAACTATTAAAAGGAGTTAGTGAGGCAGATCAAAATGCAAACTGTTCAACTGTTAGAGAACTGGTTTCTCAAACAGAGTTGCAGTAGGAGGAACCTATCAAGGGAACTGCCAAAGAACCCACAGTAGTCCCTGTGGGGGAACCAGTTTTAAACATCTTCCATGCCTGATCGTGCAAAACTTTTTAGAATGACACCAGTGAAGAAAGAACTTTCTGTACTCCTTTCCTTTCTGCCCTCCAACCCTAGGGGCCTGAGGTTTGTGCTTAGCAGGTTTGAGAGGAGACACTGAGAGAAAGGGGCGGGGAGAGAGAGAGAGAAAGAGAGAAAGCCACCACTCTCCCCTAAATCCTGGCCTTGCTAGGAGATGAAAAAAAAAAAATTAACAATCAAAGAAAGAGTTTTGTATGTTACATTGGAGTGGGCATTCTCATTACTGGATGGAGACTGTTTTGTGACATAAAGTGCCCTAGGACTATTTCAGAAGAGTGAGCAGAAAAGTCATGCAACATGGAGGATTTCATTCAGAGGAAGTAAATTTTAAAGGGAGAGTGGGAGACAAAGCTCGGGTTTCCTTTCAGTGATATCTCATGAGAGTGATTGTTAAATGTGCTGATTACCCAGGGCTGTGGCAGACTACAGCCAGTCTCTGCGATTATTGTTAAATTTTTCCAGATTTGCTCTTGTGAAAACTACCTATTTGCTTAATAAGACTGAAAAGGAAAGAAAAGATGATCAGGTATAGTCATAGGTGATTTGTATGGCTCTGTAGTAACTGGAAGGTAAAGGAGGAAAGGAGCTGAGAGCAAATGTACTGGAGGGAAGAATGGTGCCAAGAAGTCCAGGGGAGCTGGGAGGTGGTGTCCATCCCCTCCTTAAAGATCTACACCTTACTAATACAAAAGATGGGATTCTGCCTTGCAAAATAGAGAGCTCATACCTTTCACTCCAGATATTTCAAAATGAGACGCTGAAGCACAGTTAACGAACTATAAAAATTAAGATAACTAGTAATACATCCCTGAATGAGGCAAGGAAGTGGAAGGAACATACTCTTGGAAGACAGAAGTCAGATCTGCCACTTATCTTTCTGTGCATCTCAGTTTCCTCATTTGTAAAAAAAATAGATATTAACACAGTTTTAGGATTGTTGGGAGGACTTAATAAGATTATATATGTAAATAAAGTGTCTTATACAACTTGAAGTACAACTGTCATTCAATACATGAGAGATATTAAAGTAAATGCTAGAAGACTCACCATCTATATTGGAAAAAAGTCATGTGTATCATTATATTATTCCTCCCCAATATCATCATTATTATGCAATGACAGGCTTACAAATATTTTTGCAGAAAACTTATATTCGAAAAGTAATATAATGGTGTAATTTGCTTGACTAACAATAATACAAGAAAGTACATGACAGAAGACAGGGAAGACCCCATATATAGCCTCCAAGAATAGTACCTCTTTTCCATTTTATTTTACACCCTAAAAATATATTTGGAGGGTTTTGATACCTTGAGAATATTAGGAAAACTATTATAAAGTGAGTTACATTTTTTGTAGTCTGTCTTTAAAAAGAAAAAGGCTACTTTATTTTAGGGTGGTAGAGTCTTAGGCTTATGCAGCTGAAGTAACAACTCCCAATGCAAATTATTTTGTAACTTTCTTTTATCTAATGCCATCTTGGTAAATATTTATAGGACCTGGCAAATCATCCTATTGGGCTGATTTCCCAGAGTCCCTGAGGGTAATAGGAGCCTTTTTTTTTTTTTTTTAAGAATGTCTGTAGTTTTCAGGAGTTTCAACAAGATATAGCTTAAGTTGTGGCAATATGAAATAGATATTATCAATTCATGTGTTGATATGGTTAGCAGCATCATATGCTATCAGTCAATAAGAATGGATGATCAAATTCCAGCCCTCCCTCAGCCAGTAAAAAGTT
Organism: Homo sapiens; assembly: GCF_000001405.40. NCBI lineage: Eukaryota > Metazoa > Chordata > Mammalia > Primates > Hominidae > Homo > Homo sapiens. Next base: position 115,731,988 of record NC_000005.10, on the reverse strand, counting down.
GCAATTTGATTATGGTTACCTACATGATTACCTAGGTAGATATTTGAAGACTGACCTTAGACTGTTTGTGTATGTATCATATCTATGTCTAAGTCCTTGAATTTCAATATGCCATCACTGTTGACACCTGGACTGGTTTGTGGACTATTCGACCTTGCTGGAACTCGGGGTCTGGGTCCCTCAGTGAAGGACCAGTGCACTTGCAAACTGGAAGTGGGTATACATTGAGGATAGGAGAGACAGCAGGAGGTACAAATTCCAAATTTTACTTTCTGCTACTCAAATCATATCTTGATTGTAATGGTGGTTACATGTATATATACATTTGTCAAAGCTCATTGAGCTTTACACTTCAAATGGGTATGTACTTTTATATGTAATTTATCTCAATAAAACTGATTAGAAAATAGTTTGCTCCAGTTTACTAAAAAGTAATTATTAATATTTAAACACTGTGATGATTAATACTGTTTCAACTTGATTGGATTGAAGGATACAAAGTATTGATCTTGGATGTGTCTGTGAGAGTGTCACCAAAGGAGATTAACATTTGAGTCAGTGGGCTGGGAAAGGCAAACCCACCCCTCTGGATGAGCACCATCTAATCAGCTGCCAGCGTGGCTAGAATAAAAAGCAGGTAGAAAAATGTGTAAAGAGAGAGACTGGCCTAGGCTCCAAACCTACATCTTTCTCCAGTGCTGGATGTTTCCTGCCCTCAAACTTCAGACTCTAAGTTCTTCAGTTTTGGAACTTGAACTGGCTCTCCTTGCTCCTTAGCCTGCAGATGGCCTATTGTGAGACCTTGTGATTGTGTGAGTTAATAAACTCCCCTATATATATACACACACATACACACACATATATATTTAAGTTTATATATATTTATATATTTACATATATATTTAAGTTTATATATATTTAAGTTTATTAAGTAATATATATGTGCTATATATATTACATATATATGACATTTATATATATGCTATTATTTCTCTCTCTCTAGAGAACCCTGACTAATACAGATTTTGGTACCAGGAGTGGTTCTAGAGGAAGAGAATATTAAAGATGCAGTTCTTTTGTTGGTTTTGGGGTTTCTGGAGTTGGCTGCTTAATATGATTAGACCCCAAAATGCTAAGGACTCTACTTCTAATAGTATGGAGAACACGGATAATCCTTGGCATGAACTGTTTAGAGAGTTATGCAAAATAAATGCATTTGACACTTCTGATTCATTGCACATGAGAGGCGAGGAGTTTAGTGACTCTATACATAATGCCTTTGCGCATATGTGGAGAACCAAGGAACATAGTGAAGCTGGTTGGTTGCTCCTAAATTCTGTAGACAAAGTGATGAAAGAAAATGATGAACTTAGGGATTCTATCTCCTGGCTTCAGAAGCAGATACTGAGCCTCAGATCTGCTAAGATTGCCCTGAGTGAGAGTCTTATCAGCTGTAGAGAAAGAGTTGAAATTGTGGAAAAACAGACACAAGCTCTTATCATGCGAGTGGCTGACCTGCAACAAAAGGTGCATGCACAGCCTCACCAGGTGTCTACTGTTAAAATGAGGGCATTGATTGGAAAAGAATGGGACCCTGCAACTTGGAATGGGGATGTGGGAGGACCCTGATGAAGCTGGACACTGAGTTAGTACACATTGATGAACCTCTTTTTTCAGAAAGAACAGCTTCCCCATCCCCAGTAGTGGCAACATCCTCTCCCTGACCCATGCTGCCGTCAGCCTTTCCATTGTCTGAGAAGATAAATCCTGCGCTGCCTGAGTGTACAGTGATGGCCTCTCCTGAGGCAGTTGGCAGGCAAGATAATGTTGATTCTCCTCAGGAGCCACCCCTAACACCCCATTTGCTTCTAGACTTATAACTAAAGTCCTGGCAGGCCCCTATTGGTGAGGTTGAGAGTGTGACCCATGAGGAGGTACACTACACTCAAAAAGAACTGCTTGAGTTTTGTAACTTATATAACAGAAATCTGGATAACAGGCATGGGAATGTATATTAAGGGTGTGGGATAATTGCAAAAGGAACACAGAGTTGGATCAGACTGAATTTATTGATTTGGGCCCAATAAGTAGGGACTCTGCATTTAATTTTGCAGCTTGGGGAGTTAAAAAAGGTCCTAATTGTTTGGTTAGCTGAAATATGGATTAAAAGATGGCCCACTGTGAGTGAGCTGGAAATGCCTGATCTCCCTTGGTTTAATATAGAGGAAGGGATCCAAAGGCTTAGGGAGATTGGGGTGATGGAGTGGATTAGTCAATTTAGACCTACTCATCCCAGCTTGGGGTAGGGGTGGGGGGTCCAGAAGATATACCCTTGACCAATGCCTTGTGAAATTGATTTATGAGGGCATCACCTGAATCTTTGAAGAGCCCTGTAATTGCTCTTCTCTGTGTGTCAGATCTAACAGTGGGAACTGCAGTCACTCAACTACAAAATTTAAATACAGTGGGAATAATTGGATCCCAAGGTGGCAGGGGCCAAGTGGCAGCACTCAACTGTCAAAGGCAAGGTGGGAGTAGCTACCATAATGGACAGCAGAGGCAAAGCGGTGATCAGAATAGTCTGACTTGTGTAGAGCTCTGGCATTGGCTAATTAATCACAGTGTTCCCAAAAGTGATATCAATAGGAAGCCTACTGCATTCCCAATTAAATTATACAAGTAGAAACCTTCTAGGTCGAATGGACAAAAGACTAATTTGAATTATACAAACAAAGAATCACGGCCTCTCAATCAATTTCCAGACTTGAGCCAGTTTACAGACCCAGAACCCCTTGAATAAAGGGGAGACTGGGTCCCCTTGAGAAAGGACCCCACTACACTACCAACAATTTATGCAGTGAATCTTTCTCCCATCCCTCCCCAAGGAGACCTCCTGCCTTTTACCAGGGCAACTGTGCACTGGGGAAAGGGATATGATCGGACATTTTGGGGACTACTAGACACTGGCTCTGAGCTGACATTGACTCCAGGGGACCCAAAACATCATTGTGGTCCCCCAGTTAAAGTAGGGGTTTATGAAAATCAGGTAATTAATGGAGTTTTAGCTCAGGTCTGACTTACAGTGGGTCTAGTGGGTCCCCAGACTCATCCTGTGGTCATTTCTCCAGTGCCAAAATGCATAATTGGCATAGACATACTTAGCAGCTGGCAGAACACCCATGTTAGCGCCCTGACTGGTAGGGTGAGGGCTATTATGGTGGGAAAGGCCAAATGGAAGCCATTAGCACTGCCTCTACCTAGAAAAATAGTAAATCAAAAACAATATCACATCCCTGGAGGGATTACGGAGATTAGTGCCACCATCAAGGACTTGAAAGATGCAGGGGTGGTGATTCCCACCACATCCCTATTCAACTCTCCCAATTGGCCTGTGCAGAAGACAGATAGATCTTGGAGAATGACAGTGGATTATCATAAGCTTAACAAGGTGGTGACTCCTCTTGCAGCTACTGTACCAGATGTGGTTTCATTGCTTGAGCAAATTAACACATCTCCTCGTACCTGGTGTGCAGCCATTGACTTGGCAAATGCCTTTTTCTCCATTCCTGTCCACAAGGCCCACCAGAAGCAATTTGCCTTCAGCTGGCAAGTATACCTTTACTGTCCTACCTTAGGGTATATCAGCTCTCCAACTTTGTGTCATAATCTTATTCGGAGAGACCTTGATTGGTTTTCGCTTCTGCAGGATATCACACTGTTCATTACATTGATGACATTATACTGATTGGATCCAGTGAACAAGAAGTAGCAGACACACTGGACTTATTGGTGAGATGTTTGCATGCCAGAGTATGTGAAATAAATCTGAATAAGATTCAGGGAACTTCTACCTAAGTAAAATTTCTAGGGGTCCAGTGGTGTGGGACCTGTCAAGATATTCCTTCTAAGGTGAAGAATAAGTTGCTGCATTTGGCCCCTCCTACAACCAAGAAAGGCACAACACCCAGTGAGGCTATTTGGATTTTAGAGGCAACACATTTTTCATCACAGTGTGTTACTCTAGCCCATTTATCGAGTAATGTGAAAGGCTGCCAGTTTTAAGTGGGTTCCAGAACAGGAGAAGGCTCTGCAACAGGTCCAGGCTGCTGTGCAAGCTGCTCTGCCACTTGGGCCCTATGACCCAGCAGATCCAATGGTACTTGAGGTGTCACTGGCAGATAGGGATGCTGTTTGGAGCCTTTGGCAGGCCCCCTTAGGTGAATCATAGCAGAGGCCTTTAGGATTTTGGAGCCAAGGCCGTGCCATCTTCTGCAGATTACTACTCTCTTCTTGAGAGACAGCTCTTGGCCTGTTACTGGGCTTTGGTGGAAATTGAATGTCAACATGTGACCTGAACTGCCTATCATGAACTGGGTGCTTTCTGACCCATCCAGCCATAAAGTGGGTAGTGCACGGCAGCATTCCATCGTCAAATGGAAGGGGTATATACATGATTGGGCTTGAGCACGTTCTGAAGGCACAAGTAAGTTACATGAGGAAGTGGCTCAAATGCCTACGGTCTTCACTCCTGCAACCCTGCCATCTCTCCCCCAGCCTGCACTGCTGGCTTCATGGGGAGTTCCCTATGATCAGATGGCAGAGGAATAGAAGACTAGGGCCTGGTTCACAGATGGTTCTGCATGATATGCAGGCACCCCCCAAAAGTGTTCAGTTGCAGTACTACAGCCTCTTTCTAGGACATCCCTGAAGGACAGTGGTGAAGGGAAATCTTCCCAGTGGGCAGAACTTTGAGCAGTGCACCTGGTTGTGGGATTTGCATGGAAGAAGAATTGGCCAGATGTGTGATTATATACTGATTCATGGGCTGTAGCCAATGGTTTGTCTGGATGGACAGGGACTTGGAAGAAGCATGATTGGAAAATTGGTGACAAAGAAATTTGGGGAAGAGTTATGTAGATGGACCTCTCTGAGTGGTCAAAAACTGTGAAGATATTTGTATCCCATGTGAGTGCTCACCAATGGATGACCTCAGCAGAGGAGGATTTTAATCAAGCGGATAGGGTGACCCATTCTGTGGACATCACTCAGCCTCTTTCCCCAGCCACACCTGTCATTGCCCAATGGGCCCATGAACAAAGTGGCCATGGTGGTAGGGATGGAGGTTATGCATGGGCTCAGCAGCTTGGACTTCCACTCACCAAGGCTGACCTGGCTACAGCCGCTGCTGAGTGCCCAATTTGCCAGCAGCAGAGACCAACACTGAGCCCTCAATATGGCACCATTCCTCGTGCTGCTACCTGGTAGCAGGTTGATTATATTGGACCTTTTCCATCATGGAAAGGGCAGAGGTTTGTCCTCACTGGAATAGACACTCTGGATATGGGTTTGCCTATCCTGCACTCAATGCTTATGCCAAGACTACCATCCATGGACTCATGGAATGCCTTATCCACCGTCATGGTATTCCACACAGCATTGCGTCTGGCAAGGCACTTACTTTACAGCTAAAGAAGTGCAGCAGTGGGCTCATGCTCCTGGAATTCACTGGTCTTACCATGTTCCCCATCACCCTGAAGCAGCTGGATTGATAGAACGGTGGAATGGCCTTTTGAAGTCACAATTACAATACCAACTGGGTGACAGTACTTTGCAGGGCTGGGGCAAAGTTCTCCAGAAGGCTGTGTATACTTTGAATTCGCATCCAATATATGGTACTGTTTCTCCCATAGCCAGGATTCACGGGTCCAGGAATCAAGGGGTGGAAGTGGAAGTGGCACCACTCACCATCACCTCTAGTGATCCACTAGGAAAATTTTTACTTCCTGTTCCCATGATATTACATTCTGCTGGCCTAGAGGTCTTAGTTCCAGAGGGAGGAACACTGCCACCAGGAGACACAACAACAATTCCATTAAACTGGAAATTAAGATTGCCACCTGGACACTTCGGGCTCCTCCTACCTTTAAGTCAACAGGCTAAGAGGGGAGTTACAGTGTTGGATGGGACAATTGATCTGGACTATCAAGATGAAATCAGTCTACTACTTCATAATGGAGGTAAGGAAGAATATGCATGGACTACAAGAGGTCCATTAGGGTGTCTCTTAGTATTACCATGCCCTGTGATTAAGGTCAATGGGAAACTACAACAGCCCAAACCAGGCAGGACTACAAATGACCCAGATCCTTCAGGAATGAAGATTTGAGTCACTCCACCAGAAAAAAAAAGCCATGACCTTCTGAGGTGCTTGCTGAAGACAAAGGGGATACAGAATGGGTAGTAGAAAGTAGTCATCAATATCAGCTATGATCACGTGACCAGCTGCAGAAATGAGGATTGGAATTGTGATGAATATTTTCCCCTTCTTTTGTTAAAAACATGTTTTTTCATGCATATGCTTGTACTCAGAAAATATCTTCATTTTATTTCCTTTCTCCTTTATCATGTAACATAAGATTTATTGACTTCACATCAGCATTTAAGTATTGTTAATTTAATGTAATAGTATTTGGGGCCGGGCACGGTGGCTCATGCCTATAATCCCAGCACTTTGGGAGGCCGAGGCAGGCAGATCACGAGGTCAGGAGATCGAGACCATCCTGGCTAACACGGTGAAACCTGGTCTGTAATAAAAATACAAAAAAATTAGCCGGGCGTGGTGGTGGGTGCCTGTAGTCCCAGCTACCTGGGAGGCTGAGGCAGGAGAATGGCGTGAACCTGGGAAGCAGAGCTTGCAGTGATCCGAGATTGTGCCACTGCACTCCAGCCTGGGCAACAGAGAGTGACTCTGTCTAAAGCAGATAGGTGCATTTCCAGTTGTACAAAGGATATTTGCATTATGTTAGGCATAATTATGACCTTATTATTGTCTTTATTTGAAGATTATATATGATTTCAGGAGATGTGTTCAAGTTGACAAGGGGTGGGCTTGTGATGGTTAATACTGAATGTCAATTTGATTGGAATGAAGGAAAAAAAGTATTGATCCTGGGTGTGTCTGTGAGGGTGTTGCCAAAGGAGGTTAATAATTGAGTCAGTGGGCTGGGAAAGGCAGACCCACCCTTAATCTGAGTGAGCACAATCTAACCAACTGCCAGCATGGCTAGAATAAAAAGCAGGCAGAAAAGTGTGAAAAGAGAGAGACTGGCCTAGCCTCTCAGCCTACATCTTTCTCCCATGCTGGATGCTTCCTACCCTCGAACACTGGACTCTGAGTTCTTCAGTTTGGGAACTTGGACTGGCTCTCCTTTCTCCTCAGCCTGCAGATGTCCTATTGTGGGACCTTGTGATCATGTGAGTTAATAAACTCCCCTTTATATGTATATATATCTATTCCATTAGTTCTGTCCCTCTAGAGAACCCTGACTAATACAAACACCTTCCCCAAAACAAAGAAAAAAACCCTTCAGTGGCTCCCATTTGCCTGCAAGACTAAATTCACAATGCTAATGAAGATATTTAAAGCTCTCTTTGTGATCCCAAGCTACCTTCAGCTGGGTTTTTCATCTATTTTGGGTCATGGATACTTCTGGTGGTCTGGTGAAAACTATGCATCTCTTTTCAGAGTTATGTTTTAAAATAAAACACATTGGTGTACAAAGGAAATCATTTATATGCAAATCATATCAAAATACTTTTTAAAAATTTGTGATATAGTAATATATGTACTTGTTTATTAACTCATTAAATAACAAGATCTAGGCTGGGCACACTTTCTCACCACCACTTTGGAAGGCGGAGGCAGGTGGATTGCTCAAGCCCAGGAGTTTGAAACCACCCTGGGCAACACGGTGAAATCCCATCTCTAAAAAAACACAAAAATTAGCTGGGCATGGTGGAGCACACCTGTAGTCCCAGCTACTTGGGAGGCTGAGGTGGGAGGATGGCTTTAGCCCGGGAGGTGGAGGTTGCAATGAACCGAGATCATGCCACCGCACTCCAGCCTGGGTGATAGAGCCAAAAACAAAAACAAAAAACACAAACCCCTCCCCCACACAAACAAACAACAAAAACAAGAGCGAGCATAAGTCTGATAAGCATAATTTCAAAGTATCATGAGCATAAATTGTAGTTTAAGAAATCTACAACTGCAACATGGAATGAAATAATCTGTGATTTTTATTGTCAACGAAGTAATAAGTACTGCTAATACTACTGTGATTCTCCCTACCCTCATTCAAAATGGAACGAAACACTAAATTTTAGTTAGAGTTTAGTGAAAATTAAGGTCTATTTTTTCCCATCCAGTTTGAACCCTCTCCCTCTACTCCATCTCCCCAACTTTCCCCTGTCTGAATTCTAGGTTAAGAACTGCTTATTTCTTAGTGAGTAATTTCTTCCCCCTAGCTTAAGCCCCAGTAAGATCCAAGACACTCTGCTTTAGTGCAGAGATCACCCATCCTAAAACCTGTGAAGACAGCAAGAAACATGAATGTGTGGGTGGGTGGGTATGTCAGACAGTGGAGAATGATAAGTGATACGGAGCCCTTGTCCTCCCTTAGGGCATTCACATATAACATTTGGTCTTTTTTGAAAAACACAATAATGTACTATCCAATCCAAATAAAGATTAGCCAGGAGTTGGCTAGTGTGTATCCACTGTTTAATCAACCAGAATGAACTGCCAGTTCTCCCCCATTCTCCCACCCCTGCATCTCCATAGTTTCCTTTTTGTAGAAAGTCCTTCCTTCTAATCTCTTTTAATCAAAATACAGCCAGTTCAGGGGTTGGCATTTCCTGCTTCCAGTAGCTGGAAGTCATCTGGCGCCTTGCTGTGATCCCAGGAATCTTGGTTTAAATCTTTCTGTGCTTTATTTATTCATTTACTTTTAACACAGGTCACATTTTGCCTTGTATTATGTTCACTGATGTACACATTTCACCTTCTGTATTGATCGTGAGCTCCTTGCAGGCAGAACGCCTCCTACATTTCTCCTTGCTTCTCTTGTGTCTTTCTCTCTTTAACTGATGAGTCTTAATTCTTCCATCCCATGAGAAATGAAGCTCTGACCTAATTTTCTTTCCACTGAAGAGCTCATACTGTATTCACAAACCTCTTAGCCAGAAAAGTAATTGATGTCATATAAAGTCTTTATCAAGGAATAGACATTCATTCATTTAATCCTTCATTCACACAATCCCTTATTCTCTTAAAAACCAGGTGAGAGCCTGGTATGAAATAAATCAGATTAGAAATGGTGGTATATACAAACTGTGATGTGTATTTGTGAAACTATTTCTAGTAGCCTAGAGACAAGGAGATTAATACTTCCTTATGAAGGGCACTCATTCTTTTTTAGTTTTTGAGACCGCATCTCACTCTATCACCCAGACTGGAGTGCAGTGGTGTGATCTCGACTCACTGCAACCTCCACCTCACAGGTTCAAGCGATTGTTGTGCCTCAGCCTCCTGAGTAGTTGGGATTCCAGGCACATGCCTCCATGCCTGGCTAATTTTATATTTTAGTAGAGACGGGGTTTCACCATGTTGGTCAGGCTGGTCTTAAACTCCTGACCTAAAGTGATCCACCACCTTAGCCTCCTGAAGTGCTGGGACAGGTGTGAACCACCACATGCAGTCTGATGAAGGGCCCTCATTCTTCATTGCATGTTCAGGAGTTGCCCAAGTAGCATTCTAAAATATGATCAGTCAGCAGTGCCCCACCGAATAACCATGGCTGTGGACTCCCTATCTGCCGTGCGGTTACATTTGAAAACATTAAAGGAAATGTTTAATTACTTTGTATCCTGGCTTTTAAAATTCCTTGCAATGTGGCATTGAGTAAATTACTGAAGATTTCTGAGTCTCAGTTTTGTCATCTGTAAAACATCATCTATCTCCTAGAGTTGTTTGATGGTTGAATGAGTTAATACATGTACAGCACTTACAACAGTGTCTGGCACATGGTAAGTGTCCCATGAATGTAACAAAAGTGTTCACTAAAACAAAACATCTCCCAAATATCTATTTCATGTTAAGCATGTGCTTTGTGCCAAACACTGGGTTAGGCATGAGGGATAAAAGGCTGAACAAAACATAGCATCTTCCTCAAGGAACTCATAACATAATGTGACATTTTCCAATCTGTGGACCAGAGATTCTCTGGGAACACTTCTCTCAAGAATCTATTTCTTCATTATACTGAATACATAATCTGACTCAGAAATATATGCTTTATTAAAAAATATATGTAGAATTAATAAATGTCAAAATCATTTAAAAGGATTTTTTAGGTCACTTTTTTTGTCATTACTTATAATCTCACCTCCTATTGAGGCACCAAATGTGATCATGTGGTGGCCCCCAACATTTTTGCGGAGATATTAAAAATAGCTTCTTATGGTAAAATGGGCTGGATCTACTTGTTGAGTGGATAGTACAGTCTGACAGAAACCCAGACAATCATTTCTGTTTAGGCAGAGAGGAAATGCTGCCCCTGGAGAGTAGCAGTAAGTACCAAGATACCACAGAGTAAAAACTGACTCTCAAGAAATATTTGATCAAAGAGCTTCCAGGTGCTCCCCAAAAGGTTGGGAACCCTTCACCAAGAAGGATGAGATAGAAAGAAACTTCCAGATTGATATAAGAGAAAGGGCTCTGTTAAGAAGCAAACTCTACTATTGTCCCTCTGATCCAGCTAACGTGGAAGGGTATCTCCAAAATTCTAAGATCAGAGAAGGCAACCTGTGGTTGTTAATGCAATCTAGATTTCTGTGGATGCCTGGCAGGTGTCAGTACTGATGGAAGTCCCACCAAAGAGACAGGTTGCAGAGAAGCATTTGATTCCCTTCTGCTTGCTGCTGTTCTGATACGACAGAAATTGTGGAACTGTTCATACTCATATGCTTAGTTGCCAACCACTAGGTATAAGTTCTTAGATCACCTCCTCTTGTAATAGATGGCAGTACATATTGGGAAAGCATGAGTGGGTTGAAATCTGGCCCCTGTTGCAGCTTGAATGCTTTGTCTTGGCATCTGTCCTAGGCAGTTTTGAAAAGACTGTAATAACTTTTCTGGAAAATTACTGGGAATTATTGTCAAATCACTAAGAAACTCATAGCAGTAGAGATTGAATATGGGAGAAACTCCTACCGTTTTCTAAAAGTCCCATGCCTTAAAATCATTATGGTGCAATGTTCTTTTATAAAAGAGATCATTAGAATTTACTTTCTGGTCCAGAGCACAAAGTCAGTATACTTTGCTGCAGAAAGTCTTGGTAATCTTTGGTAGGTACCTCATTCTCAAGCAACTTGGTGATCTCCATAGAAAAAGAAATCTGCCTGTTTTGTGTTTTGTTTGATTTTGTTTTTTCTTATCTAGGAATTACTGTCTTTGATTACTCCTCCCAAAAATAATAATTTAGTACAAGGCCAAGTTTATTATCTGGCAGATATCAGATACTCAGTTCAAGTTTATTGAGTGACTAAAAAAAAATGACTATTCACATAGCAGTCAAACCCCAATCTGTGTGTGTTCTCCTTAGTCACAGTCCCCTACCTCGGTTGTTTTCTTTTAATGGCTTATCTTCTTTTACTCAAAAAGCTGCTGCGGGCCTGATGAATAAGTGATTTCTCTTATCATAATTTCAAAGCAACGATGAGCATAAATGGTATTTTAAGATATTTGCAACAACCGTAACCTGCAGTGAAATAACCTGTGATTTTTATTGGTGACAAAGCCACCCAAGGTCACTCACAGGTTGGTATGTTTGAGAGAGCAAGGATTATCTGATTTTATACATATATTTCTCATTTGCTGTCTTCTCAATCCAGCCATCTAAAGTTAAGAAAAAAAGCCTATAAAATACTTGGTTATTCTCTCAACTTAGAAGGCAATTTTTAATGAAGTTTAATATAATCTTGATAAGAGTTGATTATCTGAAATGTTAAAACAGAGTTCGATTTCACAGCCTGCTCAAGTCACAGATACATGTATTTTCCCTCTTTGACATTTTTCTCAATTTTACTCTTTAAACACAAAATAGCATTTCAACTTTGTTGAGTGCTATGTTGGAGGTGACAATTTTCCACTTAGAATCGTCGTGTTCCTTCTCCTTCCCACTTTTTTCTCTTCCTCCTTTTTATCATCATGTTGGCTAAAGACCCTGGCCTCAGGTCTGCCCTCTTTATTCAGAGAGAGGACGTTGACATCCTCTTCCCTACCTGTGCATTTCTGGGCATCCCTGGCATTCCTGCACTGTACTAAACTATCAGTTAATGTTTGAGCCTATTAAGTTCATTATATATTCCTTCTGCTGATGGTGTACCCAAAGAATGAAGCACAGCCAAAATCTCACAGGCTTTCCTACCTAGAGCTAAGGGGAAGCTCTCCTTTGGACTGCATACCCTTGTGGCTAGCTCCAAGAATATGAACTGTCCCAAATTAGTTTGTATGTTTGCCATTGTATATTCTGTTTTTTTATAAAAGCTCTCCTAGCCTTATGAGTTTAAAATTAAAATATGTCTTTTAAAAATATATCACTTATAATCACAAACATTGGCCAGATAAGCCCATGCTTGAGGAGGCCCTGAGTGCCTCTTGGCTTCCCATTTGGTTAGCTGGGACAAGAAGATGGTTTGAGTATTTTATAGAAGGAGTGCAAGTGTTTTGGGGCCTTTCCTCTGACAAGTTCATCCAGAAGTAATGGGTAAGTGTTAGGAAAAATAACATGTTTCATCATCAAACATGAGGCAGATACAGCAGGAAAAAGAACAAGAATGCCTCAGATCTCCAGATAAAAGGCTGGTCACTCGGTCCCCAAAACCACTGGTAAAGTGTGATCTGCCAGTGACACAGAAGATGCAAACTGCATGTTAGAAACTCCTAGTACAAACAGCAGCTCAGAATCATGGGTGGAAAGGCAAACCCTGATTACTCTGTTTTTCTGGGGTTTTTTTGGCCACTGTTCCTTCATAGGAATAAATTTCTCTGTCTTAGTATTTTTCCTGGCTGGATTTCAGGACCTACCTCTTAGTTACACTATTATGTTCCGATTCATAATTTTTTTTAAAGGCTTGGCCTGTAAATAGATCCTTTTTCCATTTGAAAGTTTCTGTGCAGTTGGAGTTTTGAAAATCTACTGAAGGACTGAAGGAGAGGCCAAAGGCAATCTCTGAGTTCTGATCCTTGTACTTCTCCTCCCATACCTTGGATTTCTGTTCAGGAAATTCCAAATTTTCTTTTTCCTCTTAAAGATCTCCTATTCCCTTCCTTTTTTTTGTTTGTTTTGTTATGTTTTGTTTTTTGAGACCGAGTCTCACACTGTCGCCCAGGTTGGAGTTCAGTGGTGCTATTTCAGCTCACTGCGACCTCTGTCTCACAAGTTCAAGTGATTCTCGTGCCTCGGCCTCCTGAGTAGCTGAGATTACAGGTGTGTGCCACCATGTCCAGCTAAGTTTTTGTATTTTTTTTTTTTTTTTTTTTTTTAGTAGAAACAGAGTTTCACCCTGTTGGTCAGGCTGGTCTCAAACTCCTGACCTCAAATTATCCTCCCGCCTCGGCCACCCAAAGTGCTGGGATTACAGGTGTGAACAACCACGCCCAGCCCACCCCTCCTTACTAACAACAAAATTTACAGAAAGTGAGGTTGGACATGCTCTCTCTTCTGTATCTAACCTCTGTACACACACACTTGCACATGGACACACAAACAACCAACATTTTAAACATCAAACTTGTCTAGTGTGCGGCCGTTTTCCAGCCAAACTCTATCCTGTTTCTCTACATGATTTAAATTAATGGCAAAGCTCACATCTTGAGAGCCTACTGAGTACTCATCCTTGTGTCCCTGTTCTTACGTGTTTCTATGCCTACAGCCTTACCCCTTGGGTCAAAGTTAGTACAATGTGTGGTCCCAGTTAGGAAATGCTCCAGGAAGAGTAGTGAAATCTCAGTGACACCAAGCAACATCTGACTCTGCTGCTTGCATGACTCTTGGAGGTCACTTTAATACTAAAATTTCCCCTTCTTGTTTCAGTCCTTCTGTTTGCTTTTTCTTTGTGTCCAAAATGGCTACTTGGAGATTTAGACTCAAAGAAAGTTATACCTGAGGGGACATTGCTAACTGTAAAGTACTAGAAAAAAGAAATGCACTCATACTCTTGTTAACATCTTTGTAGAACTTCCAAAATTTCTCTATGAAAAGCAGAGCCAACCAGAACCACCTGGAAGTGGGGTGCCCAGCCATCCTGAGAGAAGACTTGGTCCACTAGAGAAAGTGCCCTCACAGAAAGTCTTCTTCCTCCTCCCTTATCGCCTGGACCAATTTTCTAAACAATTTCTTTGCCAGCGACATTATGTTGCAGAAAATGGACGAGCTAGCTGGGAGTAAGTCATGCAAAGGGCCATCTTTTACACATCAAGTGTAAGTGTAAGTTGTAGGTGTACTCTTAGCCTCATTCCTGCCTGTCAATTTCCTTTCTTTACAACAGACATAATATGAGGAGTCATTCACTTATTTATTCATGGGCAGACCTTTTTCAGTAGAAGGGACTGTCCTGGACATGGGATACTTCCATGAATAAGTCAGACAGGGTGCCTGATGTCATCTGTTCACATGCAGGGTGAATGCAGTGCACATAACACTTCTGCTTAACCTCATGGAGCTTTCTTCAAGAGGGTCCTGAGAGACTGTGGCAGATAATCTCTAACATAACCCCTGAAAATCTCATCTTCTCATTCTCATGCCCTCCACTTAAGTGTGGACAGGACTTGTGACTTACCTCTAGCAATGGAATGTGGCAGAGGTGATAGAATGTTACTTCAGTGTGATTATGTCCCTCTTGCTGGCAGACTTATTCTAGGAACTCTGTGGCAGACCTTAAAGAAGTAAGTGGCCATATTGGGAGGGCCATATGGCAAGAAGCTGAGGGCAGCTGCCAGCCAACAACCAGCAAGAGGCTAAGGAGTCCAGTCCTACAGCTGCAAGGCAATGGATTCTGCTAACAACCTAAGTGTGCTTGGAAGTGGATCCTTTCCCAGTCCAGCCTCTAGATGACAATGCAGCTTAGCTGACACTTTGATTGCAACCTTTTGATATCCAGATAAGCCATTCCTAAACGCTTGGCCCACAAAAACTGTGAGATAATAAATTGGTATTGTTTTAACAAATTAACAAGCAAAACAAAAAAAACAACTCCATCAAAAAGTGGGCAAAGGACATGAGCAGGCAATTCTCAAAAGATGACATACAGCCAACAAGTATATAAAAAAAAGCTCAACATCACTAATCATTAGAGAAATGCAAATCAGAACCACAGTGACATACTATCTCACACAGCCAGACTGTCTATTATTAAAAAGTCAACAAATAATGGATGCTGGAGAGGCTGGGGAGAAAAGAGTACGCTTATATACTCCTGGTGGGAATATAAATTATTTCAGCTACTGTGGAAAGCAGCCTGGCGATCTCTCAAAGAACGTAAAACAACTACCATTTGACCTAGCAACTCCATTACTGGGTATATACCCAAAGGGAAATAAATCATTCCACCAAAAAGATGCACACTTATATGTTCATCGTGGCACTACTCACAATACAAAGACGTGGAATCAACCTCAATGCCCATCAATGGTGGACTGGATAAAGAAAATGTGGTGTGTATATGCCATGGAATACTACGCACCTATAAGAAAGAACTAGATTGTGTCCTTCACAGGAACACAAATGGAGCTGGTGGCCATTATCCTGTGAACTAACACAGGAACAGAAAACCAAATACTGCATGTTCTTACTTATAATTGGGAGCTAAACATGGAGTACACATAGACACAAAGAGGGGAACAATAGACACCGGGGCCTACTTGAGGGGGAGGGTAGAAGGAGGGTGAGGATTGAAAACTGCCTATTGGGTACTGTGCTTATCACCTGAGCAATGAAATAGTCTATACATAAAACCCCTGTGACACTCAATTTATATACTCAATTATATAACAAACCCGTACATGTAACCCTGAATCTAAAAGTCAAAAATAACTAAATCAATTGGTATTGTTTTAAGCTGCTAAGTTTGTGGTTATTTATTATGTAGCACAGGAAATGAAAACAGAAGCTCCATGACCAAGAGTAACCAGGGCCAGCACTGTCCCACAAGCTTCTGTAGCTGGTTGGACTGGATTTCTCTATTTGTCTCTAATATATCCCTTAGGGCTTGGATTGCAGAGTTCTAACTCCCCCTCCCCTAATCTGGGCAAGCATATTTATAACCTCCCTAACTCCTGGACTCCTTAAAATCAAATGAAGCCAAGTTGTCTGAAGCAAGACCATAGACAAAGAGAGATCCCTGAAATACTGTGTAAGTTGGGTGCTGTGTCACTGGAGGGATTTCAAAGACATATCCTCTCCCACTGTAGCCCCACACACCCACAAGTATCTTTCCTCTTAGATAGCCCACAGGCCACAAATTCCCACTGTTAGGGTCACCTTTTGAAGTGAGGAATTGTCTCCAGGAAGTCTTTATTATATGAGGTAACCTTCCATTACTTCATTCATAAACTCAACAACATCTAATTTCTATATTTATAAAATGAGTATAATAGTACTTATAAATTTGTCATGAGATGAAATGAGTCAATGTATATAAATTGTATAAATAATTGCTTGGCATGTTGTAAATGCTACAGAAGTGTCCACCATTATTAATATAGTTTGTAGTATTGTGATTTATTATAGCACAGACAATAACCTAGACATTAGGAAATACAAATATGTAAAAGAGATAGCCCCTGCCCTGTAGCTTATTCCTCATCTCTCTGTCTGAGAAGTAAGTTCCAAATGAAAAGGTCAACAGGACAGAAAATTTTATGGAGTGAGGGCTTGAAATCAGTCATACAGATTCCAGAGCCACATAGTGCATGCTGGAAAAGCACATTCTAGTTGGTGAAGTTTGATGGTAGAGGATATAAAAGATGGATCTAATAGCAGCATATGTTCCCTTGGTATCTCAGGAGTCAATCAGTGCTGAAAGAGAAGAGATGTGTGAAGACAAATTCCACCTACATCATAATTTTTAAAGCACCAGTCTTGCTAAAGCAGAAATTAAACTATGAATAGTCATCATAGCCATAGAAATATTATTTATGGAAAACATATATATAGTAAACAAAGGTTACAGTAATATTTATTTATGGCATCAAAAAATATAATTCACAGGAAAGCTAGATTTGATTGCTCTTTCAGGAAAGCTGGTGGGAGCTCTAAGGGTAAAACAGTCTTCTAGGGTGGGCAGGAGCTGAGTGCTGAGACCACAGTCTGGTCCTCGCTCCCCTGGAACACAGTTCCTCTTTGCAAATGGAACATGATAGAGCAAAGGAGAAGTAGCCTGCTCTACACTGCATGTTTAAAATGAATTTCTTAGGAGCAAGCTTTGGCCTCCAAACAAGCAAGCCATTCAGAATTAAATCTATATTTCCTTGGGCTTTCTTGATTAAGGTATCATCCAGGATAAGGGTAAAAATGAGATTAGGTCACAGCTTACGTTATATTATAATTTGGCTGCTGCTGAGTGTATTTCAGTCTGTGGTTGAACTTTGTATTCCTTCTTTTTTGCCTCTGTACCTAGCATGGTGTCAGCAAATAGCAAAATATACAGTATGTATTTACTAAATAATGAGGCACTAAATACTGAGTAATAAAACCAGACAATCAATGGTTAAATAGTCAAAAGGGGTGAAATAACTCATAAGTCAATAGTTATTGTTCCTGTTTATGAATTCCCATACTGAGGGAACATTTTTACCAATTTGGATAAAATTCTTGTAGAAATAGAAGTGAGAGATTTTGTTCAAATACAGTGTCTATAGCAATGACAAATATCATAGGATCTTCCTTAGACCTTCTTCCTGACTACTCCGTAGAACTAGTGCTTTTTCTGGCATAGTAAAGATTTAAAAAAAGAATTCTCCAGTGCTCTTCTAAACTCCTACTCTGTCAAGCTTTATAAATGTTTGTGTGCCAAGGGAAGCTAGATAGTTTGATTTCCTCTCCTGGCCTACCATGAGATGCCTTGATTTTCACCAATGGGGTTATTCTTTAAGACTTGAGATCTTGTTACAAAAGACACTTTTGTGTATCAGTTAGTGAACATATGAGTCTAAGTTTGGTCTGCTGCTTAGGAGTGGAGGGAATGTGAAAATGGGGCATCACAAGGAGACGTCATGTGTAATGATGAACAAGAGGGGCTTATGGTGGAATCCGAGCTCTGTTATTGACTATCATAAGTAGGTTACTTAAACTTGATAAGTCTCCTCTTCCTCTAAAATGACAAATACTTAATTGAGGTAATATGATAATTTAATGAGATGGTTTGTATGAAAGTAATAAGCATATAGTAAAGTGATCAATAATTAGCTATTCCTATTATGTTTTGACTGAGAGCCACACAAAGAAAAGAGGAAGAAGGTTTAAGAGCTTGGGTGCTGTCCAGCATGGTATGAAGAGGGAGGGTGCACAGGAAGGGGAATTTTAAAAGTGGTGATAATAGAAGGCTATAAACAAACTTTTCTAAATTCATCATCTCTCAAAGGGCTAATTCAAGGGGTTGGTATCTTGTGCTAATGCATTCTACAAGAACATCATACCTGGTTGGGTTTGATGGCTCACACCAGTAATCTTAGCACTTTGGGAGGCTGAGACGGGCAGATCACTTGAGTCCAGGAGTTCGAGACCAGCCTGGGCAACATGGTAAAATCCCGTCTCTACAAAATAGACAAAAATTAGCTGGGTGTGGTGGCATATGCTTGTAGTCCCAGTCACTTGTGGGGCTGAGGTGGGAGGATTGCTTGAGCCAGAGAAGTTGAGGCTGCAGTGAGCTGTGATTACACCACTGAACTCCAGCCTGGGTACTGATATGGTTTTGCTGTGTCCCCACCCAAATCTCATCTTAAATTGCAGCTCCCCAAATTCCCACGTGTTTTGGGAGGGGAGCCGGTGGGAGACAGTTAAATCATGGAGGCAGTTCCCCCATACTGTTCTCGTGGTAGTGAATAAGTATCACAAGATCTGATGGTTTTATAAGGGGTTTCCCCTTTTTGCTTGGCTCTCATTCTTTCTTGCCTGCTGCCATGTAACACATGCCTTTTGCATTCCACCATGATTGTGAGGCCTTCCCAGCCACATGGAACTGTGAGTCCATTAAACCTCTTTTTCT
This sequence comes from Homo sapiens, assembly GCF_000001405.40. NCBI lineage: Eukaryota > Metazoa > Chordata > Mammalia > Primates > Hominidae > Homo > Homo sapiens. The sequence goes on along the minus strand of NC_000005.10, from coordinate 115,712,881 downwards.
TTATAAATTACCCAGTCTCAGGTATGTCTTTATCAGCAGCATGAAAATGGACTAATACAATAAATTGGTATTGGTAGAGTGGGGTGCTGCAGAAAAGATACCCAAAAATACTGAAATGACTTTGGAATTTGGTGACAGGCAGAGGTTGGAACAGTTTGGGGGGCTCAGAAGAAGACAGGAAAATGTGGGAAAGTTTGGGACTTCCTAGAGATTTGTTGAATGGCTTTGACCAAAATGCTGATAATGATATTGTCAATGACATCCAGGCTGAGGTGGTCTCAGATGGAGGTGAGGAACTTGTTGGCAACTGGAGTAAAGGTGACTCTTGTTATGTTTTAGCAAAGAGACTGGTGGCATTTTGCGCCTGCCCTAGAGATTTGTGAAACTTCGAACTTGAGGGAGATAATTTAGAGAATCTGGTGGAAGAAATTTCTAAGCAGCAAAACATTCAAGAGGTGACTTGGATGCTGTTAAAAGCATTCAGTTTTAAAAGGTAAACAAAGCATAAAAGTTCATAAATTTGCAACCTGATGATGTGAAAGAAAATAAAAATCCATTTTCTGAGGAGAAATTCAAGCCGGCTGCAGAAATTTGCATAAGTAACAAGGAGCCAAATGTTAATTGTTAAGATAATAGGGAAAATGTCTCCAGGGCATGTCAGAGACCTTTGCAGTAGCCCTTCCCATCATGCCTGGAGGCTTAGGAGGAAAAAGTGGTTTTGTGGGCTAGACCCAGGGCCTCCCTGCTGTGTACAGCCTCGGGACTTGGTGTCCTGTGTCCCAGCTGCTCCAGCCATGGCTAAAAGGGGCCAAGGTACAGCTCAGGTTGTGGCTTCAGAGGGTGCAGGTCCCAACCCTTGGCAGCTTCCACATGGTGTTGAGCCTGCAGTTGCACAGAAGTTGAGAACTGAGGTTTGGAAACCTCCACCTAGATTTCAGAGGATGTATGGAAACATCTGTATGTTCAGGCACATGTTTGCTGTGGGGGTGGTACCTTCATGGAGAACCTCTGCCAGGGCAGTGTGGAAGGGAAATGTGGGGTTGAAGCCCCCACACAGAGTCCTCACTGGAGCACTGCCTAGCGGAGCTGTGAGAAGAGGGTCACTGTCTTCCAGACCCTAGATTGGTAGATCCACTGACATCTTGCACTGTGCACTTTGAAAAGCCACAGATGCTCAACGCCAGACTATGGAAGCATCAGGGAGGGAGGCTGTAGCCTGCAAAGTCAGAGGGTCAGAGCTGCCCAAGACAATGGGAACCTACCCCTTGCATCAGCATGACCTGGATGTGAGACATGGAGTCAAAGGAGATCATTTTGGAGCTTTAAGATTTGATTGCCCTGCTGGATTTTGGACTTGCATGGGGCCTTTAGCCCCTTCATTTTGGCCAATTTCTCCCATTTGGAATGGGTGTGTTTATCCAATGCCTGTACCCCCATTGTATCTAGGAAGTAGCTGGCTTGGTTTTGATATTACAGGCTCATAGGCAGGAGGAACTTGCCTTGTCTCAGATGAGACTTTCGACTGTGGACTTCTGAGTTAATGCTGAAATGAGTTAAGAAATTGGGGGACTGTTGGGAAGGCATGATCAGTTTCAAAATGTAAGGACATGAGATTTGGGCAGGGCCAGGGGCAGAATGATATGGTTTGGCTGTGTCCCCACCCAAATCTCATCTTGAATTATTATGGCTCCCATAATTCCCACATGTTGTGGGAGGGACCTGGTGTGAGATAATTGAATCATGGGGGCAGTTTCCCGTATACTATTCTCATGGTTGTGAATAAGTCTCATGAGATCTGATAGTTTTATAAGAGGAAACCCCTTTCCCTTGGCTCTCATTCTTTCTTGCCTGCTGCCATGTACAACGTGCCTTTCTCCTTCTGCCATGATTGTGAGGCCTCCCCAGCCATGTGGAACTGTGAGTCTATTAAACCTCTTTTTCTTTATAAATTACCCAGTCTTGGGTATGTGTTTATCAGCAGCATGAAAATGGACTAATACAGTGACATAGTGAAACTCTGTCTCATTAAAAAAAAAAAGATACCTTTTCTTCATCAAATTCTTTTTAATTTGAATTGAAATCTTTTTCAATCAGGATTCAGATGCTTTTAATATACTTTGTGTAATAGAATGTGGTCGGCAGGATAATGGCCCATCGGATGTAGACATTCTAATTCCCAGAATCCTTGAGTATGTTAACTTACACAGCAAAAGGACTTTGCATACATAATGAAGGTTATGAATCTTGATATGAGATTTTTCTGTATATATGGGTAAGTTTCATGTAGCCATATAAGCCCTTAAAAGTAGAAGAGGAAGGTAGAGAGTTAGAGCGATGTGGGAGAACAAGAAAGAGGGGAGATTCAATGTTTGAGAGGTACTTAACCCTTGATTGCTGGCTTTGAAGATGGAGGAAGAGAGCCAGGATCCAAGGAATGCAGTGAACTCTATAACCGGGGAAAGGCCCTCAGCTCACACTCAGCAAGGGAATGGAAACCTCAGCCCTATAGCTATAAAGAGCTGAATTCTACCAACCACTTTTATGGACAAGAAAATGGATTGTCCCTTAGAGTCTCCAGAAAGAAATGCAGACCTGCAGAACCCTTGATCAGCCCAATGAGACCCAGTTGGACTTTGGACATAGAAAACTATGAGATAATAAATGTTTGTTGTTTGAACTACTACATTAGTGGTAATTTATACTGAGAGCAATATAAAACCTATAAACACAGGTAAAGACAAAACCTTCATTGAATTTCATTCATTTATTACTCATTTATTCATTTTCCAAACATTTATTAATCAGCTCTAATGAAGCAGGCTCTGAGCCAGTGCTGGTAAGAAAAGCATGAGTAAGACCCAGTCCAAGCTCTCAACATATTTATAGAAAGTCTGTGGAAAAAATGAGAAAAAGTTCTCAGATTCCCTAAACAACATGTTCTACCTTAATTCCCCAAACAACCCAAACACTTGAGTATAATTTCAAAACAGTTAGTCACAGGGAGGTGTGTAATGTTTTGCAAACTTATTGGCGTGGATTTAGCATGGGCAAATTAAACAGAAACTAATGGTTTTTCCCCTCAGTCTGTGTGCCATGAAGTCATGGCTTTGCTGCTCTTCATTGTGGGGCTTTGGCCAGTTAATAAACACCCACATAACACTGCTGTTGCTCAGTGACACAGCGACGTCCTCCTCCCTCAGAAGAGGAATCTGCAGAGGGTTGCCTAGGTTGCCTAAGAATCATCTGGAAGGATTATTAAAACACAGATTCCTGGGTCCCACCCCTGGAGATTCTGATTTAGCAGCTCTAGGTTAGAGTCTGAGAATCTGCATTTCTCCCAGAAGCTCCCAGATAATGCCTCCTGCCCATGGGCCACACTTTGAATATGTCTGGTAGATTACTCCTTGTTTATTGATAAATATGGCTTATGGAGCCAAAATGGTCAGAAGTAGAGAAACCTCAAAAAACATGTAGCATATCTGCCAGTTGATGCCATACTTTTGAATACCTAAGCCCTGATAGTTTTCCACTTGGTCCTTCCCATTTTTCTTCCCAGATGAGACTCTCCTCCTGTTCTATTATAACCTGAAATGCACTGCAACTTGGGGCAAACTCAGACTGCTGAGAAGGGAGAAGAGGGAGGAGTTAGGGGTTTTTCCCTAGACCTTATGTCCAAACAAAGGGGCTTGATGTCCTTGCTGTCATAAACAGCATCCTCATTGATAAAGTAAATTTTTTTAAAAAATTGAAATCCCTACTTATGCAACTCAACGTGAGGCCAGAGTGCATGTCCTGCTGAGGGGAAAGCAAAGTGGTTACACAATGTGCCCTGTGGAACTGAGGGCATCACACGGCATTGCAGCTTTTCCCCATCCCAACCTCCCATCACTGAACTCTGCTGTCCTTTATTTCCCTCACCATCATCTGTCCATGAACTTTTTAAGATCAAAGGGCACATTAGAATGTATTGGAACAAACAACTGCAAATTATTTACTGCCCAGTCTTCTGACATGGTCCTTCTGGTGATCTTTGATCTATGATTGGCTATAAACCTCAGTACAATGATTCCAGGCAATAACCTTGAATTCCTAAATTGAGTTCTTATATGTGTCACATTGCTTCAATTGGCTATATGGATTCTGGTTCCTCTTTCTAAGATTCAAAAAGGTAAAATGAGAGCTGGGCATGATAGCTCATGCCTGTAATCCCAGTTACTCAGGGTGAGGTAGGAGGATCACTTGAGCCCAGGAGTTCGAAGATGCATTGAGCTGTGATTGCGCCACTCCACTACTGTCCGGGTGAGAGAACAAGACCCCTACCATAAAAACAAATAAATAAAGTAAATAAAATATAAATAAGAAAAGAAAGGTAAAATGGGATTTAGGTCTATTGTTTAGAAAAATCCAATTGAAATTTAAAGATATCTTTATCATTTGAAAGAGCAGAATATCATAAATTAAAACCTTGTCAAGTACTTCTTGCTTGATTAAAGGAAAAATCATCTATATAGTATAAGTCAGTTTTTTGCTTAGATACTTTTCCTAAACAAAAGATCTTTCTATAGCTATGGGAAAATAGTTTATCTCCAGATGACTGTGGTAATGGTAATTCCTTTGTGCTAGGTCTCTGCAAAAAGAAAAAACACTTGTTTGGAATATGGAATGTTACACATCTGTAAATCCCTTTTCTTTTAACAAGAACAAAAAACTGTGATTGCTTTTATTTGTTAAAGATTATTTAGTTTTGTTTTTCTCTAAAGAAGAGATTTTTAACTTTCTTTATGCCATGAACCTCTCTAGAACTTTGGTGATGCCTACAGACCCCTTCTAAGAATAACGTTTTAAATATATTTTTAAAACACCGTAGCTTGTCATGGGATTAAAGGAAGAAAATACCATGTAGAGGACTGCAAAGAAAAACAATAATTTACAAACACAGTTACCTGACTATAAGCCAAATTTATAATCTATGTACTTTTAATGCACTAGTTTAGATCTACCAGCAAGCCTACTATCTACTATAACTTCAAAGCAGTGAGAAGCAGAAACAGTATTTTGAGATATCTGCAACTATAATGAATATGAATATATCTGTGATCTCTATTGGAGATAGAAACACAGTTGTCTATTGCTCTGGATTGCTGTTTACATTGTTAATTGAGGGAAATCCTGAATTTCAGATAAAGGTTAGTGAAAATAACAATACAATTGTTCCCAGCCAGGTCTGTGGACTCCCTGAATTCTATAGACCTCTTTGGGTATCCTACAGAATCCCTAACTTTAATGTCTTCTTTCCCTCTGAGCTTCTGTTTATGAATGCTAAATTTTAATGAATCCAAGAAAAGGATTCCTATGAATCAGCCGGTCTTTGGCAAATGGAGGCTGTCATCCTTTCATGGGGACATCATCCTTTTGTGGGGAACACTTCTAGGCTTCCCATGGAATTCCAGAAAAAATAATGATCAAGGCCTCTGAACCTCATGAAGTTTTTGTTTGTTTGTTTAGAGACAAGGCCTTGCTCTGTCACCCAGGCTGGAGTGCAGTGGCATAATCATATCTCACTGTAGCCTCAAACTCCTGGGCTGAAGTGATCCTCTGGCCTCAGCCTCCTGAGTAGTTGGGACTACAGGCATGAACCACCACACCTAACTAGCTTATGGAGTTTTAATTATTCAATTAACATACTGATCTATGGTCTTTGAAACATAAACGACTCTGAAATATATATAGTAATTGTGAAGGAAAAAAAAGCAGGTTTTTTTCTCCTCCCAACTCCCAATCTCGTGCCCATAAGGAAATCACTGTTGACAATGCATTTATGCATGCCACTTCAATAAAAGTCAGTGTTTAGCACCACCAGCTCACCCTTGAATTATTTCCTGGGCAAAGCCAAGAACCCTCCTGGTCTAAGACTCCACTTTGGGGCTCTCCTTCCCTCTATCAGCCCCGTGAGATCAAGTTAATGGATTTGGTCCTTAAATGGCTTTAGTGAACTTTCCATAGGGAAGATTTATTTTCTATTGGCACAGACTATACTCCTAACCTTAGCCAACTTCTATGCAAATTCATTTCTATATCAGTGATGGTTCTCCAATGAAATAAAAACCAATAAAATAGATAGATAGATAGATAGATAGATAGAGATTTGACATAGATATAGATGTAGATATAAAGGAGTTTATCTTAAAAATTGATTCATGCAATTGTTAGGCCTGGCAAGTCTGAAATTTGTAGGGCAAACAAAGCAAGCAGGCTAGAAACAGACAGGAGTTGATACATGTAGTCTTGACTCCAAAATTTTTAGGGCAGGCCAATAGACTTGAAACTCAGGCAAGAGTTCAGGAGTTGGTGCTGTGGTCTTGAGGCAGAATTCCTTTTCTTGGGAAACCTCAGTTTTTTTCTCTTAATGCCTTCAACAGATTAAAGAGGCCCAACCACATGATCAAGGGTAATCTCCTTTACATAAAGTCAAATAGATCTTAACCACATCTGCAAAATACCTTCACAGCAACACTTAGATTACTGTTTGATTAAATAACTGGGTACTATAGCCAAGCAAAATTGACATATAAAATTAACTATCAGTGTTCCCTTGCTAAAAAAAAAAAGCAGAACAAAACTGAATAGGGTATATTGATAAATGCTAAAACAGAGCACTTTTTCCTTGTTGGAAAAAACATCATGCACTCCTAATAAAAGTGGTCAATATTTTAAGATGCAATTTATAAACAAAATTAATGTGTTGTTAATGGTAAAATCCCATTAATATCAACACATTAATAATGCAGTTGAGTGTAGATAATCAGAGGCATGAATCACATTTCTGGTGATCTAATTATGTACAAAATATACGTTTGGAGAGGCACGTAATAAACGTTGCTGATTGAGTTACTATTCATATTAACTCGAAGAATGTTAGCTTTGGACAGGATTTCAGCAATCAACAGTCCAGTGACATCTGTATGAAATGGTTCCTGAGGATATTATGAAGAAAACCTAAATTTAATATGCCCATTTTAAAGAAAACAATAATCATACTCAAATCAGTTCTTTTAACCCTAGTTAATTCTGGTTTTATTAATGTTAGCTTATGTGTCTCCTTCCATGAGGTTGACCACTTCCGGATGAAAGAACTGTGAAAGGTCAAACTCATCTTGTGAATTCTGAAAGGTGTTGGGTCTCTTTGTAATAAAGATACCAGCTTTGTTTGGCAAGTCTGGATCCATAAATCTACTTTTCTGTGGAGTAGAATAGTCAACAGTTCTTTGCTGAAGAGCGTTGAAATTTTTGGAGATTTTTTTGAAATTTTTTCCAGACCTTCTGATCTGTGGTTTATAGCAGGTACTTTTAAGCAAATGTAAAAGAAATCAGAAACCATCTATTGATGACAAAACTGAATAACTCTAGTTAATATGTTATATTAGCCAGAATTATTGGAATAAGGAGAAATGGAATCCTCTATTAATATATGTGATTTATAAGCATCCTGAAGATATAAGAATATATTTATAATAATAACATTTCATCTGCATGCAATTAACCTGGAGAGGATTAAGTTTCTCCTTTTGATTTGAGAGGGGTTTGTCCCCATACTGTGAGACTGATAGCAGGATGGCTCTCATAATTTTGTAGAACATACACATATTCTTATTTGTAGCATTATTCATTTAATAAAGTTTGGAACAAATCTTTTGTGTCTCAGAAGACTCCTGGGAAACCCCAAAGATAGTTAAGACAAAATAATATCTTAAAATTTTTATTATGAAGTGTTTGGAACCTATATTTAGGAAAAGCAATATCAAAAATAATTATCAAAGAAACATTTTATAGCATTAATATATAAAGAGGTCATTGATGTCTAAAGATGAAACAATGATCTTAGCTATAAAAATAATCATAAATAACATTTAAATTAAGCACAGCAGTAACTAATCATTTATAGAATTTTAACTTCTTTGATTTCTTTTTAGAAATAAAAGATTTTGGTCAGAAAGGAATTGAAAGTCAGTTGCAGTGGTGCACACCTTTAATCCCAGCTAGTCACGAGGCTGAGGTGGGGGGTATCACTTGAGCCCAGGAGTTCGAGGCCCACTTGGGAAACACAGCGAAAATCCCTCTGTTAAAAAAAAAAAAAATTAATTAAAAGAATCAAGAAATCTACACAAAACCACAAAGATTTAGGAGCCTCTCACGAAGTTCTCTTCCTATGAGTTAAGGAAGTCTGTTCTCCAAAACAGCCACCAAATAAGAAAACATGATTGTTTGTCATTGTTGCTTTTTTTAAAAGAGCTGATTGAATACTCAAAGACTATTTCCCACCTAATTGTTAGTTTTTCTTTGATTATTCATAAGGTTCTTAGTTTGACAATTCTAATATAGCACTATATCTATGTTTAAACATACACCAATAAGTGTGATAAAATTTTTAAAGCTTTAAATTTCAGTTTTCAGATATATTAGCTGTATCATTTAATTTACATGACTATAAATGTACTATATCAAATGTATTATCATGATTGGCGCTTTTCAAAGATAAAATACACATTACTTGTTTGTACTACTTTTGTGATTTCTAGCTTTATAAATTTTAATATCTTAGAATGTGTCCAGATAACCAAAGATTTTAGATAACCAAAGTTTATGTATAATTTACTATTAGTCCAAGTTTCAGGGATCTTAGGAATTATATTTAAGTTGTAACAGTACAGATTAAGATGATTTCTATTGGTAATAAAATTTAGACAGATGGCATTTAACAGTTTTCAGAAAGTGTAATAATTAAGTCAACTTTTTTTTGCAGTAGTGTTTGGAGTTTACAGGATACAATCCTTTTAAAAGATAACAATTATTATCATTTAATTTAGTTAAATATATTTGTTTATATTTTTGTGACTTCAAGTATTTTGTGGAGATAACTTATCTGACCCATTTGACTATCAAGAAATTTATAGAGTTAATTAGATGTTTTTCAGGAGTAACCAAAACCAAAGTCTTACAGAAAAGAGAATATATATTTTAACTTATTTCACATTATAATAAAAACTGGCAAGAAACCATACAGTTTTAATTGCTTTATTGAGATATAATTCACACACCATATAGTTTGCCCACTTAAAGTGTACAATTCAGTGGGTTTAGTGTTTACCGAGGTGTGTAACCATCACTACAGTCAATTTCAGAATATTTCATCAGCTCAAAAAGAAACCCCGTGCCTTTTAGCTATCACTCCCCTACTGCTCATCCTCCGCAGACCTAAACAACCAGTAATTTACTTAGAGAACTATGGATTTTCCTATTCTGGACATTTCATGTAAATAGAATATTGTAATATGTAGTCTTTTGTGACTGGCTTATTTCAGTCAACATGACATTTTCAAGGTTCATCCATATTGTACCTTGTATTATTATATCATTCCTTTTTATGCTGAATAATATTCCATTGTATGGATATGTAATGTTTTGTTTATCCATTTATCAACTGATGGGCACTTGTGTTGTTTCCTGTTTTTTGCTATTATGAATAATGCTGCAATGAATATTCATGCATATGTTTTTGTGTGGACACATTTTGACTTCTCTTGTGTATATACCTAGGAGTGATATTGCTCGGTCATAAGATAACTCTATGTTTAACTATTTGTGGACATGCCAAACTGTTTTCCAAAGTGCCTGCACGATTTTATATTAAATCCAATTGAAGAAATGGAAAATAAGCAAAGTAAGCAAATGATAAGTGTCATGGAGAAAAACAAAAAACACACAAAGCTAGGCCATATTTAAGGGTTAAAATGTTAAATAAGAAGGCCACTTTATGAGTCAAATTATATATATATATATATATATATATATATATATATATATATATATATATATATATAGTCTCACTTTAAGAACAAACAAAAAACAATGAGATTAGTAGTTTTATTAACATAAGGGTACATAGATTCACAAAAGTTAGACAACTTACCCAAGATTAAATGGCAGGTAAATGGCGAGGCTGGAATTTGAATCCAGATTGCTCTGGCTTCAAAGTTCACCATACCAAATTTTTTCACCATACTACATTTTTATAAGTGTAAATTTTGCTAGAGCTAGAGTTCATTCTTTAAAATGCAAACACAATTATGAACTAAAAAGTTATGGATCTGTTATAAATACATGTGGCAGAAAATAAGCATTCTTTTCTACTATCTCTGAGCACCTCTTCTGAAGCAGAACATTGTATATTACAATTGGGGAATTCTTGTGTTGTTATGTTTCCAGTTTTGTGTTTTTTTTAAAAAAAGAACTTCCTTATTTTAATGACACATCATCGAGCCAGGTTTAATACTTTAGAATCCTGCCCTGCTTTTTCTATTCCCTGGGCAATTATTCCTTTATGAACTAGACATAATCTGATGAAGAAAAACTTATTTTTATGGTTTTCGTGTAGAAATTTTCCTTTAAAATTAGCTAAGTGGATTCCTAACCTGTACGTACTACTGAACTCTCTCTTTAAAAGAATCCCTCTTAGCACTGTGAATTCATTCAAGAAAATAAAACCACTGATTCAGTGTAATAAATGGAGTCATAAAAGGATACTGCTTGTGAGGATGTGGTGCCACTATAATTTACTACCGCTCATGAATGTGCAATTTGCAGTTTTATTAGTTGTCTTTATTTTCTCAGCACTCTTCATAATTGCTTTAATGGTGGAAGCAACTAAGCCTTTAACTTAATCTCCATCATCTGACTGTCCCTTAAGTCTAATCTCTGTAATATTTACATTTCGTTATGCAGTGAGTACTTTATCCATTAAAATAAATCCCGAAAGCATGTGAAAATGGGCAAGAGGTCTCATTTCAGTGAGCAGATTTGTGAGTATCCCTCAAACTGAGGACTGTGTGGAATATCCGCTGGCCCTCATTCGACCTGGAGCTCTCCAAATTCCTATCTACAAAACATTATGAAGTTACAGTCCCATTGTGTATATACTTATTTGTGAAGTTTATAATGCTCTGTTATACTACTACAGCACAAAATTGTAAAACATGCACAAAATAGCAAAGAAAAGAGAATCATTTAAAATGAAATAAACATTGTAAATGACTTTTAAATGTGTATTATTTATAGTATCTTTTCTATAACTAAAAGCTTATTATTAATCACATTTAAAACAGGACGATATAATGGAATAGGCTCCTTTTTTCCCTTGTTTTGTTTTGTTTTGTTTTTCTTTTGAGATGAAGTTTTGCTCTTGTCGCCCAGGCTGGAGTGCTGTGGCAGAATCTCGGCTCACTGCAATCTCTGCCTCCCAGGTTCAAGCGATTCTCCTGCCTCAGCCTCCGGAGTAGCTGAGATTACAGGCACCCACCACCACGCCTAGCTAATTTTTGTATTTTTAGTAGAGACAGGGTTTCACCTTGTTGGCCAAACTGGTCTCAAACTCTGGATCTCAGGTGATCCACCCACCTCGGCCTCCCAAAGTGCTGGGATTATAGGCATGAGCCACCATGCTCAGCCAGCTCCTTTTCTTTTTTAACCTTGGTTCAATATATTGTCATGTAGCAGCACTAGATTTGGTTTGACATTTGATCTTAATGGCTGTCATAGCAGAAAAAAAACTTATATTAAAAAGTGCTATCTTAGTCTGTTCAACATATGAATTTTGGTGAGTACTCACACATCTAGTTTATAGGATTCTACTCCTGGTCCCCCCACATTTATGTCCTTCTCACATGCAAAATACATTCATTCCATCTCAATAGCCTCAAAAGTGTTAACTCATTACAGCATCAACCTTAAAGTCTAAACTCCAAAGTCTCATCTAAATATCATCTAAATCTGATATGGGTGACACTTGAGGTATAATTTATCCTGAGGCAAAATTTCTCTTCAGTTGTGAGCCTGTGAAATCAAACATGTTATATGCTTTCATAATATATTGACTGGACAGGTATAGGATGGACATATCTATTCTAAAATGGAGAAATAGGAAAGAAGCAAGGGGGAATAGGTTTCAAACAAATCCAAAACTTAAGGTACACTTCATTAAACCTCAGAGTTTGAGAATAATCCTCTTTGGTTTGATGCCCTGCCTTCCTATCCTACTAGAATATCATCCCCACAGTTTGGAGAAATGGCCCTGAAGTAGCTCTCTGCTGGAATGTCACAGCTTCACTGACCTGGGGTCCTGTGCTCATGGCTCAGCACCCCACAGCTCTTGGTGGCCCCATTCTTTGAAACCTAGGTGGAAACAGGCATGTCCCCTGGGCCCATGTACTTTGGCCTATGATGGAAATGGCCACCCCTGATGATCTCTGAAATACCCTTGGGGTTATATTTCTATTGTCTTGAAGAATAGCACATGACTTCTGTTAAGATGGTCGATCCACATTAATCTTATCAGGTGGTCATTTGGCCACATCCTTAGTGTTGTCTTCCAAACACACTTTATCATTTTTGCAATATAAGTAGGCTGGGAATTTTCTAGATCTTTAAGTCTTGCTTCCTTTTTGCTTAACAATTCCATCTTTAAGTCATTCCTCTCTTCTCATGTTTTACTAAGCAATTTGGAGAAGCCAAGCCATACCTTCAACACGTTACTTAGAAATCCCTTCAGCTAAATAGCCAATGTCATCGCTCACAAATTTTACCTTCTACAAAACACTAGAACATAAACACAAGTTAACCAAGTTATTTGCCAATTTAAAACAAAGATTGACTTTTCTCCATTGTGCAATAATAGGTTTCTCATTTCCAGCTGAGACCCATCAGAATGGCCTTTATTGTTTTTCTACCAACATTCAGTTTATGATTAATTAAGTATTTTCTAAGAAGACAGAAGCTTTCTTTATAGCTCTTTTCATTCTGAATCCTCACCAGAATCACTTTTAAAATATTGTTCACGACTATCTAGGCTTTTTTCTAGCATACACCCCAAAACTCTTCCAACCTCTGCTCGTTACCCAGTTTCAAACCTGCTTTCACATTTTAAAGTATTTGTTATAGCAGGCCAGGCACAGTGGCTCATACCTGTAAACCCAGCTCTTTGGGAGGTCAAGGCGGGTGGATTACTTGAAGCCAGGAGTTTGAGACCAGTCTGGCCAACATGGTGAAACACTGTCTCTACTAAAAATAAAAAAATTAGTTAGGCGTGGTGGCATGTGCCTGTATTCCCACCTACTTGGGAGGCTGAAGCATGAGAATTGCTTGAACGTGGGATATGGAGGTTGTAGTGAGCCAAGCTCACACCACTGCACTCCAGCCTGAGCAATAGAGCAAGACTGTCTCAAAAAAAAAAAAAATATATATATATATATATTTGTTATAGCAGCACCCTCACTTCTTGGTACCAATTATCTGTTTTAGTCTATGCAGGTGGGTGTTAACAGAATACCATAGACTGAGTAGCTTAAAAAACAAATATTTATTTCTCTCAGTTCTGGAGACTGGGGAGTCCAAGGTCAAGGCACTGAATCTTTTTCAATGCCTGGTGAGGGCCTGCTTCCTGTTTCAAAAACAACCTCCTTCTCACTGTGTTCTCACAAGGCAGGAAGAAGTGGAGAGAGTTCTTTGGGGTCACTTTTATAGGGACACTAATAAAAGTACCCTTTTATGAGGGCTCCACCCTCATGACCTAATCAACCCCCAAAGCCCCCACCTCCTAATACCATCACATTGAGGATAAGAATTTCAACATAGGAGTTCTGGAAAGATACAAACATTCAGTCTATAGTAGGTACTTAGGCCTGGAAGAAGAAAATGATTGATTGATTAGACAGAGTCTCTTACTTGTTGTCTAGGCTGTAGTGCAGTAGTGAGATCTCAGCTCACTGCAACCTCCATCTCTCTTGTTCAAGAATTCTCGTGCCTCAGCCTCCTGAGTAGCTGGGATTACTGCCATGTGCCACCATGCCCAGCTAATTTTTGTATTTTTCATAGAGACAGGGTTTCACTATGTTGGCCAGGCTGGTCTTGAACTCCTGACCTCAAGAGACTCACCTGCCTCAGTCTCCCAAAGTGCTGGGATTACAGGTGTGAGCCACTGTGCCCTGCAGGAAATCATGAAACTCATTTTAAATCATAAAACTCATTTTTTAAATTTCATGCAGTAATTATGCTCAAGTTTTTTCTTGCCTTGAAATTGAGCTATTAAATAGCCAGTTGTTCTTGCAAACTAATTCAAAGATACTATATTGTAAACAGTCTATTTCCAACTTTTTAAGTGTATAAATATGCAGTTTTTATAAGTAATGTTTTACTTCCAGTAACAAAAATAATTTTCAAACATTTACTTTTAGATGCTTCTGTAGCATGCTTGAGCTGTTATTTTCTCCCTCACTATTAAATTACTACCTTTACCTTGAAGCAACAGGCTGTGTGTCTCTCTTTTATAAAATATTTGCTAGATGACATACTACTGTCAGCTAATTTGTCCTCACTGAAGAGGTCAGAAGATTTGTAAACTTTGCTTTTTGATCTTATTTTTATGTATGATTCCTATTTCAATAAATGTGCTTTTGCCATAAGGTGAACCTTTGTGTGACAAAAAAGGTTTTTATGGTCACTCCCCATCATTTCCACATAATCCACTCATGTGAGTGTGCAGAAGATGCTCTAGGTTGCAATACATGGAAAACAAGTGAACGAATAAAAGCATCACTGCCAATCTCCCACTCTGCCTGCTTTCTATGTTAGTCTTGGTTCTCCAGAGAAACAAAAATAATAGGGTGTGTGTGTGTGTAAATATATATATGTAGAGGGAGAGAGAGAGATTTCTTTTAAGGAATTGGCTTATAAGATTGTGAGGGTTGGTAAGTCCAAGTTTTGCAGAGTAGACAGCAGGCTGAAGACTCAGAGAAGAGTGGATATAGAGGTATTGATTTCAAAGGCAGTCTAGAGGTAAAATTCCTTCTTCCTTCTCAGTGTTTTTCCCTAAAGGCCTTCAGTCTGTTGGATGAGGCCCACCCACATTATGGAGGGTAATCTGCTTTATTCAGAGCCTACTGATTAAAATGTTAATCACATCTAAAAAATAACCTCCCAGCAACATTTAGACTGATGTTTGAGCAAACACCTGGGCACCATAGACTAGTCAAGTTGACACATGAAAATAACCTTCACATTCTCTTACTGCAGTAGGCCATACTGAGAACCCCTGGAATACATCCACTGAAGTTTGTAGATTTGTGTGGGTTGGCTTAGCAGATCCTTAATGATTCAGCAGTCTGTGGGGCAACTCTAAACAAGGTCCCTACCTGAATTAGTTTGATGGAACAGGTCAGTGAGTGGAAAAACAGTTATTTTCTATGCACCTGTTCTAGGCCCTGAGACCATAGTAATGAACAAAACAGATGAGGTCTCACAGAACTTACTTTCTATCAGGTAGAATTAAAAACAAACAAACAAACAAACAACAACAACAACAAAAAATGATATTCATGAAACAAAATCAACTATGTACCATGGAAAAGGAAGAAACTAATTAGGAAAGAAGGTTGCTTTTGATCCAGGTCTTGAAAAACAGATAAACTATTAACGAATGAATGTGGGGAAAGTGTTGTTTGAAGTAAAAACCAGAGACTTAATAAGTGCTGCTGAAGTACGTTTTAAGAAACAATAGCATCTAAAAATATTTCTTCTTGCAGTTAATTTTTAGGAATTCATTATGATTTTCCCTTTTATTCTGAGCCCTTTATATTCTCAATGTCTTTATATTCTACAAATGTTTTATTTTTAAAAAGATATCAACAGAATTTCTAATGTAAAATTTCTTGTCAGAAGCTCTGGATTTAGAGCCAGCAAATAGAATAGGATAATTTGAAATTGTTAAGGCCTGGAAAACAATGAGGAAAAATATTCAAGCACTTTCTGACATTAAATTAAAACTGCAAAATTATTTTACACTCTGGAAATGATGGTAGCGTTAATGTAAATACTTTTTCTATGTCAAGAATTTCCCAAATGAGCTAGTATCTCCATTTTAAAAACGTATTAACAGATGCCTTAATGATCTTTTTTCTGTTCTCCCTATTAAAGAACTTGTGTCTACCAACTCATATCTACAACCACCTTGAACGAATAAATTCTCTGACCTAATGGCTTCTGTAAAAAAGTCCTATTGCTTCCCTGAGTAACACTTTTTCCCTATCAGCTTCTCAGAATAGCTAGATAATGAATAATTGGAATGAGAATTATCTGAGAAAAAAATCCAACACAGACAAATTAAGGAGTATAGCCAGAAGGAAGACAGGAAATAAAAGTAAATATTAAGGGCTTCAGTATTACAAGCTCTTGTATATTAAGTGTTTAGAACATAGTCAGTATGCAGTTCAGCATTTGGTTTTAGTTCTGCGACAGTTTGCATTCAGTTAAAAATAGATGTGGTGGCTATCGATAACTTTCCCTGAGAGATTAATGTGACAAGATTCACATCGAAAGTACCAACCCATCTCAACACAATGTATTTTAATATTATCAGACTCTTCAGACATTGTATCTAGTACTTCAGAACTTGTTAGTAACCAAACAACATACAAAATGAGACCTTTTTGCATTTTCATAGGACTTCAGCAACTCTTGCCTCACTCTGTGTTTAAGATTATTTGTGTAAGTGACAGGCATTTTTGGTTTGTTCTAATTATATCACTGAAACCAAATGTTCTCACTCAAGATCAGATCAACCCATAAAGGAAGCTGCAGTTATCAAATCACCAAAGGACAATATGTTAGATAGAAAAGGTACAGGGCTGAGGCGAAATCCCAGAGTGCCCAGCTCTTAGTCTTGGGCTATTTGACATTTTTGTCTCGATTATACCAGTTTATCCCACTTTCCCCATGCTCTTCTACAAGTAAATACTTTGTAAGCTTAGGATGGCAGGAACTTTGGAACTTTGGGCCCTTTTGCTAGTACCCTCTTTTGTAAGTGGTCTGCCTTTTTCTTTTGAGTCTACCTTGTCACACCTTGTCTTACAGATTTTCTTCATTGGTGAAAGTTTCCAGAAGGCCTTAATAAACCACAAAAGCAAGAGTATTTCACCTCTCATATAGTGTCAAGAGACTCAGTTTCCTCTCCTAGTGCTGCTGTGGCTAATTGTGTAACTCTTTGTCTATCAGAACTCCCATTTTATCCTCAGTAAAACTGCGAAATTGGACACAAAGCTTTCTCAGTGCACTGCCAGCTTCAACATATTGCCACCCAATTCTCCACAGGGGTGGGGAGTAGGGTCTATCACAGAATATAGATGGTGTAATGGTTAACCCTTTTCCTGTTTAGAAAAAAAAGTGCAGCTCGCTGCCAGCGCTCATTCAATTTTATATAAACATGCTCTTTGAGGATGAAGCAAATCTGCCTAATTTTCAGGGTGAAAGTGAAACATAAAAACTGTTCTTGGAGTTATTTCTAAACAGAACTAACATCAGAATTGTCTGAATCATCAAAATTGTCTATTTTAGAACAATCAAATTTATCAAATGAATCTTCAGCCAACCACTGTTCGAGAACAGTCTTAACATCACACATTAGAATGCTATGTTTTCCAGGATTTGATATTTTCAGCCATTGAGAATTACTATATTTTGTAAATGGAAATACCATTACTAAAAACAGAATTCTATAAATAGAATGATGTCCTTTGTTTCCAAAGTGGATGTGCTAGAGCAATGCGAAAATAATAATAAAAGTGAGATATTTCGTGGCAAAGTTATCTCGGGGTAAATGCTGCAGCAGCAAGCGCTGCTCAGGGCAAATGAGAAAAACGTTAATTTTATGGGCCGACTTTACTGGACTGTGGGATGCCCAGATAGCTGGTAAAACATTATTTCCAGTGTGTCTGTGAGGTTGTTTCTGGAAAAAATTAGCATTTGAATTAGTAGAGTGAGTACAGAAGATCACTCTCCCAAAGCAGGGGACACCATTCATCCTGCTCAGGACCAAAATTTCATCTCTTTACTTCAGCGGGGACATCTGTCTTCTCCTGTCCACAGGCCTTGGCACTCCTGGTTCTTGGGTCTTTAGATTTACACTGAGGGTTATACCATCAGTTCATCTGGCCCTTCAGACCCAGACTGAATTGTACTACCTTCTTTCCTGATTCGCCAGCTTGCAAATGGCAGACAGTGGGAATTCTTGACCTTCATAATCATGTGTAAGCTAATTTCCATCATAAATCTCATATAGGTATGCACATGTTTATGCATGTGTGTGTGTATATGTGTGTGTGTCTTTCTGTGTATATATCCTATTGGTTTTGTTCCTCTGGAGAACCCTGAATAATACAAATGCTTAGGCAGATAATGGTAAAATTTGTCATCCTTTTTTTTGTTTTGTTTTGTTTTACCCACCCACAATAAAAACCAAATTCAAGAAAGGCAAAAAAAAAAAAAAAAAAAAGTTCTTTCCCTCAATACTCTTTTCTTCCTATTACTTGTCATGGCATTTCTTGTTAGCATGCCCCCAACTTTTGTTCCAGTTTGAGATTCCACACACTTATTAATATAATGATCTGTAACTACATTTTTATTTGTTTTCCATATGACTTAAAAACTAATACACTAAAAAAATTAGTCTAAAATTTAGAATTATTGTAACTTTGGTTTCTAACTCCATATTTTTTTCTATGTAAATAAAGAGAATAATGCATTTAAAAGAAGTATTAGTTTTTATTTTGGGGTGCACATGTATCAGTATAAAATTTAATGAAAATAACAACTGAAAAGGGTGGAGAAGAAGTAGTAAAGTAGCAGAGTTTGTATGTTATTGAAGTTAAACTGGTATAAATCCAAATCAGAGTTATAACTTCAGGATGCTAAATGTAATATCCATTGGAGCCACAAAGAAAACAGCTTAGAGAATATATATGAAAGGAAATAAGAAAGAAATATAAACACTTTACAGCAAAAAATCAACTGAACACAAAGGAAGACAGTAGTATTTCAGGAAATGAAGTACAAAAAAGATATAAGGCATATTGAACACAAATAGCAATATTATAGAATTTCCTTCTTATCACTAATTATTTTAAATGTAAATGGAATAAACTCTCCAACTAAAAGTCAGAGATAAGCAGAATGGATAAAAACACATGATCCAACTGTATTCTATAAATAAAAGACTCACTTTGGATTTAAAGATATAAATAGGTTGAAAGTGAAGGGATACAAAAAGTTACTCCATGCAAAAAGTAACCAGAAGAGAGCAGAGGTGGCTGTACTGACATCAGATGAAACAGACTTTAAGTCAAAACATTTACAAAAGAAAAAGAAAGACATCATATATTAATAAAAGGCTCAACACAGCAAGAAGATATGAGTTATAAACATCTGTATACACAATAACAGACTAACAAAAGATATAAAGCAAAAACTGATAAAACTAAAGGGAGAAACCAACAGTTCTACAATAATAGTGGGAGACTTCAATACCCATTCTCAGTAATGGATAGAATAACCAGATGGAAGGTAGATAAGGAAATATAAGACTTAAGCAACATAATAAACCAATTAGATTTAACAGACACATGAAACATTCTAGCAACAACAACAGCATACACATTTTTCTCAATTGCACATGGGGCACTTCCCAGTATAAACCACATGTTAGGCTAGAAATGAAGTTTCAACAGATTTAAAAAGAGATATAAAAAGTATGCTGTCTAAACACTGTAGGATGAAGTTAGCAACAGAAGTAAAACTGGAGAATTCCCAAATTTGTGAAATAAGCAACACCCTCTTAACCCATGGATCAAAGAAGAAATGACAAAGAAAATTAGAAAATATTGTTAGATACACTAAAACCAAAACAAAACACACCAAAACTTATGGAATTCAGTGAAAGCAGTTCAAAGGGGGAAATTTATACCTATAAATGCTTACGTCAAAAAACAGGAAAGGGCTCAAATCAAAAACTAAATTTTATAATTTGATGAACTACAAAATAAAGAAGAAGAACAAAGTAAACCCAAAGCTAGCAGAAAGAAGGAAATAATAAAGATTTGATTAGAGGTAAGTAAAATTGAGAATATAAAAGCAATAGAGGAAATCAATGAAACCAAAAGTTTTATGAAAATATCAACAAAATTGACAAAACTTTACCTAGATGGGCTAAGGAAAAAAGAGAGATGACTCAAATTAGTAAAATTAAAGATAAAAGTGGGGACATTACTATTAAGTCTACAGAAATAAAAAAGATTATAGGAGAGTACTGTGAATAATTGGATGTCACAAGCTGGATAACTGATATAAAATAGACACATTCCTAGAAACACAAAAGCTACCAAGACTAAGTCATGGAGAAATAGAAAATCTCAATAGATCTATAACTTGTGAAAAGATTGAATCAGTAACAAAAATCTTGTAATAAAGTCCTGGAGCTGATGGCTTCACTGGTGAATTTTACCAAACATTTAAGAAGAACTATTAACAATTCTTCTAAAACTTTTCCAACAGATTGGAGAAGAGGAAACACTTTCTTTTTTTTTTTTTAATTGAAGTTGCTGAAATCTGATTTTTTTAGAGGGAACATTTTCTTTTTTTTCTTTTTTTTTTTTTTTTACAGTTATATACTTATTTTTATTGAGACACATCTTGCTGTGTCACCCAGGGTTTTGCTCTGTTGCCACAGCTTACTGCAGCCGTGACCCAGGCTCAATGATCCCTCCCACCTCAGGCCCCTCTCCCCGACCAGTAGCCGAGACTACAGGCAGGCACAGACTGGCACCACCACACTCGGCTAATTTTTTTTTTTTTTGAGGCAGGGTCTCACTGTATTGTCCAGGCTGGTCTTGAACTCCTGAGCTCAAGTGATCCTCTCACCTTGGCTTCCCAAAGTGCTGGGATTACAGACAAGTCATGGCAGCTGGCTGAGTACAGTTATTCAGCATAAGCATAACAAAAACAGAATGGCAGCCCAGTTCCTTTGTTAATGAAATAGTAAGGGTGTAACTAGGGCAAGCTGGCCCTGTTTATGTCACATGAGTTTGTTTTAGAAAGCATTCTTGAGAACACAAACAAAACAAAAGAAAAAATTTTAGAAATACACTCACATTTTAATATAAAATGGACTGCGTTTTGTGGCTATATGATAATTTTCAACATAAATCTCCTTAAGAAGGGAGTCACATGTTCTGGAGAGATCTAAATTTAATACAATCTCATAGGGAGCAAAATAAGGAGTTGCTGTGATAAACTTTTTGCTTTGCCAGGTATGGGCTACAATGATTGGTTGAAATCATCCAAAAATGAACTAAAATCACAAATTCATTTTCACAGATTTATTGTTAGAACTTATGTTGCTTCCTTAAGAAAACGCAACTATATTAACTCTTGGCTATTGCAGTCAAGAATAAAACAGTCAAGGGGAAAAAAAACCAGTGGCTAAATTTATAAAGTTATGTGTATTTGGCTTTGAAATATTTTTGGAATGTGAAACTGGCCTCGCTTAGGTAAAGAATCAATTTGCCATGTCTTATATCTATTTGAAGGCATTGAGAAGAGATCGAGAAACTCTCAAACTGAATGTACTTGTGATAATTATCAAGCCGTAATGCAAATAACAGAAAGGTCATTGTCCTATTCCTTGCACGACATCTTTCTCTTGGTAATTTGAAGAACAGGGTCTTTCAATTACCTTTTTTTTTTTTTTTTTTAATTTTTTTTTTTAATTGATCATTCTTGGGTGTTTCTCGCAGAGGGGGATTTGGCAGGGTCACAGGACAATAGTGGAGGGAAGGTCAGCAGATAAACAAGTGAACAAAGGTCTCTGGTTTTCCTAGGCAGAGGACCCTGCGGCCTTCCGCAGTGTTTGTGTCCCTGGGTACTTGAGATTAGGGAGTGGTGATGACTCTTAAGGAGCATGCTGCCTTCAAGCATCTGTTTAACAAAGCACATCTTGCACCGCCCTTAATCCATTTAACCCTGAGTGGATACAGCACATGTTTCAGATAGCACAGGGTTGGGGGTAAGGTCACGGATCAACAGGATCCCAAGGCAGAAGAATTTTTCTTAGTACAGAACAAAATGAAAAGTCTCCCATGTCTACCTCTTTCTACACAGACAGGGCAACTATCCGATTTCTCAATCTTTTCCCCACCCTTCCCCCCTTTCTATTCCACAAAACCGCCATTGTCATCATGGCCTGTTCTCAATGAGCTGTTGGGTACACCTCCCAGACGGGGTGGTGGCCGGGCAGAGGGGCTCCTCACTTCCCAGTAGGGGCGGCCGGGCAGAGGCGCCCCTCACCTCCCGGACGGGGCGGCTGGCCGGGCGGGGGGCTGACCCCCCCACCTCCCTCCCGGACGGGGCAGCTGGCCGGGCGGGGGGCTGACCCCCCCACCTCCTAGAGGGAACATTTTCTAACTCATTCTAAAGAGGCCAGCATTATCCTAGATACCAAAGCCAGGTAAGGACATTACAAGAAAACTACAGACCAGTGTCTCTGATATACATAGATGCATAGGTCCTCAAGAAAATACTAGCAAACTGAATTCAGTAGCATATTAAAAGGATTACATATAATGACTGTTCCCTTCAAAACCCAGGTTGAAGTTTAATTTCCAATGTGGCAGTATTGAGAAGTAAGGCCTTTAAGAGGTGATTAGATCATGAGGGTTCTGCTCTAATGAATGGATGAATACATTCTTGGAATAATAGATGTATGGGATATCATTAGAGGGAAACTGATGGCTTTATAAGAAAAAGAAGAGAGAACTGAGCTAGCACATTAACATATTAGCAAGCTTAGCTCTCTCACTGTGTAATACTCTGCACTGCCTCCAGACTCTGTAGGGTTCCCACCAGCCAGAAGACTCTCACCAGATGTGCCCGCTTGACTTTGGACTTCTCCACCTCAATAACTGTAAAACATAAATTCCTTTTTTTATAAATTACCCAATTTCAGCTATTTTGTTATAAGCAAAAAAACAGACTAAGATAATGCCAAGCAGGACTTATTCTTGGAAAGCAGGAATGATTCAACATATAAAAATCTATCAACATAATACACTGTTAACAGAATAAAGGATGAATAACATATGATCATCTCAATTGATGCAGAAATGGCATTTGACAAAATTCACCATAGTTTCATGATTTAAAAAACACTCAAAATACTAGAAATAGAAGGAAACTACTTCAACATAATAAATACCTTATGTGAAAAGCCCACAGCAATCATCATTCTCAATGGTGAAAGACTGAAAATTTCTTCTTTAACATTAGGATGCCTGCTTTCAACCACTTCTATTCAACATAATACTGGAAGTTCTAGGCAGAGCAATTAGGCAAGAAAAAAAGGCACCCAAGTTGCAAAGGAAGAAGTAACAATATCTCTGTTCACAGATGATACAATTTTATATATGTATACAATTATAAAGATTTCACACAAAAATTAAAACTAATAAATGAATTTTGTAAAGTCACAGGATACAGAGTCAACACACAAAAATCAACTAGATTTTTATATACTAACAGTGAACAATCTGGAAGGGAAATTACAAAACCAATTCTGTTTACAATAGAATCAAAAAGAATAAAATACTTAGGAGTTAACCAAGAAAGTGAAAGACTTGTACAACAAAAACTACAAAACATTGCTGAAACTAATGAAGCCAGATAAATGAAAACACATCTCATGTTCATAAATCGGAAGACTTAATATTAAGGTATCAATACTACCCAAAGTGATTCAATGCAATTTCTATCCAAATCCCAATGACATTTTTTGCAGAATATAAAAACCTATCCTAAAATTTATATCGAACCTCAAGAGACTCTGAATAGTCAAAACAATCTTGAAAAAGAAGAACAAAACTGGAGGACTCATACTTCCTGATTTTAAAACTTACTACAAAGCTACAATAATCAAAAGTGTGATATGGGCATAAAGACAGACAAATGGAGTAAAATATAGAAAGCCCAGAAATAAACCCTTGCATATATGGTCAAATGATTTTTGTTAATAGTGTGAGACCATTCACTGGGGAAAGACAGTCTTTTCAACAAATGGTGCTGAAAAAAGTAGATATCCACATGTGAAAGAATAAAGATAGATTTTTACCTACAACCATGGACAAACATTAACTTAAAATAGATTAAAGACCTAAATTTAGGAGCTAAGACTATAAAATTCTTAGAAGAAAACATAAGGTAAAAGCTACAGAACATTGGATTTGGCAATACTTTCTTGGATGACAACAAAGGCACAGGAAACAAAAAAGTAGGCAAACTGGACTTGATAAAGTTTTTAAATATTGTGCATTAAAAGACAATGTCAATAGAGTAAAAGAGCAAGCTACAGAGTAAGAGAAAATATTTTTAAATTATATATCTGATAGGGATTAATATCTAGAATATATAGAGAACTCTTAAAACTTAACAACAGAAAAACAAACAACCTGGTTCAAAAATGAGCAAAGAACTTGGATGGACATTTCTCCAAAGAAGATACAAATGGCCAAAAAGGACATGAAAAGATGTTCAATATTACTTATCACTAGGGAAATGAAAATCAAAACTGTAATCAGATACCACCTCATACCAATCGGAATAGCTATGATCATAAAACAGAAAACTAGGTCAGGTGAGATGGCTCATGCTTGTAATCCCAGCATTTTGGGAGGCCGAGGTGGGCGGATCACCTGAGGTCAGGAGTTTGAGACCAGCCTGGCCAACATGGGGGAACCTCATCTCTACTAAAAATACAAAAATTAGCTGGGCATGGTAGTGCACACCCGCAATCCCAGCTACTCAGGAGGTTGAGGCAGGAGAATTGCTTGAACTTTAGAGGCGGAAGTTGCAGTAAGCTAGGATCGTGCCACTGCACTCCAGCCTGGGTGACAGAGCAACACTCTGTCTCAAAAATAAAAACAAAAACAAGTGCTGGTGAGAATGTGGATGAATTGGAATACTATATTGATGGCAATATAAAATACTATATTGATGGCAATATAAAGTGGTACAGCCACTGTGGAAAACAGTATAGCAGTTCCTAAAAAATTAAAAATAGAATTACCGTGTGCTCCACAAATTCTACTTCTGTGTCTGTCCACCAAATATTATACACTAGTGAAAACATGGAAGTGTTCCAAGTGTCCATGGACAGAAGAATGGATAAACAAAATGTGGTATCTGCATTGAATAGAATACTGTTTAACCTTAAAAAGGAAGAAAATTTTGACATATGCTATAACATGGTTGAACTTTGAGGACATTGTGCTTAGTGAAGCAAGCCGGTCACAGTCTCTTATATGAGAGAACTTAGAGTGATCAAAATCATAAGAGAGACAGTAAAATGATGATTGCTAGGGAATAAAAGGAGAGGGCAAAAGGGGGTTGTTATTTACTAGAGTTCCAGTTTTACAAGATGGTAGAGTTCTGGAGATGAATGGTATTGATAGTTATACAACATTATGAATGTGTTTAATACCACTGAACTACACTTAAAAATGAGTAAGATGGTAAATCTTATGTTGTGTATTTTTAACATAATTTTTAAAAATTGGGGAAAAAAGGTGACCCTTAGTGGCATGAGTGAAATTACATAGCAGGGTGTGAGGGGGACTTTCAAATTTTGTTGCTAAATATTATATTATTTTCACAGTGAAAATGTAATCATGTATTTCCTGAGCAACATATTAAAAGTTATATGAATTCAACAAAGGACCAGTTATCTAGAACATAAAAAGAAATCTCAAAACTCAGCACTAATAACAACCAATCCAACTAGAAAGTGGTCAAAAGGCATACATGATGTTCAATATCATTCACCATAAGAAAAATAAAAATTAAAATCACAGTTAAATGTCATGGCACACATATCAGAATGGCTAAAATAAAGCACAGTGAAAACACTGACCAGGTCATGGAAAAACCGGATCCAACTGCTGCTGGTAGGAATGTAAAATGGTACAACCACACTGGAAAATAATTTGACAATTTCCTATAAAACTAAAGCTTACAACCCAGCAATTGCACTCTTGGGCATTCAGTCCAAAGGAATGGAAACTTATGTTCACACAGCAGCTTTATTCATCACAACCCAAACTGGATAGGTGAGTCACTAAACAAGCTGTGGTGCATACACACCATGGAATACTGTTGAAATGGGATACAACTTGGATGCCTCTCCAGGGAATTATGCTGAGTGAAAAAAGTCAATCTAAAAGGTTAGGTATTATATGATTCCATTTATATAACATTTTTGAAGGGACAGCGTGTTAGGAATGGAAAACAGATTAGTGGTTGACAGGGGTTAGGGATGGAGAATACCGAGAAGTAGGTAAGAGAGGCAGAAGTCTTCGGGCTGCAAAAGCTTTCCCGGACCTAGTCAACCTCCAGCCCAGAGTTGTTGGAACCTCCAACCCTGAAGACTTTGGAACCTCGCCAAGGTTCTGGGTGATGTCAGGAATAAGTGGAGCCTGAAGATCCCTGGCCTCTTTTCAACTCAGTACCTCCAGAGTAGAAAGGAGATTGGGGATTTGTTGCTTTCTACAGCATACTTCTTGATAGATTCCTTACCCTTTTATAAATACCCCCAGAGGAGATGTGAAGGGAAACTCATTTAACAACTGCTGTAGACAATTAGCATCCAGCAATCATTAGCATTTGGCAGGCAAGCAGAAATATATTAAAAAAAGAAAACCTCTGCCTGATTATATTATAAGTATCACAAGAATTTCCCAAACAACCCAAGCAAATTCCTCAGCCTCTGCTAAAAGCCAAGCAGAGGAATAGCAGCTTTCTGGCAGCTCATGCTTTCCCTCCACTGTTATTTATAAATTCCACACATTTTCTTGATTGTTCTAGAGATTAGCAAAGTTGGTTTTTCCCTCAATTCCTAAATTGTGTCCCATTATCCAAAGCTGTGACCATTCAGATCCTGTCTGTAGGCTGCTGATAAGGATCCATTAAATGGTTTCCAAAAGCCATATACTACTATTCATTATATTTACAGAATCCCAAGTGTAGTTATTAAAATAGATGCTGATCATTTACATGCTGGAATTGGTTTATTTTGTTCTCTCATATGCTTAACCTCATGCCTTATTCGGAGAATGGAAGAAAATAATTATTTTCTCTCATCCATTTTCTTAATTTGCAATTGCAATCACTTCTGCAGGGGGACCTCTCTAAGAAGTCATTGCCAAGGGAAACAAAGAGTTGAGAAGGCAAAGCAACTAGCACCTGGCTGCTGGCCACTGTAGGGGCTGAGTGCATGCTGTGGGATTCTAGGGTGCTGCTGGCTCAGGCTTACCTTGACTGGATTCTTAACTTCTTATCTTTCCTCTCTCTTCTGGTTTGACTAAAAGTGATTACACAGATTATTCCCATAAAGCAGTTCCAAACCTATGTGGAAAATCAGCTGAGGCCGTAGCAGATTCTCACTTTTTACTCCCTGGATCAAAAGTAATCAGATCCTAAAATAGAATTTGAAAGGAAATCTAAAATTCCAGGCAAGACTTATACAATTGTGAAATCATTGTCTTACCGTCTTTTGTTTTTGTGCAATCATTAGCCTCTTTGATTCATGGCTTTCTTTGAAAACAAGAATTACCAGCCTACGCTCTAGGAAAATGCAAGTGTTTACAGATATATAAAATTTTGCTTTATAATTTCAGAGAGCCACAGACCATCTCAGCACCTAAGCCAATGCCTAAAGGATGTTACCAGTAGATTAGAATAAAACTATCAGGTGATCGAGGGAAGGAAATAGTGAAGCAAATGTGTAAAGCAAAGGAGTCTCTGTCTTGTATTTCAAATTTTTAGACATGACAAGAGAAAATAATTTTTTAAAACTCTATACCTGTGTTGGAACAAAACAGTTAGAGTTGCCGTAGTGAATCAGAAGCTGAAAAAGTCCTGGAAGATAGAAGGCAGAAAGAGCCATACCCCAAACCTTTGCAATGACATTGTGGCAAAAGGTGCCAGGGATCCTGAGATGCCCCAGTCTCAGAGGTGGCAGGCAGTGGAGCAGCTGGACCCTGAGGCAACCAAAAGGGTAATTGCTCAGGGATGGTGGGAGGAGGAGCCATGCTGATCAGCTTCTTTTTTCCATTCCATCTCATTCCCATGGACCAGAAGCAAACAAGAGAGGTATCTGTTCCTAGGTGAGAGAAGAGAGTGATGACTCTTGGGCTGCAGATAATACCAGAAAGCTGGTGACATCCAGGAAGACAGGGAAGCACCCTCATCTGGAAGACAGCCAATGGTCAACACCTCCCCAGTCAGTGCATGAAGCCTGGTAATACATCTATGGAACTAGACAGACAAAAGGGAGTTCTCAAATAGAGACACAAAAGAGGGTCATCAAACATCTGAAACCAGCCAAGGGCAAATTCAAAAGTCAGAATTGCCCTGGAGAGTAAATATAGTTACGCTATTTACTTATACTCTATATAGTTATGAAGCAAATTAAATGAGACTTAGAATTAGTATTGACAATATCCTCAGGAAAATTCAGATGCAAGAAAAGGTTAAAAGTTAACGGACAGGAAAAATATTTATATTTTATAGATCAGAAAAAGAAATATTCTGAATATATTCATAAGTAGTGATCAAACAAATGCAACAGGGACAAACTCAATAGAGAAAAATGGGCAAGAATCAAACAATATAAACAGATAATTAATAGGAGAGAAAAGATGGCCAATAAATATATCGAAATCCACTCCACCTCATTAGTAGTCATGGAAATACAAATTAATATGACAAGATCCCAATTTTTACTTACCAAATTGGGCTGGTTTAGTTATGGCACCAGAAGACTGGAAGAAGACATCTTCATTTTGAATATTACTATGGTTCTTTCTGAGTGATTTCCACAACAGCATCTCACATTTGGCAATTTTCTCATCTTAGCATTCTCTCCATTAGCATTTAATATTAAACATACAGAGAAATGCTCTCAAAAATAGCTGTAATCTAGTCAGCTCTTGTGCGTCCTTTTCCCACCCCCCAATACTAAGGGACAAATTATAAATCAGCTTGCTTGCAGGTGAAGCAAAGGAACAAAATCCCTCTATGGTTAGAGAACACAGTGACCCTGAGCCAGATTCGGGGTTGAGGAAAGCCAAGCTGCCTGAGGTGGGGGCTGTCAGTGATCACAGGTGGGCTCTTAGCTTGGGCATTTCTGGCTGTGACCAAAAGACCACTAAACGACTGAAAACTGATCTCGTTATGAATTTTGTTTCTTTCTGAAACTTTAATTCTGTTTCATTTTGTTTTTAATGTTAAAAAATGGGTACCAAATGGGAAGGAAAAAATGGTCAAAACCCCAAACATTCATTGCATAAAAGTAAAATAATGGGCCAGATTGTGCTGAAGCTTCAGTTAACTTCTCCAACAGATAAGATAAAAGGGAACAGCTCTGAACACAAACAATATGTCAGACAAGTAATAAGCATGACAGCATTACAATATCACAGATAGATGAGGAAAATGAGGCACAGAGAAGCTATGTAACATGCTGGATGTCACTACACTAGTAGATAGCAGAGACACTGTAAATCCAGGTCTGTTGGACTGTAGGTGGCACTTTTAACCACTATGCATTATTGCTTCAGCTTTATTAAGCGTGGTAACTCAGTGGCTGTAGCAGGAAACACTATGGACATGGTCTCTGTCTTCCAGAGGTTTACAGTTGAGTGCACATTGTCACACATCAATGCCAGGACAAGTCAGCATTGTTCATAGATCCACTGGGAGAGGAAAGCTGAGACAGATAAATAGATGACAGGTAGATAAATAGATAGACAGATAGATAACACTTGGAATAGATATATATTACATTTATATATTATATAATATGTATGTAATATATATAACAATCATAACACAAAAAGGGGGAAGAAGATAAAATTAAGTTGGTGTAAACCTAGAAGTAGATTCTGAAGCATAAAATGCATATGGTAAGTCTGCTACTATGAAAATAATGCAAAAAAATTAAAAAATTATTTTAAAGAACTAAAATGTTATACTAAAAATATTCACTTAAAAGAAAACAGTTAAGGGGATCAGTGGGAGGGAAAAGAGATGAAGCATATAGAAAACAAAAAGTAGAATGTCAGATGTAAATCCAATTATATCAGTAGTAACATTAAATGTGAATGAATTAAACAATCCAATCAAAAACAAGATCCTACTATATCCTGTCTATAATAAACATACTTTATATTCAAACATACAAATAGGTTGAAAATAAAAAGATGGAAAAAGATGTATCATGCAAATAGCAACCAAAGACAGCTGGAGTGGCTATGTGATATGAAACGAAATTGACAGTAAAAAAATGTTACTAAAGATAAAGATTGATATTTTATGGTCAACCCAGCAGGAAGATAACAATTAAAACTTATAAGTACCTAACAACAAAGACCAAAATACATGGAGAAAAACTGACAGAATTAAAGGAGAAATAGACAACAATAATTCACAGAGACTTCAGTAATCTATTTTCAATAATGAGTATAACCCAAAATAACTGAAAACATTCACACAAATGTCATAGCAGCATTATCTGATAGCCAAAAAATAGATTCAACCCAAGTGTCCATCAATTGATGAACGGGTAAACAAAACATAGCATATCTATACAATGCAATATTATTCAACTTTAAAGAGAAATGTCTACCAGTACATGCTACAACACAGATGAACCTAGAAAGTATAATGCTAAGTGAAAAAAGCTAGTCACAAAAGACCATACACATATACCGTGTAATTTCATTTACATGGAATATCTGAAATAGGCAAATTCATAGGAACAGAGAGTAGATGAGAATTTTCCAAGGATGATGGGAGGAGAAAATTAAGACTGACTGCTAAGGGGTATGAGGTTTCTTTTGGGGATGATGGAAATGTGCTGAAATTACATGTGGTAATCGTTGTACAATAAAATGAATATATTAAAAACTATTAAATTATACACTTTAAAATGATTAATTTCATGTTATATGAATTATATTTCAATAAAAGGAAGAGGAAGGGAAGAAGCAGGAAGAAGGAAGATACAAGCATTTCGTTTTAGAAAAAACTAGGGGAAATAGAGAGTCTCAAGAAGGAGGAAGTTGTCATGAGTGTGAAAATTTATGACAGTAACAAGTTAAATAAGAATGCAAAGGATCCCTTGGATTCAGGAGTCTCAGTGAAATCCAAAATGTGTGGCTTGCAAAGGGATTGGGTGATTTAAAAAAATAGAAACACTTTGAGATATTTTGTTGTGTAAAAAAAAAGGATAGCGACGTGCTATGAAGTTAATGTTCGTGTCTTCCCAAAATTTATATGTTGAAGCCCTCATCCCCAAAATGACGGTGTTTGGAGGTGGACATTTAGGAGGTAATTGGATCATGAGGTTGAAACCCTCATGAATGGGAGTAATGCCATTGTAAGAAGAGACATGAGAGACAGGATCCCTCTCTCTGCCATGTGAGGTTGCAGCAGTAAATCCTCCATAGGCAAACTAGGAAGAGAGCTCTCACCAAGAACTGAATTAGCCAGCACCTTGATCTTGGACTTTTCAGCCTCAAAAATTGGGAGAAATAGATTTCTGTTGTTTAAGACACTCAGTCTGTGTTATTTTTGTTATAGCAGCCCAAACTGATTAAGACAAAGGAGTAACTGGAGGGGAAAGAGAGTCAGGGCGTGTTTTCTTTTTTAATGATGAGAAAGATTTAGGTAATTGTTGAGAGACAGTTCTTCATGAGTCTCTCACACTTCTACCTGTCTTGCAGAGGCTCTAATTTTCTTTGTTCAGAACCATATATTTTTTAACGTTTGTATAGAAAATAATCTTGGGAAATAGAAGTTATGGTTTTCTGGGATCAAAAGGCAAATTTATTTACTCGCTAACAAGCAACATAGTGTTTCCTTCTGGAGCAAAGTTCAGGTAGGCTCACTGCCTGTTATAAAAGATCCAGCTTCCCTAAGCTTGGGGTTTCTCTCCTATAACACACCCTATTATTCCTGCAAGTATGGACTAACCTGCTTTGCATTGTTCTGTGGGAAATGAGACTCAGAAAACCAAAGTAAATGTGCTGATGCTTATGCTGCTTGTTGCACTGTGAATAATAAAGTCATTTATCTCTGAAAAAAATAATGGATAGAACATCTCAGCAGACTAGTTCAAGAAGACTTCCACAACACTGTAAATCCACTAGGCCTAACAGATACTCTATTGAACACTTCACAGCAGCAGAATATCTATTCTTTTTTTTTTATTATTATACTTTAAGTTTTAGGGTACATGTGCACAATGTGCAGGTTAGTTACATATGTATACATGTGCCATGCTGGTGCGCTGCACCCACTAACTCATCATCTAGCATTAGGTATATCTCCCAGTGCTATCCCTCCCCCCTCCCCCCACCCCAAAACAGTCCCCAGAGTGTGATGTTCCCCTTCCTGTGTCCATGTGTTCTCATTGTTCAATTCCCACCTGTGAGTGAGAACATGCGGTGTTTGGTTTTTTGTCCTTGTGATAGTTTACTGAGAATGATGATTTCCAATTTCATCCATGTCCCTACGAAGGACATGAACTCATCATTTTTTATGGCTGCATAGTATTCCATGGTGTATATGTGCCACATTTTCTTAATCCAGTCTATCATTGTTGGACATTTGGGTTGGTTCCAAGTCTTTGCTATTGTGAATAGTGCCATAATAAACATACATGTGCATGTGTCTTTATAGCAGCATGATTTATAGTCCTTTGGGTATATACCCAGTAATGGGATGGCTGGGTCAAATGGTATTTCTAGTTCTAGATCCCTGAGGAATCGCCACACTGACTTCCACAATGGTTGAACTAGTTTACAGTGCCACCAACAGTGTAAAAGTGTTCCTATTTCTCCACATGCTCTCCAGCACCTGTTGTTTCCTGACTTTTGAATGATTGCCATTCTAACTGGTGTGAGATGATATCTCATTGTGGTTTTGATTTGCATTTCTCTGATGGCCAGTGATGGTGAGCATTTTTTCATGTGTTTTTGGCTGCATAAATGTCTTCTTTTGAGAAGTGTCTGTTCATGTCCTTCGCCCACTTTTTGATGGGGTTGTTTGTTTTTTTCTTGTAAATTTGTTTGAGTTCATTGTAGATTCTGGATATTAGCCCTTTGTCAGATGAGTAGGTTGCAAAAATTTTCTCCCATTTTGCGGGTTACCTGTTCTCTCTGATGGTAGTTTCTTTTGCTGTGCAGAAGCTCTTTAGTTTAATTAGATCCCATTTGTCAATTTTGGCTTTTGTTGCCATTGCTTCTGGTGTTTTAGACATGAAGTCCTTGCCCATGCCTATGTCCTAAATGGTATTGCCTAGGTTTTCTTCTAGGGTTTTTATGGTTTTAGGTCTAACGTTTAAGTCTTCAATCCATCTTGAATTGATTTTTGTATAAGATGTAAGGAAGGGATCCAGTTTCAGCTTTCTACATATGGCTAGCCAGTTTTCCCAGCACCATTTATTAAATAGGGAATCTTTTCCCCATTGCTTGTTTTTGTCAGGTTTGTCAAAGATCAGATAGTTGTAGATAAGCGGCGTTATTTCTGAGGGCTCTGTTCTGTTCCATTGATCTATATCTCTGTTTTGGTACCAGTACCATGCTGTTTTGGTTACTGTAGCCTTATAGTATAGTTTGAAGTCAGGTAGGGTGATGCCTCCAGCTTTGTTCTTTTGGCTTAGGATTGACTTGGTGATGCAGGCTATTTTTTGGTTCCATAAGAACTTTAAAGTAGTTTTTTCCAATTCTGTGAAGAAAGTCATTGGTAGCTTGATGGGGATGGCATTGACTCTATAAATTACCTTGGGCAGTATGGCCATTTTCACGATATTGATTCTTCCTGCCCATGAGCATGGAATGTTCTTCCATTTGTTTTTATCCTCTTTAATTTCATTGAGCAGTGGTTTGTAGTTCTCCTTGAAGTGGTCCTTCACGTCCCTTGTAAGGTGGATTCCTAGGTATTTTATTCTCTTTGAAGCAATTGTGAATGGGAGTTCACTCATGATTTGGCTCTCTGTTTGTCTGTTATTGGTGTATAAGAATGCTTGTGATTTTTGTACATTGATTTTGTATCCTGAGACTTTGCTGAAGTTGCTTATCAGCTTAAGGAGATTTTGGGCTGAGACAATGGGGTTTTCTAGGTATACAATCATGTCGTCTGCAAACAGGGATAATTTGACTTCCTCTTTTCCTAATTGAATACCCTTTATTTCCTTCTCCTGCCTAATTGCCCTGGCCAGAACTTCCAACACTATGTTGAATAGGAGTGGTGAGAGAGGGCATCCCTGTCTTGTGCCAGTTTTCAAAGGGAATGCTTCCAGTTTTTGTCCATTCAGTATGATATTGGCTGTGGGTTTGTCATAGATAGCTGTTATTATTTTGAGATATGTCCCATCAATACCTAATTTATTGAGAGTTTTTAGCATGAAGGTTGTTGAATTTTGTCAAAGGCCTTTTCTGCATCTATTGAGATAATCATGTGGTTTTTGTCTTTGGTTCTGTTTATATGCTGGATTACATTTATTGATTTGCATGTATTGAACCAGCCTTGCATCCCAGGGATGAAGCCCACTTGATCATAGTGGATAAGCTTTTTGATGTGCTGCTGGATTCAGTTTGCTAGTATTTTATTGAGGATTTTTGCATCAATGTTCATCAAGGATATTGGTCTAAAATTCTCCTGTTTGGTTGTGTCTCTGCCAGGCTTTGGTATCAGGATGATGCTGGCCTCATAAAATGAGTTAGGGAGGATTCCCTCTTTTTCTATTGATTGGAATAGTTTCAGAAGGAATAGTACCAGTTCCTCCTTGTACCTCTGGTAGAATCCGGCTGTGAATCCATCTGGTCCTGGACTCTTTTTGGTTGGTAAGCTAATGATTATTGACACAATTTCAGATCCTGTTATTGGTCTATTCAGAGATTCAACTTCTTCCTGGTTTAGTCTTGGGAGAGTGTATGTGTCGAGGAATTTATCCATTTCTTCTAGATTTTCTAGTTTATTTGCGTAGAGGTGTTTGTAGTATTCTCTGATGGTAGTTTGTATTTCTGTGGGATCGGTGGTCATATCCTCTTTATCAATTTTTTATTGCGTCTATTTGATTCTTCTCTCTTTTTTTCTTTGTTAGTCTTGCTAGTGGTCTATCAATTTTGTTGATCCTTTCAAAAAACCAGCTCTTGGATTCATTAATTTCTTGAAGGGTTTTTTGTGTCTCTATTTCCTTCAGTTCTTCTTTGATTTTAGTTATTTCTTGCCTTCTGCTAGCTTTTGAATGTGTTTGCTCTTGCTTTTCTAGTTCTTTTAATTGTGATGTTAGGGTGTCCATTTTAGATCTTTCCTGCTTTCTCTTGTGGGCATTTAGTGCTAGAAATTTCCCTCTATACACTGCTTTGAATGTGTCCCAGAGATTCTGGTATGTTGTGTCTTTGTTCTCGTTGGTTTCAAAGAACATCTTCATTTCTGCCTTCATTTCGTTATGTACCCAGTAGTCATTCAGGAGCAGGTGGTTCAGTTTCCATGTAGTTGAGCAGTTTTGAGTGAGTTTCT
Organism: Homo sapiens; assembly: GCF_000001405.40. Lineage (NCBI taxonomy): Eukaryota > Metazoa > Chordata > Mammalia > Primates > Hominidae > Homo > Homo sapiens. The sequence continues at coordinate 115,677,376 of NC_000005.10, read as the reverse complement.
TAATCCTGAGTTCTAGTTTGATTGCACTGTGGTCTGAGAGATAGTTTGTTATAATTTCTGTTCTTTTGCATTTTTTGAGGAGAGTTTTACTTCCAAGTATGTGGTCAATTTTGGAATAGGTGTGGTGTGGGGCTAAAAAAATGTATATTCTATTGATTTGGGGTGGAGAGTTCTGTAGATGTCTACCATCTACAGACATCTGTAGATGTCTACAGAACAGCGGATTAGGTCCGCTTGGTGCAGAGCCGAGTTCAATTCCTGGGTATCCTTGTTGATTTTCTGTCTCGTTGATCTGTCTAATGTTGACAGTGGGGTGTTAAAGTCTCCCATTATTAATGTGTGGGAGTCTAAGTCTCTTTGTAGGTCACTCAGGACTTGCTTTATGAATCTGGGTGCTCCTGTATTGGGTACATAGATATTTAGGAGAGTTAGCTCTTCTTGTTGAATTGATCCCTTTACCAATGGCCTTCTTTGTCTCTTTTGATCTTTGTTGGTTTAAAGTCTGTTTTATCAGAGACTAGGATTGCAACCCCTGCCTTTTCTTGTTTTCCATTTGCTTGGTAGATCTTCCTCCATCCTTTTATTTTGAGCCTACGTGTGTCTCTGCATGTGAGATGGGTTTCCTGAATACAACACACTGATGGGTCTTGACTCTTTATCCAATTTGCCAGTCCGTGTCTTTTAATTGGAGCATTCAGTCCATTTACATTTAAAGTTAATATTGTTATGTGTGAATTTGATCCTGTCATTATGATGTTAGCTGGTTATTTTGCTCATTAGTTGATGCAGTTTCTTCCTAGTCTCTATGGTCTTTACATTTTGGCATGATTTTGCAGTGGCTGGTACCGGTTTTTCCTTTCCATGTTTAGTGCTTCCTTCAGGAGCTCTTTTAGGGCAGGCCTGGTGGTGACAAAATCTCTCAGCATTTGCTTGTCTGTAAAGGATTTTATTTCTCCTTCACTTATAAAGCTTAGTTTGGCTGGATATGAAATTCTGGGTTGAAAATTCTTTTCTTTAAGAATGTTGAATATTGGCCCCCACTCTCTCCTGGCTTGTAGAGTTTCTGCCGAGAGATCCGCTGTTAGTCTGATGGGCTTCCCTTTGTGGGTAACCCGACCTTTCTCTCTGGCTGCCCTTAACATTTTTTCATTCATTTCAACTTTGGCAAATGTGACAATTATGTGTCTTGGAGTTGCTCTTCTCGAGGAATATCTTTGTGGCGTTCTCTGTATTTCCTGAATCTGAATGTTGGCCTGCCTTGCTAGATTGGGGAAGTTCTCCAGGATAATGTCCTGCAGAGTGTTTTCCAACTTGGTTCCATTCTCCCCGTCACTTTCAGTTACACCAATCAGACGTAGATTTGGTCTTTCACATAGTCCCATATTTCTTGGAGGCTTTGTTTGTTTCTCTTTATTCTTTTTTCTCTAAACTTCCCTTCTCGCTTCATTTCATTCATTTCATCTTCCATCGCTGATACCCTTTCTTCCAGTTGATCACGTCGGCTCCTGAGCCTTCTGCATTCTTCACATAGTTCTCGTGCCTTGGCTTTCAGCTCCATCAGCTCCTTTAAGCACTTCTCTGTATTGGTTATTCTAGTTATACATTCATCTAAATTTTTTTCAAAGTTTTTAACTTCTTTGCCTTGGGTTTGAATTTCCTCCTGTATCTCGTAGTTTGATCGGCTGAAGCCTTCTTCTCTCAACTCATCAAAGTCATTCTCTGTCCAGCTTTGTTCCATTGCTGCTGAGGAACTGTGATCCTTTGGAGGAGGAGAGGTGCTCTGCTTTTTAGAGTTTCCAGTTTTTCTGCTCTGTTTTTTCCCCATCTTTGTGGTTTTATTTACTTTTGGTCTTTGATGATGGTGATGTACAGATGGGTTTTTGGTGTGGATGTCCTTTCTGTTTGTTAATTTTCCTTCTAACAGACAGGACCCTCAGCTGCAGGTCTGTTGGAGTTTGCTAGAGGTCCACTCCAGACCCTGTTTGCCTGGGTATCAGCAGCGGTGTCTGCAGAACAGTGGTTTTTCGTGAACCGCGAATGCTGCTGTCTGATTGTTCCTCTGGAAGTTTTGTCTCAGAGGAGTACCCGGCCGTGTGAGGTGTCAGTCTGTCCCTACTGGGGGGTGCCTCCCAGTTAGGCTGCTGAGGGGTCAGGGGTCAGGGTCCCACCTGAGGAGGCAGTCTGCCCGTTCTCAGATCTCCAGCTGCGTGCTGGGAGAACCACTGCTCTTTTCAAAGCTGTCAGACAGGGACATTTAAGTCTGTAGAGGTTACTGCTGTCTTTTCGTTTGTCTGTGCCCTGCCCCCAGAGGTGGAGTCTACAGAGGCAGGCAGGCCTCCTTGAGCTGTGGTGAGCTCCACCCAGTTGGAGCTTTCTGGCTGCTTTGTTTACGTAAGCAAGCCTGGGCAATGGCAGGCGCCCCTCCCCCAGCCTCGCTGCAGCCTTGCAGTTTGATCTCAGACTGCTGTGCTAGCAATCAGTGAGACTCCATGGGCGTAGGACCTTCCGAGCCAGGTGCAGGATATAATCTCCTGGTGCGCCATTTTTTAAGCCCATCTGAAAAGCGCAGTATTCGGGTGGGAGTGACCCGATTTTCCAGGTGCCGTCTGTCACCCCTTTCTTTGACTAGGAAAGTGAACTCCCTAACTCCTTGCGCTTCCCGAGTGAGGCAATGCCTCACCCTGCTTCTGCTCACGCACGGTGCGCTGCACCCACTGACCTGCACCCACTGTCTGGCACTCCCTAGTGAGATGAACCCGGTACCTCAGATGGAAATTCAGAAATCACCTGTCTTCTGCGTCACTCACGCTGGGAGCTGTAGACCAGAGCTGTTGCTATTCGGCCATCTTGGCTCCTCCAGCAGAATATCTATTCTTCTCAAGTGCCTATGAACCATTCTCTAGTACAAACTACGTGTTATGCCATAAAACATAAATATAAAAGGATTGAAATAATACAAAATATGTTCTCCAATCACAATAAAATACAATTAGAAATCAATAACAGAAAAAAACTGGAAAACTTACAAAAATGTGGAAATTAAATGACAGTTCCAAATACCAATGGATTAAAGAAGAAATCAAAAGAAAATAAAAATATTCTAAGATGAATAAAAATGAAGGCATAACATATCAAAACATATGGGATGCCACGAAACTAATGCATAAAGGCAAATTTATAAATGCCTATATTAAAAAAGAAATAAGAGCTCATATCAACAGCCTTACCATTAGAAGCACCTTAAAACACTCAAGAGCAGCTAAATCTAAAACAAGCAGGAGAAAGGTAATAATAAAACCAAAAGTTGTGTATTTGAAAAGATTAACAAAAATAGGCAAATCTTTAGCTGGTCAAGAAAAAGAATACAGAAGACTAAACTTACTAAAATCAGGCATAAAAGAGGAGACATTACTACTGAACCTAGAGAAACAAATGAAAGGCTGCATCAGACTGTGGTTACCAACTTTTCCAAAGTGAAACTGAACACAACTTTCCTATTCTCCAGCATCAGTCTATTTGAAGCACAGAATGAAAAACTGCTTACAAAGCTGTTACTGAAAGCTACTCAGTTTGGTAGCTTTTAAATTGCTTGAACTTCTGCCAATGTAGGACAAAAGGTGCCACAGTCTACTTACTCAAGCTGTTCCCATCTCCCACTGGAAAGAAGAACTTGATGATAACAAAGACTTGGAGAGGGCCAAAATTAAAATCAAAATGGTAACGTTGCAGCAATTACACAAAAACAAAATGACCCACAAAAGTAAAACTTATGAATTTATATTTATTAGTTCAGGAATAGCAGCAATTGAAACTGTGACCCACTCATGCTAACATTGATGGTACAGATAATATAGTCCAGTCTGAGAATTATGGAAATTCTAATGTTTCTGGGCAACAGGCACAATGAGAATTTTATAGCATTCAGTGGCAGCCAGATGCTTTGTAATAGAGTCTTCAGTAAACTCTGGCAACTGGCGAATTTTATGTTATGACCACGCAATTTAGGAATCCTTAGTATTTACTCAGTGATATAAGTTTATATAATTATACATTAGCCCCCATAAGAATCAAAGACTTATAAGAAGAGGAGCCTCAAGTCCCATTCATGTCTGACAAATTTTATTTTGAGAATCACTGCTTTAGAACTATCTGTGAGTTACCATTTATGTACTGGGACATATGACAGCATCATCAGAGCCTTCTTTCTGTCTTTTTAGAGAAAATAGTAAGATTGACTTGATTCCATGCCTTCCATGAGTTCAAAGCTCTTCCCATAATTTCTATAAATTTCTGGGGGTGGAATGCAGGTGGGCCACACTTTACCATCTCATGACCTCTTTCCTTTGATTCTCTCTTTTGTGTGAGAGATCTCTGTGCTGTGCCACAGCAATGCAGATGTGAGTGAGCCTCTGCCCTCTTTTAAAATCATCGACAACAAAATCCCCTCAGAAAAATGTTTCATGAAGATTTATGGGAAGACAGAGGAGTGATATGACAGTAAACAAACACTTTCAAATAAAGGAATAAGCTTCTGTGCTTAAAATAGTCTTCACCCATCTCTCTCCTTGCTTTATCCTCTTCTTCTCCTCCCCTCCTCCACAACCTTGGAGTTTGGCCCACACTTTTCACCTCGTGCTAGCTGGTCTTCATCTTGTTTCTCCTCTTGATTCTCTTCTCTGTTTTTGGTTTTCTTCTCTCCTCTGTTTAGAACAAAAAACCAGCTCATCTGATTCTCTCAGGGGAAGAGCTTTGATATTTTTCTGAAGATATGTCACCTGTGAATGAATACTCAGGACCTTGGGGGTCTCACCTTCACTTTATTCCCTGGAATGTTTCCCTGGAAAATTAACTGTGACTAGCATACAGGATTATATAAGACCATGGCAGAGGACACAGCCACTTGGTCATTACAGGTGGCATTTTCTAAGAAATGCAGAGATTTTCCCAGAAAAAAAAGGTGGAGAAAATGTGGTGTGGAACAAAAATTGATTGTTTACTAAATATTTACTGTGGAAGAATGAGTTAGTGGAACAGGCAAGTCATGAGGAAAAGAGAGAATGATCAATAAAGCTACCTCAGGTGGGGTAGGGGGCCAGGATCAAAACTAAAGTGGAGAAATTACTCTTTTTCTGAAGGAATGACAGCTCTTTTACTGAGAAAGCATAAAAGAAGATAAGGAGGGTGAGCTGCAAATGAGATGTATTTATATGTGGCTGGGTGAGTCAGTTAAGGGTTTGCTCCTGCAATGACTTGGATTTTCTCAGTGAAGTCAGGCCGAAACTCAACTGCTGACTGAGGACAGAGTTAGGAGAGGGTTTAGCATTGTGGCTTGAGATCATTAGTTGCCAGTATTCCTTTCTTTGGCATTGTTTTCTGATGTAAAAAATTTTTCTGGGTACATAGTACATGTATATATTTACAGATTACATAAGATATTTTGATGCAGGCATGCAATGCATAAAAATCACATCAGGGCAGATGGGGTATCCATCACCTCAAGCATTTATCCTTTGTGTTACAAACAATCCAATTATACACTTTTAGTTATTTTAAAATGTACACTTAAATTATTTTTGACTATAGTCACCCTGTTGTACTAGCAAATACTAGGTCTTAGCCATTCTTTCTAACTTTTCATACCCATTAACCGTTTCAGTGCCCACACCCCACCACTTTTCACTACTCTTCACACCCTCTGGTAACCATCCTTCTACTCTGTCTTCATGAGTTCAATTATTTTAGTTTTTAGCTCCCACAAATAAGTGAGAACATGTGAAGTCTGTTTTTCTGGGTTTGGCTTATTTCACTTGACATGATAACCTCAATCAAGTCCCATCCATGTTGGTTTAAATGACAGGATCTCATTCTTTTTATGGCTTTGTAGTACTTCATTGTGTATATGGACCACATTGTCTTTATCCATTTGTCTGTTGATGGACACTTAAGTTGCTTCCAAATCTTGGCTATTTTGAATAGTGCTGCAATAAACATGGGAGTGCAAATATCTCTTTGATATTCTGATTTCTTTTCTTCTGGGTATATACCTAGGAGTGGGATTGCTGGATCGTAAGGTAGCTCTATTTTTAGTTTCCTGAGGAACCCCCAAACTGTTCTTTCTCCATAGTGGTTGCACTAATTTACATTTCCACCAACAATATACAAGGGATCCCGTTTCTTCACATCCTCACCAGCATCCATTATTGCCTGTCTTTTGGATAAAAGCCATTTAAACCAGGGTAAGATTTAAGATTATATCTCATTGTAGTTTCTAAAAAAATAATTATCATACTTGTTTTTATTCATCTTTCTTTAATGTATGTATAGCTCACATTTATTTTAATCCTTAATATTAGAAATGTTTGGAGTCTTTATTTGGAAGTTTTGTGATGTTTTTGTTTTTAATTTTTAATTTTATTTGTATTTATTTTTATTTTTGGGTACATAATGGGTGTATATATTTATGGGGTACATGAGATGCTTTGATATAGGTATGCAATGCATAATAATCACATCACATAAAACAGGGGTATCCATCATGTCAAACATTTATTCTTGTGTTACAAACAATCCAATTATACCCTTTTAGTTGCTTTAAAATGTACAATTAAATTATTGTTGACTATACTCACCCTGTTGTGCTAGCAAATACTAGGTTTTATTCATCCTTTCTGTTTTTTGTACCCATTAGCTATCCTCACATCCCCTCCACTACCCTTCCCAGCCTCTTGTAACCATCCTTCTACTCCCTATCTCCATGAGTTCAGTTGTTTTGATTTTTAGCTTGCAAAAATAAGTGAGAACATGTGATGTTTTTCTTTCTGTGCCTGGTTTATTTCACTTAGCATAATGGCTTCCAGTTTCATCCATGTTGTTGCAAATAACAGGATCGCATTCTTTTTTGTGGCTGTAATAGTACTTCACTGTGTATAAGTATCACATTTTTCTTTATCCATTCATCTGTTGATGAACACTTTAGCTGCTTCCAAATCTTAACCATTGTAAATAATGCTGAAGCAAACACAAGAGTGCAGATATCTCTTCAATATGCTGATTTCCTTTCTTTTGGGTAGATACCTAGCAGTGGGATTGCTGGATCATATGGTAGCTCTATTTTTAGTTTTTTGAGGAAACTCCATAGTGGTTGTACTAATTTACATTCCCATCAACAGTGTACAAGGGTTTCCTTTTCTCCACATCCTTGCCAGGATTTGTTATTGCCTGTCTTTTGGATATCAGCCAATCAGTGATTGTCTCTTCACTTGGTTGATTGTGCCCTTTGATGTGCTAACTTAATGTGATCCCATTTGTCCATTTTTGCTTTGGGTGCCTGTGCTTGTGGGATATTACTTGAGAAATGTTTGCCCAGATCAATGTTCTGGAGAGTTTTCCCAATGTTTTGTTGTAGTAGTTTCATAGTTTAATGTCTTATATTTAAGTCTTTAATTCATTTTGATTTGATTTTTATATATGGCAAGAGGTAGGAGTCTAGTTTAATTCTTCTGCATATGGATACTCATTTTTCTTAGCACCATTTATTGAAGAAACTGTCCTTTCTTCAATGTATGTTCTTTTCATCTTTGTCAAAAATGAGTTCACTGTAGACATATGGATTTATCTCTAGGTTCTTTATTCTGTTCCACTAATCTATATGTCTGTTTTAATGCCAGTACCATTCTGTTTTGGTTATTATAGCTCTGTAGTATAATTTAAAGTCAGGTAATGTGATTCCTCCAATTTTGTTCTTTTTGCTTAAGATGCTTTTGGATATTCTGGGTCTTTTTAATTTCATATAAATTTTGGGATTTTTTTCTATTTCTGTGAAGAATGTCATTGGTATTTTCATAAGGATTGCATTAAATCTGTAGATTGCTTTGAGAAGTATGGACATTTTAACAATATTGATTCTTCTAATCCATGAACATAAAAATGTCTTTCCTTTTTTTGCATCTTTTTCAATTTCTTACATCAATGTATTATAGTTTTCATTGTACAGATCTTTTGCTTTTTTGATTAAGTTAATTCCTAGGTATTCTATTTTATTTGTCGCTATTGTAAATGGAATTACTTTCTTGATTTCTTTTCAGATTGTTCACTGTTGGCATATAGAAATGCAACTGATTTTTGTATTTTCATTCTCTATCCTGCAACTTTACTGAATTTATGTGGTGTGAGTTGTAATACTTCCTTTTTCATCTCTGATTTTATTTATTTGGATCTTCTCCCTTTTTTCTTAGTCTGGCTAAAGGTTTGCCAATTTTGCTAATCTTTAAAAGACCAGCTTTTTCTTTCATTGTCCTTTTGTATTGTTTTCTTCATTTCAAATTCATTTATTTCTGCTCTGATCTTTATTACTTCCTTCTTCTACTAATTTTGGGTTTGGTTTGCTCTCACTTTCTAGTTCTTTAAGATGCATTATTAGGTTGTTTATTTGAATTTTTTGCTTTTTGATGAAGGCACTTATAGCTATAAAGTTCTTTTTAGTACTGCTTTCACTGTATCCCTCAGGTTTTGGTATGTGTGTTTCCATTATTATTTGTTTCAAGAAATTTTTCAAATTCTTTCTCAATTTCTTTATTGACCAACTGGTCATTCAGGAACATATTGTTTGATTTCCATGTGTTTGTATAATTTCCAAAATTCCTCTTGCTATTGATTTCTAGTTTTATTCCATTGTGGTCAGAGAAGATGTGTGATATTATTTCAAATCTTTTAAATGTTTTGTGATCTAACATATAGTCTATCCTTGAGAATGGTTCATGTACTGAGAAAAAAATTTATTCTGGAGCTGTTGGGTAAAATGTTCTGTAAATATTTATTAGGTCCTTTTGGTTTATAGTGCAGATTATGTTTGATGCTTCTTTGTTGATTTTTGGTCTGGAAGGTCTATCCAATTATGCAAGTGGGGTGTTAAAATCTCCAGCTGTTATTGTATTTGGGTCTATCTCTTTTTTAACTCTAATAATATTTGCTTTATATATCTGGGTGCTCCAGTGTTTGGTGCATATATATTTATAATGGTCATATCCTTTTGGTGAATTAGTTCCTTTATCATTATATAGAGAACTTCTTTGTCTATTCCTATAGTTTTTGTCTTCACATCTATTTTGTCTGATATAAATACAGATACTCTTGCTCTGCTTTGGTTTCATTGGTATAGAATATCTTTTCCATCTCTTTATTTTCTGTTTATGTGTGCCTTTATAGGTGAAATGTGTTTCTTTCTTTTTTTTTTTTTTTTTTTGAGACAGACTCTCACTGTGTCGTCCAGGCTGGAGTGCAGTGGCATAATCTCAGCTCACTGCAACCTCTGCCTCCCGGGTTCAAGTGATTCTCCTGCCTCAGCCTCTCGAGTAGCTGGGGCTATAGTTATGTGTCACCACACCTGGCTAATTTTTGTAATTTTAGTAGAAATGGGGTTTCACTATGTTGGCCAGGCTGGTCTCGAACTCCTGACCTTGTGATCTGCCCACCTCAGCCTCCCAAAGTGCTGGGATTACAGGTGTGAGCCACTGCACCCAGCCTGGAAAAATGTGTTTCTTGTAGGCAACATATCACTGGGTCATTTTTTTTTTTTTAATCACTTCAGCCAGTCTATGTCTTTTGATTGGAGAGTTTAGTCCATTTATATTCAATGTTATTAGTGACAAGTAAGGACTTACTCCTGCCATTTTGTTATTTGTTTTCTGCTTGTGTGTGTGTGTGTGTGTGTGTGTGTGTGTGTGAGTGAGTGATCTTTTCTTTCTTTCCTTCCTGTCTTGCTTTTAGTGAAGCTAATTTTTTTCTGGTGGTATGATTTAATTTCTTGCTTGTTATTTTTTGGTTTATCTGTTGTATGTTTTTTAATTTGAAGTTACCATGAGGCCTGCAAAGAGTACCTTATAAGCCATTATTTTAAAATGATAAAAATGTAATCCTGTTTGCATAAACAAACAAATAAGCAAGCAAAAGGAAAACTAATAAATACTATATACCTTAACTTCATCCATTTTAACTTTATTGTCTCTATTTATATCTTATTGTACTGTGTATCCTTGAAAAGTTACTGTAGTTATTATTTTTGATTGGTTCATCAAAAAGATTGGTTCTCTTTCTACTTAAGATCATTGTAGTTTACACACCACAGTTACAGTGTTATAATACTCTGTGATTTTTTTGTGTACTTACTATTACCAGTGAGTTTTGTGCCTTCAGATGATTTTTTATTGTTCATTAACGTCTTTTTCTTTCAGACTGAAATATTCTCTTTGGCATTTCTTGTAGGACAGATCTGATATTGAAGAAATCCTCAGCTTTGTTTGTCTGGGAAAGTCTTTATTTCTCCTTCATATTTGAAGGATATTTTCACCCAATATACTATTGTAGGGTAAAAGTTATTTGCCTTCAGCATTTCAAGTATGTCGTACTACTCTCTCTGGGCCTGTAAGGTTTCTACTGAAAAGTCTGCTGCCAGATGTATTGGAGCTCCATTGTATGTTATTTGTTTCTTTTCTCTTGATGCTTTTAGGGTCCTTTTTTACTCTTGATCTTTGGGAGTTTGGTTATTAAATGCCTTGAGGGAGTCTTCTTTGGGTTAAATGTGCTTGGCATTCTATAACCTTTTTGTACTTGGATATTGATATCTTTCTCTAGGTTTGGGAAGTTCTCCATTGTTATCCCTTTGAATAAACTTTCTATCCCACCTCCTTTTTAAGACCAATAACTTAGATTTGCTCTCTTGAGACTATTTTCTAGGTCCTGTAGGCATGCTTCATTGTTTTTATTCTTTTTTTGTTTTGTCTCCTCTGACTGTGTATTTTCAAATAGCCTGTCTTCAAGTTCACCAATTCTTTATTCTGCTTGATTAATTTGGCTGTTGGAAGACTGATGCGTTCTTCAGTATGCCAATTGTGTTTTTCATCTCCAGAATTTCTGCTTGTTTCTTTATTCTTTGTGTTTCCCCAAAACAGCTATTTTGAATTCCCTGTCAGAAAGGTCACATATTTCTCTTTCTCTAGGCCTGGTCTCTGGTGCCTTATTTAGTTAATTTGGTGAGGTCATGTTTTCCTGTATGGTCTGATGCTTATGGATGTCCTTCGGTGTCTAGGCATTGAAGAATTAGATATTTACTGTGGTCTTTGCAGTCTGGACTTGTTTGTACTTGTCCTTCTTGGGAAGGCTTTTCCAAGTATTCAAATAGTCTTGAGTGTTGTGAGCTAAGCCTGCTTTAGGGGGCACCCCAATCCCAGTAATAATGTGGTTCTTGCAGACTCAAAGGTACCACCTTCGTAGTCTGGGATAAGATCCAGAAAAATTATCTGGATTATGGGACAGAGACTCTTGTCCTCTTCTCTTACTTTCTCCCAAACAAATGAAGTCTCTCTCACTCTCTGTTTTGAACCTCCTGGAGCTGGGGTTGGAGAGCCCCTGTGGACACCATCCCTGAGTCTGTACTGGGTCAGATTGAAACAAGGACAGCACTGGATATCTCCCAGGGCCCACTGTAACCACTACCTTGCTACCACATATGTTTGCTCAAGGCCCTGTGTCTCTACAATTAGCAGGGGGTGAAGCCAGCCTGGCTTATGTCCTTCCCTTCAGTGGGGCAAGTTACCTCATGCTCCACATGGTCCAGAGGTGCTGTCTGGGAGCTAGGGACTAGAGTCAAAAACCTTAGAAGTCTCTTTGGTATTCTATTGTACTGCAGCTGAGCTGGTACTCAAACCAAGATATGCAGTCCTTCCCACTCTTCCCTTCCCTTTCCACAGGTAGAGATGCCTCACCCCATGACCACCACCACCACAAGCCATCAGGGAGTACTACCAGGTTACCATCGATGTTCCCTTAAGTTCCAAGGGCTCTTCAGTCAGTTTGTGGTGAATGTTGCCTAGCCTAAGACTCAACCTTCAGGGTAGTGGGCTCTTCTCTGGCCCAGGGAAGGTTCGGAAATGCTGTCCAAGTGCCAAAGCCTGGAACTGAGGACCCTAAGATCCCACTTGGTGCTCTACCTCACTGTGCCGAATTGGTACCTAAGGTGAAAGACAAACTCTCCTTTACTTTTTCCTCCACTTTTCTCAAGCACAAGGAGTCTCTCCCTGTAGCCACCATAGCTGGGAATGTATTGAGTCTCACCTGAAACCAGAAAGTCTCAGAGTCTCACCCAAGGCCTACAATATACTACCTGGTTATAGCTGCTGTTTTTTCAGGGCCCAAGGGCTCTTTAGTTAGCAAGTGATGAGTCCTGACAAGACAAATCCTTCCCTTCAAGGCAGCAGGTTCCCTTCTAGCCCAGAGTGTGTCTAGAAATGTTGTCCAGGAACTAGGGCCTGGAAAGGGGACCTCACGACTCTGACTGGTACCCTATCCTACTGTGGCTGAGCTAGTATCCAAGATGCAAAACAAAGTCCTCTGTACTATTCTCTCTCCTCTACTCAAGCAGAAGGATGGGATGTGTTCTGGAGCTGCAAGCTGTGCAACCTGGGGTTAAAAGAGGGTTGGTGCAAGCATGTTCTTAGCCACCCTGGCTGGTGTCTCAGTAAGTCGGATACCCCCCAAGCCCACTGTCTCTGAGCCCAGTTCAGCACTGGGACTCATGTAGGGGTTGCGGTATTTGTGGCCTAGACTTCCTTTCAAGTTTGTTTAGAGCCCAAGAGCACTTTAGCTCATGGTGGTGAAGCTTGCTAGAACTCAAGTTCTGATCTCTGGGATGGGTGATTCTCCTCTAGCTAGGCTGGTTTAAATACTGCCTCCATGGATGGGCATAAGCTGAGTTAGCCCAGTTTTGCTTTCTGCTGTGACAGGGCAGCACTGAGTTCAATGCAATGCCTCACAATTGCTACTCTCTCCCTCTCCCAAGCCCACAGATCCTCTCTCCATGTCACATGGCCACTGCCAACAGATGTCGGAGGAGTAAAATTGGCAATTCAAGACAGTCTTTCCTACCCTCTTCAATGCCTCTTTCAGCAATATAAAGCTAAAACCAGATACTGTGAGTGCACAGCTGATTTTTGATTCTTATGAAGGTGTTTTTTTGGTGTAGATAGTTGTTAAATTTGTGTACTTGTGGGGGTGAGGGTGGGGATCAGTGAGGCCTTCTATTCAGCCATCTTGCTCTGCCCCTCTCACCAGCATTTCTAATCTCTTATATTGTACAGTCATTTCCACCATTTATACTCAACATGGGTATGAGCAGATGAGAAATATGATGGATGGAATCTGGGCTGTGGTTTTGAGTCCAGTAAAATAGAAGAGCGTGAAGACAAGTAAGCAAATACAGTGATAGAACAAAAGCATCATCTAAGTTGGTAAACTGGAAAAAAAATTGAGGGGTTCAAATAAATGAACCTGGGTAAGATTAGATATATTGTGAGTGAAAGGCTGAGATAGAAGAATAAGAGGTTGCTGACAGAAGGTATGCTATTAATGGTAAAGATATCAGTTGGAAAAAAAGCTTTAAATGACATGATCCAGAGTATGACCCATGTGAACTACTTTTGTGGAATTGTAGATGGAAATCACTGGCACTGAGGAGGTCAACGAACTCTGAAGCTAGGCTCTTTGATTGGTGATCCCCAAGTAGGTGGGTATTTCAGGATGGTGGCCATCGAGGGGTGAGGTGGAAGACCTCATGAGAGAGTGAACAGGAGGTTGGAATAAGGCAGTGATGAAGTTGTGGAAGAGAAGGAGAAAACAGTTTAATAGTTCATCAAAGTAACTTTATTTCAAAAAATGAAGTCATCATTTACATGGAATAAATACGAAAACTCATGCATTTTTTTTTTTTTTTTTTGGTATAGGAATCAAGTTTGTCCTTGAGTGAGAATAGATGAGAGAAAATGTGGAGCTCCTGACATAGTAGCAGAGGAAAAATGATCACTACCACAGTGTGCTACTCTGATGCTTCAAAAAGATCAAGACATAATGCTAAAGCCTGATCAAAAGGTGGGTCCAGATTTTTTTTATTTTTTATTTTTTTTTGAGATGGAGTCTTGCTCTGTCACCCTGGCTGGAGTGCAGTGGTGCAATCTTGGCTCACTGCAACCTCCGCCTCCCGGGTTCAAGCGATTCTTCTGCTTCAGCCTCCTGAGTAGCTGGGACTACAGGTGCCTGCCACCACGCCCAGCTAATTTTTGTATTTTTAGTAGAGACAAGGTTTCACCATGTTGGTCAGCCTGGTTTCGAACTCCTGACCTTGTGATCTGCCCACCTTGGCCTCCCAAAGTGCTGGGATTATAGGCCTGAGCCACCTCACCTGGCCCAGATTTTGTTTTTTAAATGAAGGCTGCAAAGACAGTGGGTTGGGTACCTGCTAGCAAAAGTTGAGAGACTAGAAAATCTTATAGAGATGGATTTTGGGTGTTTCTGAAACAGTTAAAGCAAGGAATGCTGCTCTTACACAATATAAACAAATGCCCCCTACACTGCCCCCCCCACACTAGATGTTACAGGCTGAATTCTCACTCTAAAAGGCAATCATTACTATGAAAAGAGACAGATTATTAATTGAACAAATCACTTAAAAGTTCTGGAAGACAGTTTTCTCTCTAGGTTAAAAATCCATGGTCCAGGGCCAGGCACAGTGGCTTGTGCCTGGAATCCCAGCACTTTCGGAAGCCAAGGCAGGAAGATCATTTGAGCTCAGGAGTTCAAGACAAACCTTGGCAACATAGTGAGACCCTTTCTCTATAAAAAGAAAAAAACTTTTTTTAAAATCCGTTGTGGTACTAATGGGATAAATTATAGAGGAAAGTATACTTGGACATGATGTGTAGAACAATGTAAATCTCTGGACTCCCTGTGACCAATTCGATTTTGCAGATCAGCATCGTGCAAAGATCTGTTTACGCATCCCCAAGACTACCACCGATTAATGAACAGGACATTTTTCTCAGGCTACACCGTTACCGGCCAGTTCCAAGGAAGATGATGAATATTGTATTTTCCTTTTCTACCACTCTTTAGGATTCTTGGACAAAAATCTAAGAAGGGAACAATTCCTTTAAAAGAGACACCTTGAGGCTCTAATAAAACAAAGGTTTCTACTTAACCTCAAACAGCAAAGATTAAACTGCAAACTATTTGACACCAAAGTTATTAGAATGGTACAAATAAATAATAAATTTATCTTAAATGCCAGAGTATAATTTTTTAAAAGCCAACCCCATGATGAACCAAAATTTATCCATTCATTAATCCACTTACTCAAGAAAGACATAAGATGCCAGAGATACAATGATGAGCCTTGGTCAAAAGAAAAAAAAATGTTTTTTTGGTTTTTTTTTTTTGCAGAAGTTTACTTACAAGTATTAAGTCACAGATACTCCTGATAGGAGGCAAATATGCTTCTTGTTTTTTCACCTCTTGGTAGAACTTTATATGTAGTCTTATCTGACTTTACTCCAATAATTTAATATTTGTAAAAGGGATTCAGTATAGAGCCTTATATCGATACTGTGCTATCAGTTTTTAGAAATAAAATGAACAAGGCAGCAAGCTGAAAGAAATACTTCTATTGGTTGTTACTGAAAAGTAGTTAGTTTTCAGCATCTCTTAAGAAAGAATGCGACTTGCTTAGTCCAGTCAGAGAGGAAAATTCTATACACAAAATCCATCAAAGCCATTGTGAGAGGACTTGTTTGCCTGGAGACTGCAGGGTTTTTCTTTGAATAGCCTCCTTCAGGAAGCTGTACATTTCATTAGTTAAGATTCTGCTTTTGAGGGAAGAGTAATCCAGTCATCTACAGTCTCTAAAATTATGTCCAATTAACCACTGGTAAGCATTAACTAAGAAGAAAGATTTGCTGTCAAAATTTACTCTATTAAAATTGGAATTGAAAACTGTAACAATAAAAACTCTAAGCTTTCTTAGAGCCATGTTGTATTATTTGAAAGCACCAGAAAATCTGTTCAGAATCTCTAGTGTAGGAATGCTGAGCTTTTTCTCTGGAGGAGAGCACATTTATGAGTGTTGGCTGAGGGCTCGCTCAGTCTGGGGGTAGGTCACAGGGTGAAATGGAGATTAGCTCAGCACTCATTCTGCTGGCTCTGTTGGCAATGAGATTTTATTTTCTTTACTCTTAGATTCTGTGGGGGAAATTGAGGGTGATATTCAGATGAGTTGAATGCCAAGTATTTGGAAAACCGTGAGAGTTCAACAGTTTCTAAGAGCCCCAATCATTCTGAGCGTTTTGATTGTGCCAGTAATTGTAAATCTCGTTTTAGCAGCCTGCACACAGAGGCTCCACAGAAGACAATGATTCCTCAGAAAAGCTCTATTTGTATTACCTGTACTGAATGAACATGGGCTTTGCTAGATTATTTTATTCTTCTCTCAAATTTAAACTTAAACCCATTGAGTGAATCTTCTAAAACTTGTAATCTAGCAAAAACTTTGAATCTGCAATTTAGCAAAGACTTTGAATATGTTGATGCATAATATAGAACCATCTTACAGGCACTAATTTGAACAGAAAATGTAAGTGTAACACTAAGGGAAACCTATATGAAGATCCTGTGAGCAGGTGAGATTTAAAAAAAAATGTTGAGACAGATTTTTTTTTTTAATACTGGTCAATTATTGCTATTAGGGCAATTTGGGTTGCAAGTGCAGACATCTAAAACAAACTAGTTTAAGCAAAAAAGCAATTGATTATGGGTCCAGCCATGGCTGGATCCAGGGCCTTAACAATATTGTTAGCAATCAGTCTCTCTTACACCTTGCTGCCTCATTCCCCATCTCTGCTCTGCTTTCCTCTATGTCAACTTCATTCTCAGGCAAGGCATTATTTTCGTTGTTTTGGAAAGATAGTCTTCAGTAACTCTGGGTCTAATTCGACCCAGCTAGTAACCTTAAGGAAAAAAAGATTGCCTTCTTCCCAGTGGTTTTAGGAAAAGCCATCCATAGGAATGACATTGATTGGCTTGGCTGGGAAGGGGGTCGGGCCTGCATCTCAGGAAACAAGACTCATATGTAATCATAAAATGTGGGGGGTGCATCCCAGAATGCTGAATTGTATGCGGTTAGCAAAAGAAGAGAGAAAGGATGTCAATTGGGTAAATGTAACAGGTTGCAAGAGTTAAAGTTCAAGTTATATCTAGGGTCAAGATTTTATTGCAATCATTTGTGTGGAAATAAAGTAGATGAGAAATAGTCTCAACCATTTTCATGGAGAAATGCAGCATAATTCCTACACAACTGTAGCTCCAGCAGTCTGACTGCAACTCTGGAGCAAAATAGCCACTCTAAAAATTTGCCACATCTTGGAGTCTTAGAGTCTGGCATGCTTCCTCCTGTAGTATCCAACCATTATGGTGCTTCTGTTTCTTCTGTTTTTGTAGCTACTAACTCATTTCTGCTCTTCATTTGTTCATAGTTTCTATTTATCGTTCTCTCTTTCTGTGTTTGTCATCTTCTGTACTACTATTTTTGTTTTATATTGTATTAATTTCTACTTTCAACATATATTCTTTCTTCTATTTTGTTTGGAGTTTCTCTATGGTCCTTCTTCTAGCAATTTTTTAGTTGAATAGCTCATTAATTTTTCATCTTTCTTGTTTTGTAATATATGCAATTAAGGCTATAAATTGCCTTCTAAGTACTGCATTAGCTGTATCCCACAAGTTTTGACATGCAGTGCTTTCTATGTCATCCAGTTCTAAATATTTTATAATTCTCATTAAAATTTTATTGTGACTTAAGAAACATTGTTATGAAGGCTTATTATATATAAAGTGCATAATTAAGTGAATAACTCAGTGAATTTTACATATGTCTACACTTGTGTAGCTACTGCCCAGATCAAGATATAAAACATTTCCAGCAACCCAAAGAACTTTTCTATACCTCTTTCCCCAAAATACCCCCCAAGAGATAACCGCTATTGACTAATACCATGGATTAGTCTTACCTCTTCTTAATATCATCTAGAAGGAACCATGTGTCCCATTTTGTGACTGATTTCTTTCACTCATCATTATGTCTGTGAGATTTATTCATATTAAAGCAACAGGTTTTTTCCCCCTCTCCATTACTGACAATGAATATACTTATTTGTCCATTCTACTCTCAAGTCATATTTGTATTGCTTCCAGTGTGGGGCTATTATGAGTAAAACTAGTATGAAAGTTCTTATAAATGTCTTTTGCTGGACATTTTTACTCATTTCTGTTGGGAATATAGCTAGCAGTAGAATTTTTGAATTATAGAATAGACATATATTTAGCTTTATTAGATATTTCCAAATTGTTTTTCATAGTGGTTTTTACCAACTTACACTCCCACCAGTATATGTGTGAGAGTTGGTCATTCCACGTTCCATCATATTTGGTATTGTCAGTTTTTTTCTAAATTTTACTTATTTTGGTGTGAAGCGTAGTACCTTAATGTCATTCATGTTTCATTTACCTGCTGACTATAATTCTGAACTCCTTTTTATATGCTAATTGGTCATTTGCATATCTTCTTTTATGAAATGTTAATTCAAACCTTTTTCTGATTTCTAAATTGCATTATTGTCTTTTTATAATTGAGTTGTAAGAGTTCTTTGCATATTCTGCATATGTCTTTTAACAGATATATGTATTGTGAATTTCTTCTCTCAGTTGGTAGTTTGTCTTTTCACTCTCTAAATAATCTCTTTTTATTAACAAAAGTTTGTACTTCAATGAAATCTTTTTTTTTCTCTCATTGGCAGTGCTTTTAGTGTCCTGTTTAAGAAAGGTTTACCCTCCTCAAGGCCATGAAGATTCTCTTATGTATTTTTTAAAAGCTTCACTCTTTTACCTTTACATTTGTTTGTGATCCATTTTATACTGATTTTTTATATTGCATGACAAAAGTATCAAGATTCATTTTCTTTTCCAATTCATGTCATCTGCAAATAATGACGATTTTATTACTTCCATTCCAAACGCTATACCTTTTATTTTTTCTCTTGCCATATTGTACCCATGAATGTTTTTGTAGTGTTTTTTAAAATTTCAAAACATATGAGGGTTTCTAATCTCCTTTTAACGTTGGTTTCTAATTTTGCTGCACTCTTTTCGGAGAACAAGCTGTATAGCATCCATTCTTAGGAATTTATTAAGCCTTGTTTTGTAGCCTTGTACACTATACATTTTTGCAAATGTCACATGTTTGCTTGGTCTCCAGACCCATTCATTCTACCTGTAGAGAAAGATATAGAGAGATGTTGCTCATTTAAGGCATTTGCCGTATCTTGCAGGATAGCCCCCTAACCTTGAAGGTGCTTTCTTTTAGCTGGTGCCAAAATTGTGAGGTCAGCAGGCTATTCTGCTCTTCTGGTGATCCAGCTCCTTTTTGGAGATGGGCAAGACTAGTGAATTCCAGTGGTGTGAACGCATTGTCATACTTTCTTTGCAGTAGTATGAATCATTCCATGACTCAGGGGACAGGGTTGCATTCATTCCCCCTAAGTGTCTATATTTTAATATAATAAGCCTCATGAACTTGAGCATTTAATTAATGCTGCAACCCTTATAATCAGATCCTAAGCTTAGTTCTCAACTACCTCCTCCTGCAGTTATTGGAAATAAGATGTGCTTTTAAAGTTGCATTCAGGGCTCTCTGATTTTCCACATAAATTCTCATCTGGCAATTTCATTTCTCTTTGTCCCTACTTATTCTCCCTAGGGCCTTTAGAACAACCCAGATGACACTATAGTTCCTAAGATCTGTAGAACTCGTAGCAATCAAGTTTTACCGCTACTTGATTTCCCAAAACCTTGACCTCCTGTGTCATCACCAGTGACAGTTTGAGTAACTGTGATACTACTATATGTCAAGGATTGTCCATACCCCATTCCCCCTGTACTCTTCAAATATTGCACAATCCAGTCCAGGATTTTAAGGATTTTACTTTGTTTTCTGGGACCAGTCACAGTATCAATTACTGTGCCAATTAAGTTCCCAGTGGGAAAAAGATGGTGCAGTCAAATTGGGTAATTTGAAGGGACTATTTATAAAAGTGCAATCAGAGTAGGACAAACCATGAGAAATAGTGCAATACTCTGGGACTGTAAATAGTAGAATTTCCAAAAGGCAAAGAGAAGGAGCAATTATGGGAACCTAGTTTAGGAAGTCACATGATAGGAGATAAGATATTTGGGCAAGAGGTTCTGCTCCCAGGCCTAGGCAACCCTGGATGGAGGTAGCTAAGGGAACAAATACCTCTACCTTACTTTTTGCCCTCCCTCAGATTTTCTACCAGGAATCTTCAAACCCAAATCCAAATGCAAAGGAAATTTATACAACAAGAGAGTCTGTTGAGGTAGAATATACCCACAGGATACCCTCTCAGGACACACATAAGGATGGAAAGGAATGAAGAGTGGATCTAGAAGGGCAATCATAAAATATCAAGCAAAATATGAATTGGATCTTAATAATGTTAAAATTTGTGGTTCCTTAAAGATGTCCAAATGTAGATGCTGAGTAGTCATCAATGGCAAATAGACCATATTTAAAGCTGTGGGTGTAGAGGGCCTATAAACTGAGCCTCGTTGTGCATTAATATTGGGTTGAGGAAGATGGTCTTGCAAAGGAGACTGAGAAAAAGTAGCTGAGGAGTTGGGAAGAAAGTCAGAAAGGGTGGTATAACAAAAGACAAGGAAAAGGTGTTTCAAGACGATGAAAGTCTACAGTGCTCAACCCTCTGATAATCAAGTAGGATGAACAGTGAAAATGTTCATTACCTCTCCTCTGCCATATGTCATCCCTTACAGGACCATCCTTACACCTGAGCTAGAGGGGCCACTGCCCTGGGATCCACACAGTAGAGGGCTCTGCATATCATAAACACACACACACAATTCACTTATCAGTCACCCTTCAGGATCATTCTGGTCATAGGGAAATTCTTCTCCACCTCTCTTCCCCTATGTCCTTAAAACAAAAAGTCACTGTGTCCATAAACTTGAAGGTTTGTGGTTTGTACTGCTGCTGACATCAGAGAAACAAACAGCTTCAGAATGCAGGAAGATTTAAACAGTAGTAACAGTTTAAAAACAAAAGACAAATTAATTAACTTTTCACACTGTCCTCTTAGCAAGAATAAAATAGATTCTTTTATGTAGAAGTATTCTTTCCCAGTAAGGTCAAACAGCATCTATATTCTTCCTTTTCATTATCTTTCAATTCACAATTCCAGAGGTACCAGTGAAACGGGAAACTCACAAAGTTGCACTGAGCAAAGATCAACTGAGAAATATTTTGCAATATTAAACAATTCATAGTCTCTTAAAGTTGCAGGTATTTAGGCTTAAACTGTAACATCTCTTAATGATGGTTTATACTGGCAATTAGATAGACAGTAAATGCTAAAATGCAAATAGTTCTGATTTTATAATAATATTTGATGATAATTACATTTTCAAAAAACTAAATTAAAAATTTTACTTTAAGTGCTTTTGATCTACATTTTTGATATTAACTACACTGTACATTCTATTTTGCTTGAAATTCTAATACATAATTTTAAATATTTCAGAAGGAAACTTCTTAAAACATGACAACAATTAAATTAAATGTTTTGATTTTTACATTTATTTTACTTTACATTCCTCATTAAAATATATTCACATTTCATACACTGTAATACAACTAAATTTTATCCTTCAGAATCATTACTTTCAACAGAAGATAAATTATGTACATAATTTAACAGCAATAATAATGATTTTGCTGAAATGACAGCAAGAAAAAATAAATTTTATGAAATAAATATGCTTTCTGAATTATGTCTTTTATGCATCGTTATTAAATTTTGTTTAATATTTAACAGTCACATAAAACCACACAAAACACAAATTTTTCTTTTTTTCTTTATGTCTTTTTTCTTTATGTTTTTCTTTTTTTCTTTCTTTTTTTATTTCTGTCAAATAAGAGGATGGAACGTATTTTACTTAACAGTTGCTTATTTGATTTATTATTGACATCTCTGACAATACATCTCATTGTCAGATGTATGATTTGTGTCACGCGCATCCTTGTGAAGAGACCACCAAACAGGCTTTCTGTGAGCAACAAGGCTGTTTATTTCACCTGGGTGCAGGTGGGCTGAGTCCAAAAAGGAGTCAGCAAAGGGTGGTGGGATTATCATTAGTTCTTTTTTTTTTTTTTTTTGAGACAGAGTCTTGCTGTGTTGCCCAGGCTAGAGTGCAGTGGCTCAGTCTTGGTTCACTACAAGCTCTGCCTCCCGGGTTCATGCCATTTTCCTGCCTCAGCCTCCTGAGTAGCTGGGACTATAGGCGCCCGCCACCATGCCTGGCTAATTTTTTTTCTTTTGTATTTTTAGTAGAGACAGGGTTTCACCGTGGTCTTGATCTCCTGACCTCATGATCCACCCACCTCGGCCTTCCAAATGCTGGGATTACAGACGTGAGCCACCGTGCCTGCCCGATTATCATTAGTTCTTATAGGTTTAGGATAGGCGTACAAAGTACATTCTTAAGGGCATGGAGAATATTACAAAATACCTTCTTAAGGGCAGGGGAGAATATTACAAAGTACCTTCTTAAGGGCAGGGGAGAATATTACAGAGTACCTTTTTAAGGGCGGCAGAGACTATGTCATATCAGTTAGGGTGGGGCAGGAACAAATCACAAGGGTGGAATGTCATCAATTAAGGCTATTTTCACTTCTTTTGTGGATCTTCAGTTGCTTCAGGCCATCTGGATGTATACCTGCAGGTCACAGGGGATATGATGGCTTTGCTTGGGCTCAGAGGCCTGAGATCCCTGTCTTCTTATATTAATAAGAAAAACAAAACAAAATAGTGGTGAAGTGTTGGGGTGGCGAAAATTTTTGGGGGTGGTATGGAGAGATAATGGGTGATGTTCTCAGGGCTGCTTTGAAAGGGATTAGGGGCAGCATGGGAACCTAGAGTGGGAGAGATTAATGAGTTCGGTTTGCTGAGAAGTAGTGGAGGGGGGCAGAGTGGTAGCCTCAATGATAAACATGGAAAATACTATAGTATAGCCTGCCTTTGCTGGTGAGTGGCAATTAGCCCTGGTGGAACTGCCATCAATAAACCAAGTGTGATCAGGATGAGAAATAGGAAAGAAGGAAATATGGGGAAATGGAGTGACTGTCACATGGATGAGAGATACAGTCATGGGGATCAGGTGTGGTATCCGGAATAATGTGGGAGGCCAGATTGAAGTCTGGGCCAGGAGCAATGGTAATTGTGGGAGACTCAACAAAGAGGGAGTATAGCTGAAGGAGCTGAGGGGCAGAAAGTATATGCATCAAGTGTGAGGAGGAAAATAGATTTTGAAAGTTATGAGAACTGTAGAGAGTAAGTGGAGCATAGCTTGTGATTTTGAGGGCCTCTAAAAGTATTAAAGCAGTGGCAGCCGCCACACGCAGACATGGCTAGGCTAAAACAGTAAGGTCAAGTTGTTTGGACAGAAAGGCTACAGAGCGCGGTCCCGGTTCTTGTGTAAGAATTCTGACCACACAGCCCTGTACTTCGGCTGTGTGTAATGAAAAGGGTTGGGATGAGTTAGGGAGAGCTAGTGTGAGAGCAGCTTTTAGGGCTGTTTTTTAAGGAATGGAAAGGGGAGTAGGGGAAGGATTTAGGATTTATGGGGTCAGCTAGGTTTATCTAGAACAGAATAATGGGTTGTGGAGGGAGGTGTGGAGGATAGGAGAGTATATGGGTTTGGCACCACGGGGTGGATAGGCAAGACAATTTGGTTGATAAGGTTCAGATCCTGAACTAACCTGTAAGACTCGTCCGGTTTTTGGACAGGTAAAATGTGAGAATTGTAAGGAGAATTTATAGGCTTTAAAAGGCCATACTGTAGCAGGCAAGTGATATCAGGCTTTAATCCTCTTAAAGCCTGTTGTGGGATGGGATATTGGCGTTGAGCTGGGTAAGGGTGATTAGGTTTTAATGGGATGGTAAGGGGCACATGATCGGTTGCCAAAGAGGGAGTAGAGGTATCCCATACTTGTGGATTAAGGTGGGGAGATACAAGGTGAGGATGTGAAGGAGACTTCGAACTGGGGAAAAGGGCGGCAATGAGGTACGGCTGTAGCCCAGGAATAGTCAGGGAAGCAGATAATTTAGTTAAAATGTCTCGACCTAATAAGGGAGCTGGGCAAGTGGGGATAACTCAAAAGGACTGCATTAAGGAATGTTGTTCAAGTTGGCACCAGAGTTGGGGAGTTTTAAGAGGTTTAGAAGCCTGGCCGTCAATACCCACAACAGTTATGGAGGCAAGGGAAACAGGCCCTTGAAAAGAAGGTAATGTGGAGTTGGTAGCCTCCATATTAATTAAGAAGAGGACGGCCTTACCCTCCACTGTAAGAGTTGCGCAAAGCTCGGCATCAGTGATTGTCCGGGGGGCCTCCAAGGAGATCGGGCGGCATCAGTCTTCAGCTGCTAAGCCAAGAAGATCTGGGAAGGAGTCAGTCAGAGAGCCTTAGGCCAGAATTCCAGGGGCTCTGGGAGTGGCTGCCGGGCGAGTTGGACAGTCCAATTTCCAGTGGGGTCCTGCACAGTTGGCACATGGCTTAGGAGGAATCCCAGGCTGCGAGCATTCCTTGGCCCAGTGGCCAGATTTCCAGCACTTGAAACAATCTCCTGGGGGAGGCAGTCCTGGAGGAACACCTGGCTACTGTGGTTCAGACGTTTTGAAGTTCTTGTATGCTGGAGATGTGGCTGGGGTTTCTCTCAAAGTGGAGGCAAGTAATTGCAACTCAGAAATACGTTGCCACTTGGCTGCCTCTATTCTATTATTGTATACCACCTTGAAGGGGAGGTTAATTAGGTCTTCTTGTGGGGTTTGAGGGCTGGAATCTAATTTTTGGAGCTTTTTCTAATGTCGGGAGCAGATTGGGTAATAAAATGCATATTGAGAATAAGACAGCCTTCCTCTGGGGTCTAGGACAGTAAAGTGTCTAAGGGTTGTTGCCAAACAGGCCATGAACTGGGCTGGGTTTTTATATTTGACGAAAAAGAGCCTAAATGCTAACTCATTTGGGAGAGGTCGGATAAAGAAAAAAGGAGCATTAACCTTGACTATGCCTTTAGCTCTAGCCACCTCTTCAAGAGGAAACTGTTGGGCAGGTGAGGGAGGGCTAGTCGTGGAACGAAACTGTAAGCCAGACCGGGTGTGAGGAGGGGAGATGATAGGAGGATTATACAGTGGGGGAGCAGAGGCTGAGGAAGAATTGGGACCTGGCTCGGCCTGGTGAGGAGCAGCCTGGCGAGAAGGGGAGAGGTGAGATGAGTCCATAGAAAAGAAGGATTCAAAGGACTCAGAACTTGGGGTGGAGACTGAAGGAACAGACAGGAGAGAAAGAAGAAAGATTTGGGATGAGTCACATTGGGAACAGAGACTAGGGAGGGACTGATGTGTAAAAGAATGCCTGGACGTCAGGCACCTCAGACCATTTGTCCATTTTTCGACAAAAATCATCCAGGTCTTGTAAAATGGAGAAATCAAAAGTGCCGTTTTCTGGCTACTTGGAACTACTGTCGAGTTTGTACTGGGGCCAAGCAGTATTGCAGAAGAAAATAAAGTGTTTAGGTTTTAGGTCAGGTGTGAGTCGAAGGGGTTTTAGGTTTTTAAGAACACAGGCTAAGGGAGAAGATGGGGGAATGGAGGGCGGAAGGTTGCCCATAGTGAAGGAGGTGAGTTTAAAGAGAAAGGTAGAGACACGGAGAAGGGGCAGTGGGGGGCGGTGAGCAGCCCTGGGCTGCAATGTGGATGAGCAGCCAAAGCAGGTGTCCCCGCAATTGACCTGCCACTGAGGTAATGTGGGTGAATGACCAAGGCAGGCGTCCCCACGGTAATCAGACATCAATGGAGTGTGGGTGAATATTCAGGCAGGCATCGCCACAGTGATTAAACACCAAGGGAAGACTGTCTTCCCGAGTCCGTGACCGACGCTGGAGTTTTGGGTCCATGGATAAAATGTATCTCTTTTGTCTCTACTAGAGAGGAAAAAGAGCTGGAATTGGAAGGACAGGGAGATTGAAGGGTAGCAAGAGAGACTGGAGAACAGTGAAAAGACCGCTTACCTGATTTGAAATGGTGAGATGTTCCTTGGGCTGGTTGGTCTGAGGACCCGAGGTTGTAGGTGGGTCTCCTCATGGAGTGAGGGCAAGGACAGGGGACTGATCTCCCAAAGGAGTCCACCTGTCCCGGGTCTTTGGCACCAAATGTCACACGCGTCTGTGTGAAGAGAGCACCAAGCAGGCTTTGTGTGAGCAATAAGGCTGTTTATTTCACCTGGGTGCCGGCGGGCTGAGTCCAAAAAAGAAGTCAGCAAAGGGTAGTAGGATTATCATTAGTTCTTATAGGTTTGGGATAGGCATACAAAGTACATTCTTAAGGGCTGGGGAGAATATTACAAAGCACCTTCTTAAGGGCAGGGGAGACTATATCATGTCAGTTAGGATGGGGCAGGAACAAATCACAATGGTGGAATGTCATCAGTTAAGGCTATTTTCTCTTCTTTTGTGGATCTTCAGTTGCTTCAGGTCATCTGGATGTATACGTGCAGGTCACAGGGCATATGCTGGCTTTGCTTGGGCTCAGAGGCCTGACAATTTGCAAATGTTTTCTCACATTCAGTGGGTTGACCTTATATTTTTGTTGTAGTGTCCTTTGAAGCACAAGAACTTCTAACTTTGAAGTTTAATTTATTTATATTTTCTTTGGTTGCTTTCTGCTTTTTGTTCATATTTAAAAGACCATTTTTTAGGCTGGGCGTGGTGGCTCATGCCTGTAATCCCAGCACTTTGGGAGGCGGAGATGGGTGGATCACGAGGTCAGGAGTTCGAGACCAGCCTGGCCAACATGGTGAAATCCTATCTCTATTAAAAATACATAAATTAGCCAGGCATGGTGGCAGGCGCCTGTAGTCTCAGCTACTCCAGAGGCTGAGGCAGGAGAATCACTTGAAACAGGAAGGCAGAGGTTGCAGTAAGCCAAGATCACATCACTGCACTCTAGTCCTGGGCAACAAGAGTGAAACTCCTTCTCCAAAAAAAAAAAAAAAAAAAAAAAAAGATTCCTTAATCAAAAGTCATGAAAATGTACACCTTTGCTTTCTCATGAAGGTTTTATAGTGTAAGCTCTTACATTTAGATCTATAGTTCATTTTTAGTTCATTTATGTTTGTGTGAGGAAGGGGTCTCAGCTTCATCTAGTTGTACCAGCACCATTTATTGAAAAGCCTACTCTTTCCCCCACTGAATTGTCTTAGCACAATTGGCTGTAAACGTAATGTTTTATTTTTGGCCTCTCAATTCCATTCTATTGGTTTGTATGTCTATTTTTAATGTCTTGATTTTTATGTCTTGATTACTGTAGTTGTGTAGTGAGTTTTGTGATAAGTGTGAATCCTCCAATTGTTTTTCTTTCTCAAGATTATTTTGGCTATTTGAAGTTCTTTACATATCCATATGAATTTTAGGATCCGCTTGTCAATTTATGCAAAGAAGGCAACTGAAATTTTGATAGAAATTGCATTCGATCTATCACTAACTTGATTTAAACTTTTAACTATTTATAAATATGATATGTAGATCTCCAGGCCCCACAAATAGATAGGACTTTGTATTATTTTTGTGACTCATTGTGATTCTATGAAGAAGATATTATTAAGAAACTTCCTCAAGATCACATAGTTAGAAAGTGGCTGAAATGAGATACCAACTCTTGTATGTCTGATTCCAAATACTACAATCCTCTCATAGTATCATGCCATCCCTAATAACATCTTATAGTTTTTTGAGCTGTATATTATCTTTTGTATTCTCATTACTCACAAAGTTATATAAATTAGAAAACATAAAAATTATCACTTCCTGATTTGCTGCCATAGCACCCCATGTACACTCCTATTATCATAGCTCCTCCTCACACTGTATTCTACTTGCCTGTTCTTTACCAGACAGTGAGTGCCTCAGGAGCAGAAATATGTCTGGTTCTTATATCTCTGGGACCTGGAGAAATGCCTGATACTAGAAGGGGCTCTGTGATGGCTGACTGAATAAATGATTGTGTTATACATTCGTCCCTTAGGATTCAGAGGCTGGCATCGTAAGTTCCCCTGTACTTGAGTGTGGTTCATTTTCCCAACTACTGTGGAGAAGCTCAAGGACAGAGACCAGAGCCTTGCTCATAATAGATACTCAGCACATAAGACCAGGTCCAGGCTGCATTCTTCATGGGTCCAAGGAGAAGAGCCAAGCCAACCAGTTCTGAGAAAATCAGCACATTACATTCACAACAGAAAAAATACAAATGACTAATGAGTGTAAAAAGGTGTCCAATCTCACTATTGATCACAGAGACACAAGTGAAACAAGAATTTGTCTTTGACCTATAAAATTGCAAAGATCAAAAGGAGGATAATACTCAGTGTAGTAAGAACATAAGAAAATGGGTCCTTGCTGGGAATGTAACTTGGTAAAAGTTTTTTGAAGGGCAATTTGGCAATGGATGTCAAGTTGTAAAATGGGAATATGCTTGGATACAGCAATTCTGCACTTTGCATAAGTGCACAGTGCGGGAACAGCCAGTCCTCCTTGGGCCCCTGGCACTCTTCTTCTGGGTGTGGCAAGACTGTAAGACTGATTGCTCTGTTATGGGGCAATTTCTCAAGGTTATTTTATGTGCTGGTAAATTTGAGAGATAAGATACAATCTTCCTCCACACCAAGAGTAGGCTTATTTAGTGCTTGCTATAAAGCAATGGATTCCCAAAGCTCAGTGTTCCTTAGCTACAACACAAACCCACTGTGTGCCTAGCATCCATATAGCCCATATTGTGTCACCCTATGGGACTTGGTGGCAAGGGAAATCAACACAAACAAGTTGATGCTCATGTTGCCTGCTGTGCAATGAGTAACAAGGTCCTTTGTCCCTTAAAAAAGTTATCATCCCGTTTTCTACAGATAAGTAAACTGGGGTTCATTAAAATTAAATAGCTAGCCGAGAGCACATGGTCATTTACATGGTCATCCATTGCAGATGGAACCAGAGCCCAGGGTGACTGAACCTCAGCAGCTAAACACGGGTCACCTGGATAAGCAATATGAGAGAATAACAGAGAAGAATCACAGGGCAAACTCTCCTAACAAACTTTATGTAATCAGCCTGCAGGATTGCGTGGCACTCTCCAGTCACTCTGAAAAGCATTCAAACTGTTGCCATGACCTGCTGAATGCTCATAGCTACTGGGTCACTCACTAGAACAGTAGTTCTCAGAGTATGGCCCCCAGACCAGAAGCATTGGCAGCCCCAATAAGTTAATAGAAATTCAAATTCTCAGGCCTCCTGGATTTACTTAACCCAGACCTCCTGGAATTGCTAAAACACTGCAACCTGTGTTTTCACAAACCTTCCAGGTGATTCTGAGGCACACTCAAGTTTGAGAAGACACTGCTCCTGTGCACGCTGCAAACTCCCCTCCCCTAAGCTGAGCTGCATCCTTACTGAGAGACTGTGGGGCTAGTTCTCACACCTGTTCATGACAATTGTACTTGTCACTCTATTTACAGATTTTAATTAATGATTATGTTTACCAGTGAAATATGAGGGCAAAAGAAAAGGAATGATTGTTTCTATGACAACCATATTGAATATTTTAGAAAGTCAATGAAGATAAGTCACTAAAAAATGTTCTTGAAAGAGAAAAATTAGTGAACATCTACTGTTTTGTACTCTTTTATGAGTCTTTAAATCTTCATTCCACTTTAAATAAACCATATCTGGAGATCAGAAAAAATAAATGTGGTTTAGAGAAGCAATGTGGAACAAAATACCAAACAATGATTCCATATTCAAAGAAAAGGCCTCAGGGCTGCATCAAAAGATTTGCAAATGAATATGCCTTTACATGTTTTAAGTTAAAATAAAATGTTTAGGCCAGGTGCAGTGGCTCACACCTGTAATCCCAGCACTTTGGGAGGCTGAGGCAGGTGGATCATGAGGTCAGGAGATCAAGACCATCCTGGCTAACATGGTGAAACCCCCGTCTCTACTAAACATACAAAAAGAAATTAGCTGGGCATGGTGGGGGTGCCTGTAGTCCCAGCAACTCAGGAGGCTGAGGCAGGAGAATGGCGTCAACCTGGGAGGCGGAGCTTTCAGTGAGCCGAGATCATGCCACTGCACTCCAGCCTGGGTGACAGAGCGAGACTGTGTCTCAAAAAAAAAAAAAATTTAAATTAAATGTTTAAGGTATATATGTATTTTTTATAATTTCACATTTAACTGACTCTAAAAAAATTAGTTGACTGACTTCTGGCCTCCACTATGTCAGGAAGAGAGCTTCCCTTGGATAGAATTTAAGTCCTGATAAGAGATAACAACCTAGAATGGGGGAATAAGATACAACTAACTTCTTTTAATTGCTGTTCCTTTCATTCTTGGCTCATGAACAAAGAGGTTTGGTTCTCCCCTCTTAGCTTCTATGTGTCTGAACCAAGAGGATACCATCGTTAAACAGCTATATCCTTGAAAAGGTATTATCAGGAGCACGTTTAATGGTAATATATGGGACATGTCCTAACATCCATTATTAAGCCCAGTGGTTGATCAGTTTGCCTCTTGGGCTCTGGTTTAAAAAAATTATTTGTCCTGCCCAAGAGTGTAAAAGCATGCAGAACAGAGCGATCAGAAATAAGTGAAGCCATTTATCCCATTGTTCTCCTCATTCTACCCTTCTCCTTTGAGAACCCTTCCTCACCTCCTTCTCTCGTGGGCTCCCATGTTGGCCCCCTCCCTTGGTGTGTTGGACCCGATGGAAACCCAATTTCTGCTGATCAATCTGTTCATTTTCCTGCAAATGTGGATTAGGCACACACAAACTCTAAGTCTTTATTGAATGTACGAATTGGAAGGGAAGAACAACTAGGGCTGGTGCAGTGGCTATATCCTCCTGTGTGCTGGGATAAGCAGAGAGAGCCAGCCTGGAAGAGAGAGAATGAAGCCTTTGCCCAGAGAAAATTGGAAACAAGAGATCCTGTGACTGTGGACAGAGTAACTTGGGGAGGCTAGTTGAGTTTCTTGCCTTTAGGAACTATAAGCTACCCACATCATCCCCATCCTTCTAAGAAATTGCTTTTTTTTTCTCCTTAACCTCATTTTACTAGGCCCCTATTACTTGCCTGACGCTATTCTTGGAGCAACAAGTACTTAGTGCCAGGCATCTTGGTGAGTATATTGAAAACACACATTGGCAATTCTATGACAATGACTTTTGTTGTTTAAAATCTGAACTTTAAGTAGTTGCAGATAGGGATCATTTACTGGCTAGCAATAGGGGCCCTCACACAGAGAGGTGACATCTCAGTATGGTACAGGAACAGCCTGGGAATCATTAAAAATCAAAGATAAGCAGAATTCGGATAATGTGTTATAGAAGAGATGTTTACTTGAGCAGAACAGAGACTATTAGACGACTCTCTTAGCTATTCTTAGCCAACAATGTTATAAAGCTATTCTTAAGTTATGAAAGAATTGGACATTTACATCAGGAACATTATATAGCATTTGTTTATTGTTTATACATAAGCATAGCTAAATCAGTTCTTATTTTATAGTGTTGATGTAATCATTACTTAAAAATGCTATTGGTGTTTGATATATGGTGTGGCTCTGTGTCCCCACCCAAATCTCGTCTCAAACTGTAATCCCCATAATCCCCACGTGTTGAGGGTGGGATCTGGTGGGAGGTGACTGGATCATGGAGGTGGTTTCCTTATGCTGTTCTTGTGATAGTGAGTACTCACAAGATCTGATGGTTTTATAAGTGTTTGACAGTTCCTCCTACACACACGCCCTCTTGCGCCTTGTGAAGAAGGTGCCTGCTTCCCATTCGCCTTCTGCCATGATTGTAAGTTTCACCTGAGGCCTCCTAGCCATGCTTCTTGTTAAGCCTGTGGAACTGTGAGTCAATTAAACCTCCTTTGTTTATAAATTACCCAGTCTTGGGTAGTATCTTTATAGCAGTGTGAAAACAGACTAATACAGTGTTTTAATGAAATGTGAAGTTAAAGAACCCTCCGCCTGCCCCAACTCCTAGGGCACTGTGGAATATAGACAAGTTGTGGACCTCACCTGACTGATGCAGTCATGACTCTGATACCCAGAGGAGGCAATGTTAGGTGAACAGCCCCACTTACTGAGTACTCTTTTAACAAGCCTCATTTCAATTTGGAAGTGTGACACACTCTAGAAACCATCTAAATGTAGAAAAGTTTTCTTCCTGCACCTCATTTCTCATGTTCCCTCCTCCTAACCTCGTTAGGAAAGGAAAACAGATAGTGGAGCTATGTCTTGGAGGACATAAACCAGGATAAACTACAATGTAGAGGAAAACTAAACTGAGATTACTCTAGGCATCTTTGCCTGTGAGCTGGAGAAGGGCTTGGGGATTTGGCAAGCAGGCTGTTGGGGAAACGAGAAGATGCCTCAGACACAGCTGAATGGCCTATGGGTGGGGAGGATGAGGCAGCTAGGGGTTGCGGGTTCTCTTCTTTTTACCCCCAGCATCAAAGTCTTTGCCTTTGTGAAAGGAGAAAAGTAAAGGTGGGATTCAGGTGAAAGAGATGGGAATAGTGGAGTTAAGGCAAAGTCAGATGGGAAGGATGACAGTCAAGAAGGGAGGTAAAGGAAGACAAAAGATAAAAGACAATAGGGAAGTACTCATTCAGCTGAGTAAGCTGGTGTATAAGTCAGTAAGGGCCATGCCGTGTGTGTGTGTGTGTGTGTGTGTGTGTGTGTGTGTGTGTGTTTTTCAGCCAAGGAACAGACTTTTGGTGTAATAGTTTCGATGTGAGCAGAGTACATTCATTTCAATTCCTTTTTTACTTTTGCAGAAAACATACAAAAGAGAGTTAAGGGATTAAGAGTGCAGAATCTGGTGTTGGACAGACATGGTTTCAAAATCTGGCTTTGCTACTGTTAGCCGTGTGACCTTAATTGACTTATCTAACCTCTCTAAACCTCCCTATATTAGAAGTGGAAAATAGTAATTTCCCTGTAATAGGACCGTCCTGAGAAAGAAGCAAGATATATGTGTAAAGCAATTTGGCAGATCTGGTACATAGTAAATGCTCATAATGGTAGCTTTTGTGGCAGCTCTATCCTCTGACAGATTGCACATATTGAGTGCTGAGTTTGTGCCAGCTCCTTACATCTATATTTATTTTTTGATGCAATTAAGGCTTTCATTTATTATGCATACTGACACCAAGATTTATGCTTTGTCCATGTATTTTGTTTTCCTATTTTTATCCATCCCCAGACTTGACATGGGCACTATGAACATATTCCATATGAACCAATCACACAAGACCTGTAGTCCAGATAGAAATTAGCTACCTTTCTTGTTTTAAGAACAATTTGGTAATGTTATGTAATTATAAATTTTTGAGTAGACGTGCTTTGTACTTAGGAGCACACATATATGAGGTACATAATATTTTAAAATAAATTTTCCAAAGATATGCAAGAAAATGCCTCATTATTTTATAATAATCTCCTTTCTCTTTCCCCTTCTTTCTCTAGAAAGAAAAAACATAGCAATACAATAAAAAAAGATAAATTACTCCCCATCCAATGGCATTTGGCAATTCCTTAAAAATCATCTGTCCCCCTAAATCTAAAAAATTTTCCACCCCAGTATATTCAAAAGAATATGCTGAGTAATAACAAAGGAGGAGGTCAAGAGAATCTTTTGTGCCCTGGCACATTGGTTTCTTAGGCTACAACATTGAGGGCAGAGAGGATCACACTTACTTTTGGCACATGAGTTAAATCTCACATATCACTTCATGGTTGCCCCTCACACACATCCTATGGTTTGCCACCCATACCCAAGCTTAACTCTGCATACCACCTTCCCCCAAGATTCTCAGTTTTCTCGACTGTTTGCAGCTCTGGTCATATACTGTGGCAGGACCTCATCTTGTGACCAAAGTTCCTCAAAAAGAGCTACATTGTTGGACTTCTGCCCCCTTAGCTTGTCTACCTACTGCAGTGTGTATTCTTGCATTGGTCTATGGGAACATGCTTTCTTTTTATAAATTAGTGTAAAGTGTCATGCATGGGCTTAGGGAAAACACAGTATTATGTAGTGCCATATACAGATAACATACCATTAGCTAGACCAGAGTTATATAAGAACAACATGTTGTTATGTTTTATTCCCAAGTATTAAGAAAGCTCATGTGAGATTATTCTCTGCACCCTAGCATTTTATCATTTTCACCTTTAACACATTATCTTGTCTTGTTTCCTTTTTTCCCCACGTCAAATTTCTGAAGTGAATTTTCAAACCAAATATATATATATACATTTATATGTACCTATACATATACATATATGTACCTATACATATACATACATATACATGTATAGTAGATCATAATTGAGAAACTGTCTTTGCCATAAACTTATGGTTTAGCCTGAAAAAAGCTCAATTCGGCTGGGCACGGTGGCTCATGCCTGTAATCCCAGCACTTTGGGAGGCTGAGGCGGGTGAGTCACGAGGTTAGGAGATCGAGACCATCCTGGCTAACACGGTGAAACCCCATCTCTACTGAAAATACAAAAAATTAGCTGGGCTTGGTGGCAGGCGCCTGTAGTCCCAACTACTTGGGAGGCTGAGGAAGGAGAATGGCGTGAACCCGGGAGGCAGAGCTTGTAGTGAGCCGAGATCCTGACACTGCACTCCAGCCTGGGTGACAGAGCGAGACTGTCTCAAAAAAAAAAAAAAAAGAAAAAGAAAAAGGCTCAATTCACCCACTTTGAAGATTAACTACTTCATCACATGTAAGCGGTGAGTGAGGAATAAGGGACAGGTTCATTTTCATCACAAATATTATAACCTCAAAAATAAAAGTTTACCTTATTCTCCACTGGAATTATGCAAATACATAAAATGCAAAGTATCCACACTCAATATTGAATATAACATATGTCGAATTACTGGTGGATATTTTTCTTTCTCTTACTTAATCAGCTGTATGTTGAGAAATTTATATATTGGGCAGATAACAAATGATTGTCATCTGAGGATTGCCAACATACCAAATTTTCTTTTATCTCTTCAGAAACATCAGTGTGCAGTTATCTAATCATATTGATATTCTGATGGTGAGTAACATGTTATATAATCTTTCTGTGCCTTTCTTGATGGGGTCAGATTCTATACCACACAAGTCACAGAATTCCAAAAAGCTATTGTGAGAATAAAGCTAAAGGCAACAAAAGGATGAATCACTAGTCATTGGGTTTTGTTTTTTTTCCACTTATGCGTATCATATTCTAAAATGAATTAAAGATGGGAAATTATCAGATGAAATTCTGAGCTCATGTTCTCACACTGTCTGATGGGCTGAATTTTCACAAGGGATGGGCTGTCATCATTTTGTCAGGACCTTTGGAGACAAGTTCAAGAGTAATATTTAGTCAGCATAAATATCAAAATGCCCAATAATAAAACATTTTATCCATCTGTTTTTAATCATAAGCCTCTTTAATCTAAATGATTATTATATTGTGTTTCATACATATTCTGTAAAGATCAAACTGAGTCAATGTCTCTAAAGAGGAAAATAAAATTTTAGCACTATAAAAAAATTTTTAAGGTCAGCTTTATATTCCTATTATGAATTTAAAAATATTTCTTTGCTTTAAGCAATATTGCCTCCTTGAAATCATTGTTTTCAAAAAAAGAAAATAATTTCCTACTTTCTAGTTTGCAGAAAAGTTAATATTATCAGAGAATCATTTAACAAAATGATACCAAGCTCTACTAATTTAACAAATAGTTCTCCATTAGACTGGAACTATATGGGAGATTGTAATTAGAAAATGTCTTCATTGCCATTTGTCCTCATTCGCCCTAGCTCAGCCTATGGTCAGATTATATCCTTCTCATATGTTAAATTGACAATCAACCATCACTGAAGGTAAAATGAATAGTAAAGGGCCACCTTCTGACCACAAGACACCTAGGCATGCTGTTTCTTCCACAGGGAAAACACTTCCCTATTCTTTTAGCACAATCTATAGTCCTTAGCTTGCTTTTCGCTTCCTCCTGGAAGCCTTCTCTGACTGCCCTGACTAGGTCAATAACTCACTTCCACATTAGATGCTCTCATAGCATCTATTTTACATCTTATAGCAAAATAAAGTTTAAACTGTAATATTAGTGAAAGCCTGAAGGGAGCCATCTACTTACAAAATATATAATTTTCTAGTCTTTCCCAATTTAAAATTCCTCATCTGTAGCTTGGGCACTTTTTTCTCTACAGCGTGCTGTCTGCCATTTTATTTTAGCTATGAGGCTGCAGTCAAGTTGGAGGAAAATATGACATAAGAGTAGACAGCCCAAAGCTCTAGGCCTGGGGAATTATGAGAAGAGAATGAAAAAGGCAGGGAGCCCCAGTTCTCCTCTACAGGCTTTACCTGGAAGTGTGGTAGATGAATTAAGGGGCAGATGCTCATCCAACTGATGTTTGGAACACGAAAGAGGCAATTATCTCTCCATTTGCCCCATACCAACAGGGAGTAGCCTCATTAGACAGAGGGAGGGCTGGGATTAACTTTACCAATTCTCTATTAGTTCCCAGGTGTCAGGACCCAGAGATTCCTATACAACACAGGGGACCCTGTGAAGAAGGCTGTGTTGAGAGCAGGCAGCCTTAGTGGGTGTTGGCATGGTGAGGAAAGAAGCCATCCTGCTTCAGAGGCTGTGCAGTAGATTGCTTAGATCGAGGTTTGGATGAGGCATGTGGCAGAGACTCAGAGGGTCCATAGCACTGGCAAGAGCCCAGGTGAGGCTGCAGCAGAGGCACTGCCAGGCCCTGACCCAACTAGAAGAACTGGGCCAGTGGATCACAAACTGAGCTCCACCAGCCCCAGGCATCAGCCACTCATGCCTGCAGGGCAGGATGTGGCCAGAACTCAAGAGACACCACTGAGGACACCAGAGGACACTCCGGAGGACACTTCCTGGATTCAATGGTTTCATCCTTCTGCCAAAGCACCTGGTCCTACCCCCAGATATAATTTTAGACAAGGTCACAGGAAAGGGACAAAGTGCTCAGGAAGACTAAGCATTTTCCTAAAGAGGATGGCATACATGCGCACACACACACACACACACACACACACAGACACACACACACTATGTAAACCAGCTCTGTCTACTTATACTATTTAAACTAAAAGAAACTGAAACATCTTTCTTTTTTTTTTTAGGCCAACTCTCACTCTGTCACCCTGGCTGTAGTGTAGTAGTGGCGTGATCTTGGCTCACTGCAGCCTCCACCTCTCAGGTTCAGGTGATTCTCGTGCCTCAGCCTCCTGAGTAGCTGAGACTACAGGCACACCTGGCTAATTTTTGTATTTTTAGTAGAGATAGGGTTTAACAGTGTTGGCCAGGCTGGTCTTGAACTCCCGGCCTCAAGCGATCCACCCTCCTCAGCCTCCTAAAGTGCTGAAATTGCAGGCTTGAGCCACCGTGCCCAGCAACATCTTTCAATTGTCACATCTAAGGTATCTTCGTACCCTAGATAAGGTATTACCCAAGAGGATGGGGGGGTTCATGAGGAAGGCCAGAGCAGAACAGTTTGAGAAAATGCAGCAATTCTGCACCTTTAAATCCAGTGTGAGTTCAATGTATAACCCTGCTACATAATCAATCAAGAAATATTCACTGAGTGCCCTCTGTGTGCCAGGCAGTAGGTGGGTGCTGGTGATCCAATGGTGAGTAAATGTAGAAAAGTCCCAACTCCCATGGGCTTGCCAGCTAGAACATATTAGACTGGCATAAGACCAATAAGCTGATAAATAATTAATGAGTTGTGATTGTGCTCAAGGCCCCTGAGGGAAAGTATCAGGATTAGCAGAGTGAAACAGGGGGACTCCATTCATTCATTTATGTTATCTAGAGCAGTCTCTACTCAGAAGTTTTCTTGCCTAACTCCCGCTGGTTAAAATTAGGTCCCAATCTTAGCATGATTTGCTCTCACCCATTCAGATACTGGGAATTCACTTTTTCTCTCTAAAGATTTGCAACAAGATCTGAAAAATAAAAAGTAAAATTAAAGATTTGCTAAAAGCAAAACTAACAATCCTGATCTTCCACTAGTTAAATTATTACAGATTTATGTCCACTAAGAAGCCCCTTGTAACTACAGGACTACCAGCTGCATCAAATACAGGTGGGGCCCAGTTTTAGAGGCCTTTTCAGACTGTCAGGGTAGTCTCAAGGGCTAGATAGGGGATGTGGTAGAATCAGCAGCCCCTTCTTTTTCTAAATCTACTGAACAATCATTGCAGGTCTAGCCTTACAAACACAGGAGCTGAACAAAGCAAGGAAATTCAGGAACCCCTGTATCTGGGCTGAGCAGATCATAGCCTCACAGAATCCCTTAGCCAGGCTTGTCTTGCCGTCAGTTCCTTTGTTTAAGTCAGGGCTACCTTTTGCAGAACTGGAAGGATGATTCTCAATATGCCACTGTGCTAAGCTCATTGGTCAGTCTCAGCACGTAACATTCCAGCAGGCAAGGTGGGTGGAGATATAGTGGTTATGGGCTAAACTTCTAGCAGCTGGGCAAGTCAGAGATTGGCTGCCCTCTTTGTACCATTGCCCAAGGGGTGGTAGGAGGTAATAGTAAATTAGATTACCAACAACCTGAAGTATAAGGTAAAAATACATTTCAATCCTTTGTCTTTGTAAAATATTTTCCCAAAATTACTTCTGATCGACCATGTAACAGAAAGTACATGATGAGTATTCTAATCTTTGCATTTAAAGTGGAAAGTTAAAAGGCCACTATTTTGTTTGCATGCATGTGGATGTGTGTATATGTTCACATGTATGTGCCACCTGGTCACTGCAGGGACCTAACTCAGAGGACATCTTTGGCTTCTGATTCTGAAATGTACCAATCATGAGACATTCCCCTCCTTTACCCTGCCACAATAGTGGATGCTCCAAGCTAGGCTTATCATATCCTCTGGAGAATTTGAATCTTGGGTGGGGACATAGGAATTGAAGACTGTTGGACCTGAGTCATCCAATGGGAACACTTAGACATCTGCAGAGTCAAGTGGGGCTTCCCCAATTCTGGTCCTTCCTGAGGTTGAGTAGTGTTTTGACTCAGTATTCTTTCAGCAAATACCCTGTTCAGCTTAGGTGAGCCAAAGCTGCTTTCTATTGCTTGCAGCCAAGGAACTCTGACTAATTCAAATACTAGTATCAAAGAGTTAGTGGGAGGCAATAGTGCCTCTGGGAAACATGGTGGTTTCAAAAGGACTGACTGTATTAAATGATATTTTTTAAACTTCAATTATTCATTTTCATCAGGTTAAGAAAGAAATTCCCAGATTTTCAGAGGACAGTCATGTTGGATTGGATCTACAATAAGCATCCCTGCCACTCACCCTCTCACTACTATCACAACAGAGTTCAGAAGCCTCTCCTTTTTCTCGTGCCATGATAATTAGATTCATGTGAGAGCAGCACTGGAATCACTAAAATGTGCTCCACTGGCTGTCCTTAATAACTGGAAAAGCTTGTGGAAGAAGCTGCAATGAGACAAAAGGCAGTAAAACTTATGTGCAGATTCCAGGATGTGAAGGTGACAACCCATGGCAGGTAGTGATGAGACGGCTCATCTCTGAGGGTTTGTATTCCCTTGCAAATCTCTGGTGTATGGGGGCAGGAGAATTGGTCTTGAAGGCGGTAGCTAATAAAATGAAAGAAAGGCATGTTCAAATCTTAAAATTCTTCCCCAAAAGCACAGCACAATACTCAGAACCTTTCCAATGATTGCTAGAGCCTGAGGTTCCTGAAAACCAAACGCAGAGATTACTTATTGGGCTGCCTTATTACAATGTTGGTTGAATTTAAAACTTCACTGTATCTCATGGGTACATTAGGACAATCATCAAGAAAAATTCGGATCCTGACAATTAGAAGAGCAACACTGGGGCACCCTCAGAGCCCTGAAAATCTTCTGAAATTCTCGCCACTGCTTGCCTTTGCCATGGTAGCTCACCTCCCTTGCAGAAGAAAGCTAAGAATCACGCCCTAAGTCTTATATGTAGCTTGGCTAGTAACCAGAATTCAAAACAAATAAAGTACAGAACCAGAGTAGAAAAAAAAAAAAAATAAAGAGTTCCATTCACAAGGAATTGCAGGCATTTACTAATTCGTGTCATGCCATAAAAAAATCTGGATAATATTAATGAAAATAGATTTTGAAGTTTCTTTGTTTAGGAGGGAATTTTTCAGATAGCTTATGTTTTGATGCAGGTGTTGCCATTCATTGAGCTGACTCAGGCAATCAACTGTGATTGTAAAAGTGTGCTGGCTGAACCAGCAAATACAAGCCTGCAATGAATGGCTCATTAAGTGATATTACAAGGCAGCAAATTCCTTTGCATGAGGTTGAGGAAGAAATTTGAAGACTTCAGAGGACATCCATGTTGAATGGAATATGATAAGCATCCCTCCCATCCACCTTCACCATCCTGCAGCCCAGAAGGCTCTCCTTTCACTCTTGCCATGATAATCAGATTGGTGAGGAGCGCACTTGAATCATTAACACATGGTTTATTGTCTGTCCTTAGCTGGAAGGGCTTGAGGGAAAAGCTGAATAAAAATGGGCTCCCTGAACTCAGGGGAATAAAGAGGATCCCCCAGAACAGTGCCCTAAAGAATGTGATTCTGCTATTTCCAAAGGCAGCAGAGTGGGTTTGTTAATTAGACCTAAAGAAAGGGGTAATATGCAGAGATTTCTGGTTGTGACTAATTTGTCGACTCTACAGGAATAAAACTGATAAGCAACTTACTAAAGTCCTTGATTTATACAATCACAGAACTCCAAGTAAGGTGAAGGCTAACAGAAATCTGCTCTCAACCTCCGCATTAGAAAATCCCAGTCTTCCATCCAGTTCCAGACCTGAGTCGGTTTCCACACCTAGAATGTTTTGAATAAAAAGATGTTGGATATTCTTGAGAAAGGCCCTTTCCATGATCATACTGCTAGCCTTCCCCCAAGGGATTTTTGACCCCTTTACCTCAGAAATCATGCACTGGAGAAATAACTTCAGTTTTCAAGATTATTATGTCCTGACTAACACTGATTCCTGGAACCCCAAAT
Source organism: Homo sapiens (assembly GCF_000001405.40). Taxonomy (NCBI): domain Eukaryota; kingdom Metazoa; phylum Chordata; class Mammalia; order Primates; family Hominidae; genus Homo; species Homo sapiens. The sequence continues at coordinate 115,636,227 of NC_000005.10, read as the reverse complement.
ATCACTATGATTCATCAATCAGAGCACAGGTGCATAGTGGCTGTGGTGCCACAGAAAAATATTTGGTGTTTGTCCCTGGTTCCTGGCACAGAGTTCCTAAAACACTTGGAATTTCCTGAGTAATAAGGGAGATGGTGGTATCTTTTGTTCTAGTGAGGTAACTCTTGGTGGGCCCCTATATAGCTTTAAGATTGGCGATGGTAACCAGAAAGATTAAGTCTTAATTAGAAACCTGGAACTTTCAGCCCAACCCCCAAATCTCCTGGGAAGGCAGAGAGGCTAGAGTTTAAGTTAATCCCCAATGGCCAAAGATGTAAACAACCACTCATACCTACATAATGAAACTGCCAAATGACAAAGTTCACGGAGCTTTCATGTAGGTGAACATCTCGAGGTAACGGGACGGTGGTATGCTAGGAGGTTTATGTGCCTGGAGAGGGAATGACGGCTCTGCATCCCCTTCCCTTCTTTGCCCTATGCATCTCTTACATTTGGTTGTTCCTGAGTTTCATCCTTTATAATAAACTAGTAATGGTAAGTAAAGTGCCTTTCTGAGTAATGCGAGCTATTCTAGTGAACTGCCAAACCTGAGCAGCGAGTTGCGGGAATGTCCGATTTATAGATGGTCAGTCAGAAGTACAGGTCGCCCGGAACTTGTGTTGGTGTCTGACGTGGGGGTAGTCTTCTGGGACTAAGCTTTTTAACCTGTAGGAACTGACTATAACTCCAGGTAGATAGCATCAGAATTGAATAGAATTATTGGACACCCAGCTGATGTCAGAGAGTTGGAGAAGTAGTACACCTCCCTAATTTAGTCTTTATATGCCAGCCAGAATGCTCTTTTGATAATAGAAGTTAGGTTATTCCATGGTTCTGCACTGCCCTAGGAAAATGCCCAAATGTCCTACAACATGACCTTTCAGAAGTAGTTGTCAATGTAATTTTGTGATCCATTCACTAATAACTTTTCATTCTCATCTCTATTTTTTTTATCCTGGTGCTTTCAGCAAAATTTCGCTCAAATATTTCAAAAAAAAATTTTATTTTCAAAATATTTTATAAAATATTTTAAATATTATATATTTACAACATATTTATAAATATATCACTAAATATATTTATAAATATTTAGATAGTTATAAGTATATTAAATATATTTAATATATAAATAAATTAAAATATTTTATACAAATTATTTATAAAATATTTAAAATATTTTAAGTATTTTAAAAATATTTTATATTTTCACAAAATATAGTAGCTGTGCTACTATAAATCTCAGATGAAAAAGGAACAATCCATTATTGGTGCCTGGGCAGTAATATTAGAATGGGAGCAGCACCGCCTAGTGGCCAGCTTGGTGTTGGTGGGGTAGGAGGGAGAGTTGAAAGGGAGCCGATGAATATGAAAGCCACAGCGTGGTTTCCGGTTCACTGGTCATTTACAAGAGAAACTTCTTTCTCTGTTGCTCCCTACATTTTGGAGAATGCAAAACTGGTTTTCTTAAGGAAGGTGGTGTGTTTGTTACTGTCTTCAACTTCCATTTTAAATGAGGATTTAAAATATTGCCCCGTAATATTATGTTTATAATCTGAAATCTTTATAATGTTGAGGAATTTCTGCAGGAAGGTGAGCAACATGGTCCAACTACAGAGGTTTCTGAGGAGCTGACAATCTAGTAGCCTGGATTCCTGGTTTCCAGAGATTTCGCGTTTTCAGTTTCAGCTGAAACTGAAACTGGTAAGTGGTAAGTGGCTTTTGAGGACTAGTGGCTTCTGAATTTGTTCTTTTCTTGAGACACAAATATGATTTGCGTTACTGGCCAACATCAGGGTTTCCTTGTGGTTTTGCTTTCTATTCAATACACTATCAAGTTGGCAATCACTCTTAGTAAGGCTCTGAAAATTTCACATTAATTTTTAAACTTCAAATGCATTGCCTGCTGTAGAAAAATCATATGCTGCAGAAGTACTCATAGATTTGGGAATTCACAAAGGTCTGAAAATGTGTCCTTTGTGTATATTTTTGTGTCCATCTCTTCAAACAGATTAAGGAACTGTGAAATATAATGCATTGATGTGTCTATTTGGCTTTCTCTTAAATATCAGGGATAGGCTGGGCACAGTGGCTCATGCCTGTAATTCCCAAAATTGCTAACTTTGGGAGGCCGAGGTGGGCGGATCATGAGGTCAGGAGTTCAAGACCAGCCTGACCAACATGGTGAAACCCCATCTTTACTAAAAATACAAAAATTAGCCAGGTGTAGTGGCACATGCCTGTAATCCCAGCTACTCAGGAGACTGAGGCAGGAGAATAGCTTGAATCTGGGAGGCAGAGGTTGCAGTGAGCCGAGATCACACTACTGTACTCCAGCCTGGGCGACAGAGCAAGACTGCATCTCAAAAAAAGAAAGAAAAAAAAAGAAAAATCATATGCTGTAGAAGTACTCATAGATTTGGGAATTCACAAAGGTCTGAAAATGTGTCCTTTGTGTATATCTTTGTGTTCATCTCCTCAAACAGATTAAGGAACTGTGAAAAATAATGCATTGATGTGTCTATTTGGCTTTCTCTTAAATATCAGGGATATCAGGCAAGTCTTTACTATGGAGCAATCTGTGGAGCTGGGCAAAAATATAGGTATCTTTCACTTTCTGAATTCTCATCATCTAAAGATTGCAAACAATTTATCTGCAAATTCACTCTGAATCAAAGCCTGCTATAATGAATCTGCCATGCATCTGTCAGCCAAAGCATGTATATTATCTTTGATATCTAGAGGAGAGGATGCAGAGTACACTGCAGACCTAGTTCCAACCTTTTCCCAAGTGGGTGCTTTCATCATTTAAATGGGTTGCACATTATAGATCTCATCTTCTCCATATTATTAAATATCTTCTAGAAAATCGATTCTGCAATTAGTTGCTGACTAACAATGTTTTGGGGCAGTCATAATTTCAAAACAAAAAATCACAGAAGTTGCCAAGGTTTATAATGTGTGTGTGTGTGTGCGCGTGTGTCTATAGTTAAGGAATATGTTGAAATTTGTCCAACAATAATCACTGTTGGTCATCAGAAGAGGAAGAAAAAGAAGAGCAATCCTGAATACTCAGTGCCCAATGTTTAAAATATACTTTAGAGCATGCACAGGAAAGGACTGATATCATAAATGGCAGTGATTATGACATAAGCAGAAGTATCACACTCCAAAGTACATTTACAGGTACAATCCTATTATTAGGAACTTCATAGCTGCAAGCTAAGGGAATGCTATCCATCCTGAAGGATTGCCTATTCAACAAAAGGCAATTGGGGTTTGTCTTATTGCTGCAGGCCTTGCTTCTCAGTCACTGACTGACTGTTGAGAGCCAAGGTGAGAAGACTGTTCATCTGCTCCTCAAATTTAGACCTGGACAAACTTCTGGCATGTACTGCATGACTTAACTCCTTCATTTGCTCATTCTCCCTCAAACTTCACCCATCACCAAACTGCTACCAAGATCACAGCCCCCTTTCTCTCTTCCCACTACCAAATCTCACCTGGGCAATTAGAAAGTAACTCTTCTCTTTCTTTTATTTTTCCCCCCCCCTCCCCTTCCCTCCCCTCCCTTCCCTTCCCTCCCCTCCCTTCCCTTCCCTCCCCTCCCTTCCCTTCCCTCCCTTCCTTCCTTTCTTCCCTTCCCTTTCTTTCTTTCCTTCCCTTCCTTTCTTTCCTTTCCTTCCTTTTTCTTTTCTTTCTCCTTCCTTCCTTCCTTTCTTTTCTTTTCTTTCTCCTTCCTTCCTTTTTTTTTTTTTTTTTTTGAGACAGGGTCTCACTCTGTCACTCAGGCTCAAGTGCAGTGGTGCATTCTCGGCTCACTGCTGCAACCTCCACCTCCTAGGTTCAAGCGATTCTCCCACCTCAGCCTCCTGAGTAGCTGGGACCACAGGCACGTGCCACCACGCCTGGCTAATTTTTGTTTTTTTTTTTTTTTTTGTATAGAGGGGGTTTCACCATGTTGCCCAGGCTGGTCCCGAACAAGTATTTCTTAATTGCCTTGTTTTATCAAGTTATTTTGCTAAGTGTTATGATGTATCTTTAACATAGTGTGTCCTTGTTTATTTACATTACAGTGGATATCCTTTGCAGTGTAGAAGGAAAACATAATTTATATCTGATACTGTAGAGTATCCTTGAGTACTGCATATGAATATACCATTGATGAGCTCATTATGTGTTGAGGAAATTAGATAATTAGTGCTTTAAATGCTTATACTGTCATGCATTGTTTAATGACAGACACATTTTTAAAAATGTGTCCTTAGGTGATTTCATAGTTGTGTGAACATCATAGAGTATACTTACACAAACCCAGATGGTATAGCCTACTATGCACCTAGGCTGCATGGTGTAGACTATTGCTTCTAGGCTACCAACTTGCACAGCATGTGACTGCATTGAATACTGTAGGCAGCTGTAACACAATGGCAAATATTTGTGTATTTAAGCATAGAAAGGGTACAGTAAAAATATAGTATTATAATCTTAGAAAACTGCTTGTGATTGTGGGTGACTTTGTTCTTTGCTTCTCATGTTTTCAGTTTCCTATAATGCACACATTAACTTTTAAAAAATAATCTTAAGGAATCACTGTCATATATTCAGTCTGTTGTTGACTGAAGTATAGTTATGCAGCACATTACTATATTATGAAGATATACTTGAGTTGTTATATAAGTTAAAGAGTATTGTTGGTGATATTTAGGACAACTGGTTAGATATTTTGCATGAATATGGAATAGATTATTATTTTTCCTATTTAAAGAATAGGAAATAGAATATAGGCTAACTCTTCCCAAAATTGCTGTCCAAAATATTTTCAGGAATATCTCAGATTCAGATAATGATGAGTGTAGGCTCTAGGTGTAATAGTAAAGATGCTGACATTTCTAGTCTTCACTCCCTTATGTCAGGAGCTGCCTAAATAGGGCATCTCCATCTCTGGGTGGCAAATGCTTTATCTCAGAGTTTCCCTTATGTGCATCTGATGCTGACACCAAGGAGGTCATGGCTATGTTCCTTTCCTCCACCTAAACCTTGTCCTTTGAAACTTCTCTATCTTATATTTATGTTAGTTATAATATTATTTAACCTAATCTAATATTCTAACATACAGAAATAATAGGAAACCCCATATCTATAGGAATAAAATGATAGTTTTTGTTTCAATAATGGCCTTTTGTGGAATAATTAGAGTCCCTGTTGTATTTCAAGCACTGTGCTGTGTGCTGTACAGACATTTTCTCATTATCTCATTCAATCCTTTCAGCCACCTACAATTATCCTGTTCTATAGATTAAGAAACTGTATTAGAAAGGTTAGGTAATTTGCCCAACCCTATGTATTAGTAGGGGATATGAGACAATCTAGTCTCAAAGATTACGTTTGGGTCAAAATTCCCATCGCTGTGTTTTCACTGTAAACTGACAAAATTATGGGTTATTTTTTTCCTTGTAATACTTTGTAGTCCTTAGTAAAAGTGTGTACTTTACATAAAGATTATATTAATTTGTGTATTTTATAAAGCTTTCTCACATATATGTTCTTTCTGATCCTTATAATAATCCAGGGAAGTAAAGGAAAAAAAACAAAAAATCTGGAACAAAATTAAATTCATATTCTCCAGATTATGAATCCTCCAAGGGCAAGAATCTTGTTTAGTTCATTTTCTGTCTTTATCTGGCAGAGTGAATTGAGTGCAAAAATGAACAAAATTCTTCCCTGGCCCCATACCCACCTTTGCAAAGTGTCTGGTGGATTTGTATTATATTAAGTTAGCTAATTCGGAGCTACTGTTTCCTAGAATTCTATTCCTTGCATAGACAAAGGTCAGTGTATCTGAAGTAAGGAAGCAGCAGCGATATTCTTTTTTATGCCTGAAGTCTTCTGACTCCCAGGCCAGGTATATGTTTAGTTCCATGAAGAAGAAAGACAGCTTTTCCTGCAGTTCACCTATCACTGAAGGTTGGGGCTTGGAGGCAGTGAGGAATGGCTGTACTTGTGGCCCATTCTCACAGGCTCTAGTTTCTCTTTATTTTTCCACTTCACATCCGTCTTTCCTTCTTGACTATGGTCATTATCTTCAGACTTCAGGCTCTAGCACCAGACACAGAAGCAACAGCCTCCCACACACTGTTTAATCAGCTATATAATAGACATATATACAAAGATATCTATGTACTTGTTTATTTATTTATTTAGCCTTCCAGTGATTCTGCTTCTCTAGTGAAACCCTGACAGACATAACTCTTCCTTATCCCTGGAATCTGGACTGACCTTGTGACTTCTGTGACTTCTCATTAATAGAATGAGACAGAAGTGACAGGGCCTAGTACTGGGCCTAGCCCTCAAGGGGCCTTTCACATTCTCTCTCCTGAAATCCTGGGATCATCATATGACTAATCCCAGGCTAGCTCATTAGAGGATGAGAGACTCCTACATGGAGAAGAGTTCAGTTTTCCCAGCCAACACCATCCTAGACCAGCCTATAGCCAGTTGTCCTGCCAAAATATGAATGAAGCCAGCCAAGATCAGCAAAGCTGTCTGTCCAATCCCCAGTGGACCTCTGAGGATGAGTGAGCCCAGGTGAGACCAGACCCACTCAGCTGACCTGGGCTCTAATGTGCGGTAAACTATGAATGCAGATTGTTTTAAGCTACAAGTTTTGATGTGTTTTTCTCACAATAATGACTAACTACTGATGCATCCAGTATATTAAATTTTCCTTCTTTTGCTGTGAAATATACATGCAGAAAAGTACATAAACCATATAATAATAAGTAAATATAAAGTGACCATACATGTAACCACCACCTATGTCAAGAAAAAGAGCATCACCAGCACCAAGGAAGCCCCCCACTTTCCCCACCCTGTGTTGCCTCTCACTTATTACTCCATCCTTCCCTGCTCTCCTGACTATTGAGATAATCATTCTCTTGCTTTTTTGTATAGCTTTACCATGTATTAGGGAAAATGGGATTGTTCAGTTTTGCTTGTTGTCAGCCTTTATATGCTGATTTTTTTCTGTCACTTTCTTTTGCATCATGCTTGTAAGATTCTCCAATGTTGTGCTGTGTAGGTATAATAATGTTCACTCTCATTGTTATGTTATGTCCCATTTTTTTAATATACCTACATACACCTACATTTATAGATATCTGGGGTATTTCCAGTTGAGACTGTTACCAGGCTTTGGATTTTAGTAGTCTTGTATACATATTCTGGTATACCTGTGCATGAGCTTCTTGAAAGTAGTGATTCTCGTACTTTTTAGCCTCAGAGGTTTTTTTTGTTTTGTTTTGTTTTTTTAAAGACAGGATCTGGTTTTATCACTGAGGCTGAAGTGCAGTGGTATGATCATAGCTCACTACAGCCTCAAACTCCTAGGCTCAGGCAATCCTCCTGCCTTAGACTTCCAAGTAGCTGGGACTATAGGCATATGCCACCATGCCCAGCTAATTTTTAAAAACTTATTATATAGAGGAAGTATCACTATGTTTCCCGGGCTGGTCTTGAATGCCTGGGCTCAAGCAATCTTCCCACCTCAGCCTCCTAAAGTGCTAGGATTACAGGCGTGAGCCACCATGCTCAGCTGGGCCTCAGAATCGTAAAAATTAAAGATTAAATAAAAATTTTCAAATTAAAAAATGTCCAATAAAGGTTATTGAGATCTGAGATATTTAAAAATATTTGATAATTCATTTAAAATAAACAATAAACCCATTACATATTGCATTAGTTTCCTGAGGATCCCGTCACAAATTACTACAAATGTGATGGCTTGAAACAACAGAAATTTTTTCTCTCAGAGCTGGAGAGTCAAGAAGTCTGCAAGTAAGGTATTGCCAAGGTTGATACCTTCTGGAAGCTCTGAAGGAGAAGGTGTTCCAAGCCATTCTCCTAGTTTCCCATAGCGATGGGCAATCCTTGGTGTTCCTTGACTTGTGAACATATCATTCATTCCAATCTGTATCTTTGTCTTCAGTATGCCATTCCCCTCCCCCAACCCTGCCCCTGTATCTTTGTGTCTGTGCATCTCAAATCTTCCCTCCTCTTATAAGGTGTGTTAGTCCATGTTCATACTGCTATGAAGAAATACCCAAGACAGGGTAATTTACAAAGAATAAGTTAAATGAATTGATAGTTCCACATGGCTGGGGAGGCCTCACAATCATGGTGGAGGGTGAAGGCACAGCAAAAGCACGTCTTACATGGCAGCAGGCAAGAGAGCGTGTTCAGGGGAACTGCCCTTTATAAAACCATGAGATCTCATGTAGCTAACTACCTGTTATAAAACATGAACAATGTTTATAAACATGAATAATGCATTATACGTGCATTATATGTTTATAAACACAAATAATGCATTATAAACACAATACTGCTTTATGGGAAACATAAATGAATGGGAAGAACCCGCCCCCATGATTCAGTTACCTCCCACCAGGTCCCTCCCATGACACATGGGGATTATGGGAACTACAATAAAACCATCAGATCTCATGAGACTTATTCACTATCACCAGAACAGCATGGGAAAAATCTGCCTCCATGATTCAATTACCTCCCACCGGGTCCCTTCCGTGACATGTGGGGATTATGGGAACTACAATTCAAGATGATATTTGGGTGGAGACACAGCCAAACCATACCATAAGGATAACAGTCTTTAGATTTAGGGCCCACCCTAAGTCCCAGGATGACCTCATCTTGAGGGCCTTAACTTAATTACATCTGCAAAAGCCCTATTTCCAAATAAAATCATATTCACAGGGGTGGAGGGGTTGAAACTTGGACATGTATTTTTTAGGGGGACACAATTCAACTCACTGCACACATTTACATAAATAACACATCTTTTAATAAAAATATTTTCGAAATAAAAATTTAGCAAGAAGAGTGACCTTATTTTTGTAAATCTTTCATATCTAGATTTAAGGAAGAAGCTGGGTGCTCATTTCCTTTGATATTCAATCTGTTATGCTGTTTTGGTTGAAATATATAATGAAAATCCAGCTTCATACAGATCATTACATACCCTCTGAAAGGGTTTCAGGAGGCTTCTGGGGACTTCAGAGCAACACTTGAGAACCACTGCTCTAAAGCATATACTCCATAAATATATGTAAAATGGAATTTCCAGGCTGTGGCTACATATTCCAGGCTATATATATATATATATATATACATATATACACACACACACACACACACTGTATATAGGTGTGTGTGTTCTGTGTGTGTATACATATATTCTACTTTATTAGATAATGGCACATTGTTTTCCAACTTGATTAACCAATTTACTTTTTCACTAGCAGTGTATAAGAGGTTTTGTGGCTCTATAAGTCGACCAATATCTGTTATTGTTACACTTAAAATTTTTGCCTATCTTGTGGTATGTAATGTATTGATTGCACTGTGACGTTTAATTTAACAAAAGTTCATCTAGTGCTTGCTATGTACCAACCACTTCTAGGTACTTTTTCCAAATATTGGTACTTTGTAATAATTCTCTATGGTAGGTGCTATTATCTCCATTCTACAGATACACACTGAGGCAGAGAATTTAAGCAAGTGGCCGGACGTCACACAGCCAGTACGTGGCAAAGCAGGGATTAAGCACTCCTGCAGTCTGCTCTTAGAATTCGCGCTCCTTGCCCAGCTGCTTCCCCCAAATATTTATTATTACTTATGAGAAAACTCCGCAAATTGCAAAGCGCTCTACCACCAACGATTAGCACCCTAGGGCAAAATGAGCCCTTTACCACTCCCTAGATGCTCCCCAGCGCTAAGTTCCCAGCGGAGGTTGCAGTGAGCGCAGATCGCGCCACTGCACTCCAGCCTGGGTGACAGGGCGAGACTCTTGTCTCAAAAAAAAAAAAAAAAAAACAACAAAAAAAGCCAGTGATTGGAGCGTAATTACCCTCGCCAACCGCCTGTAACCACGGCGGCCGCCACGCCCCGTTTCCTGGTCTCGCCCCTCTCCGCCCACGACTCTGGCCCCGCCCCTCGTCCCAGGCTGCAACGGAGGCAGAGCCAACGCCTCGCGGGCTTCCACGTACGCACTCCAACGCGTGTTCCCGGAGAAGAACGCATCCGGGTCACGGGAGCCGGTGTCTCAGGCTCCGCCCCTTCACCCCCCGAAAGGCTAATCCCCACTTCCGACCCTCTCAGGCCTTTTCCGCTTCTCTTTTACCTCCCCAGGTCCGCCCGTCTGCGCCCCTCACAGGAAGCCGGAGGGTCGCTCTGATCCCGAATCTCCCACAGGCGTGAACCTGCTCTGCTGTGTATCTTTGCGGGGTGGCCTGCGCTGAGGCCTGCCGCGCGCGGTGAGTCCGCGCAGACCTGACCCTGCGTCTCGCAGCTCGGTTGAGGCCGCCGCCGCCTTCTCGGGATGCCGCGGCCGGGGTCCGCGCAGCGCTGGGCGGCCGTCGCGGGCCGTTGGGGGTGCAGGCTGCTCGCACTGCTGCTACTGGTGCCTGGACCCGGCGGCGCCTCTGAGATCACCTTCGAGCTTCCTGACAACGCCAAGCAGTGCTTCTACGAGGACATCGCTCAGGGCACCAAGTGCACCCTGGAGTTCCAGGTATCAGGGGCCTAGCAGTCCCTGGGCCCCAACTCGCGGCTCCAGGATTGGGGGTGTAACTTGAGGGATGGCACTTTCCTGTCCGTGTTTCCCCGTTCTTAGGCTAATTCAAAAATCGCTTCTAGGTAGCTGATGCCCAGCATTTGACTTTCCTCTAATAAACCTTGGGTGAGAGATGTTAAGACCGGGTGTTAAAATATATGAATTCCAGAAATGCTCCCTTTAGCATTTCTTTCCATCTCATTTTTAAGGCCTATTGAACTTTCTTCCTTAAAAGATTCCCTTAAAGAAAATCATTTATACTCTGTAGTACCCAGTGTCAACCCTCTACTCTCTAATCCACACCTCCAATTTAATTGGATTTGGAGTGCTGCCAATGTCTAACTTCATTGCTTTTCAGTTTTACCAATATTAGGACTGTTGGTTAATACGGTCCTTGTCATTGGAAGAGCTCCATTACAGGTTGAACGGCCATTTGCCAAGGGAGTTGTAGAAAGAATTGCTGTGATAAATGAGAGGCCCCTTCTGATATTTGGGATTATATAAAAAAGAAACTTTAACAGAATGTGGTTTATTCGGTTGGTTAGAACAGTCTTTACTGAGCTTCAATTTTGGTTGGTAGGCGCATTTAACATTTGAGTAGCTATTGAATACTAGGTGCCAGTGGTACAGAAGTGGTCGAAACAGATAGGGTCACTGCCATCATTCATGATTCCCCTCTCACCCTGCTTTTCTTAACTGGTATCTGCTCATTCATCAGAACTGTGCCTTAAGAGCAGTAAGTAGGATCCATGAAGGAAGACTTCCTTTGGAAAATTATTTTAAGCTGAACTTTAAAGGATGAGCTATAAACACCTTGGTAAGGGAGGAGGGGGAATAGCCTGTGGTAGTAGTGAACACTGAGAATTTCAGGGCCATAGAGAGAGGTCCAATATGGTTGGGAATAAGGAGCCAGAGCAAGGGGGTCAGCAGGGGCAGGCCAGATAGTGTCTTGCTGACCATGTTAAGGATTTGTTTTTCCTGAAAGTGTAGGAAGCCATCAGAGGGTTATAAGCAGTTCAGTGATATGACGAGAATATTCTTGGTAGCTGCATTAATAATAACTTGTGCAGGTAGAGAAGTGATGGTAAGATGTTGCAGAGCGGATGTGGAAGGCTGATTAGGAGGTTATTATGGTGGTCTAGACAAGAAATGATAGTGGCTTAGAGTAGAGTGATAGCAGTGGGGTAAATGAAAAGTGAAAGGATTGGAGAGAAGGTAGTAGGTAGAATCAACAGGACTTGGTAATGATTTGGCTATAGTGGGTCAGGGAGGGGAGGCCAAGGATGACCCTTAGGCTTACTTACCTTCATGGATTAGCACCAGGGGACAGAAAAGAAGATAGCAGGAATTGTGATAAAAAGTATAAGCCGACATTTTCTTTGTTTGAATTTAATAAACATTTCCTGGATTTTTGTGTATGCAGACTCAGTGATTAGTGCTAAGGATACTACTACAATGGCTAACAAATTAGCATCTGTTATGTGTAGACAGTATGTTAAGCATTTCAGGTATGTTCTCAGGAAAGCCCGATATGAAATTGTTATAGCTCTTACTCCTTTTTTACTGATGAAACTGAGGTTTAGATAGGCTAAGAACCAAGGGCATAAAACGTAGAAGTAGCTAAATCAGTAACGCAGTCCCAAGTTAAATTCTTAACCACTTTATTATACTACCTCCCAGAGACTGACTTTGATCTCAGAGAGCTTACACAGACATATATAGTCATAAAATGTTAAATGTGACAATAAAGGTACACACTAGGTATAGTGCTGGCAGGAGACAGAAGGATCATCAGGGGACATTTAGCTGAGGAGCTGATGTTAGAGGTGAGTCTGCAAGATAAGTAGCCGTTGCTCTACAAGGCGGCAGAGGAGAGAAGAAGGGGCCCCAGGCAGATATGTTCATGACAGTTCCAGCAGGCCTGAAATTAGCCTGAGCTATATTGCTAACATTTGTGCATGGCATTGAAAATACACTGAATAATAATAGTTTTGTGACTATAGTTATATTTATTAATAGTCACAAAACTATTATTATTAGCTTTAATATGAAGCTATTATAATAGCTTTGTGACTGTGAGTCCAAGGGCTTTGGGGGCAGTTTGTACCAGTTTGTCAACATTATTTATTGGTAACAATGAGATTGATGATTTGCTCCTGGTCTTCATGAGACCACACCCCCAACCCAGAGCTCTGTTGTTGAGACTAGCTGCGTAGCAGGAATATGCCTATGTGACCAGCAAAATATTTAAAAATGCAATCAGGACTCTATTTTGGGTTGCTTGGTTCCAGGGTGTTTTCTTTGCACACTTGGGTGGTTCCAGATCTGAGAGAGTATATGTCTGGCCACACACCTAACAAAGGGAAGCCGAAGGAGCCCACACCTGACCTTTTCAGATCTCTTGCTGTGAGGCAGCCTTTGGCTGTAATGTTTTATATTCTTTTCCTTTTGGGGCTCTTTTCAGTCCCAAGTTAAATTCTTAGCCACTTTATTATACTACCTCCCAGAGACTGACTCTGACCTCAGAGAGCTTACATAGACATATATAGTCGTATAATGTTATAAACTGTAGATTTATAACATAACCTACAGTAATAAACTGTAGATTTGCAAACACTGTCATTTTGATCCGTGTGATTCTTTAGCAAACCCTGTTGAACTGCACTGTCAGTGCAGATGTAAAGCAAAGACTTGTTCAGAGAATTTCTGGTAGTCTGGTATTTTAGGAACATAGAACGAGTAAGGGTGTGAATAAAAGAGGTTCTGAAGCTACCTGGGAGGAAGAACATGTGAATAGTATACCATTGTTAAGAGGTTTAGATTTGTCTGCAGGCCACAGGTAATTATCAAAAAGTTTTTAAGTGATTGCTCAATGGGGAATGAGGAAAGATGGGGAGATGGGCACCCCTTCTTCCCAGGAGACATTCGGCATCATTTTAGGAGAAGGGCAGCTACCTGCATCTAGTAGTTAGAGACCAGGTATGCTGTTTAACGTGTCACAGTGCACAGGACCATACAGCCTCCTACAACACAGAATTATTCAGTTCAAAATGGGAATAATGCGAGGTTGAGAAACCCTGAGTTCGAGGGAGAAGATATTGGGTAGTGGGAAGACCTTTTAGGAAGTTGTGGCAATAGTCCTGTCTGGATTGTGGTTTCGGAATGCGATGAATTTGAGAGGGGCAAAAAGATTGAGAGATTTGTGTGATCATATGGATAGATAGGGACAGTTAGTTTGGGATGATCCTCAGTTTCAATAGTAGGTGATTGGACAGGTTTAAAGGGATACTGTTAAGTGAGATTACTTGTTTTAAGTTTGATGGAAGAGAAGTGGGGTGATGATAAGTTCTGGTGCTATTCGGTTTGTATGTATGTGTTTGATTATTCAGAATACAATGGTCAAATACGTATAATTCAGTATAGCAAAATGAAGTTATTTTCACCTGGAGAAAAAGTTACTGACTTTTTGGTGAGGATGGGGATTGGTAAATCCCCAATTGATAAGACACTTTTATATCAAAACATTTTATCTGTATATTAACATTTACATATTTTTACAGTTTCATAAGTGCATAATTATTTTCATTAGATTATCAAAATGATATGTAACATAGTTCATTAGTCATCTTCTCTCAAGTGAGAAAAGGTCACACAGATCCTTCTTTTAAATCCAAAGTTTGACCTAGAATGTCAGGATGCTAACCAAGAGAGTTCAAGGTTGAAAATAACAATCTTGTGCTCCCCAATCACATGGTGGTTTGGGAACCCTTCATTCAACCCAATGTGTATACGTTCACTCTGTTCACCTCTCTGCACTCCCTCTTTCTTCCTACTCAGTTCTTTCTCATGTAAGGAAGCCTTTCTCTTTAATCCTTTCCCCCTTTTGTCTCTTACAATACTTATCCAGTTACCGCAGGAAAAATCTCTCCCTCCTCTGTACAACCCAAATGGCTGGAATTGTAACTGATTAAGCATAAGCCGTGGAAAGTAGTTCCACAGTTCTGTTCAGACTCATATCACCTACCTCCAGGCTTCCATTCAGTATGTTTGCCATTAAGTACTGGCTTTCTAGATAAACAGACTTGTTGTCCTTCATGTTATTTTGTTTTTGCTTTAATCACAAGAGTTTCAACAATATTTTATTTAATCAGTTACGTGTCTCTCCTCAAAACAAGGTTGTAAATGATTATATACTTTTAGAATAGCCCACTCCGTTACTCAACTTATAGTGTAGTTCAAAACAAAATGTATATCAAATTCCATATAACTGACTATAAAAGAACTTAATAAATGTAATCTATTTGTAATTTGGCAGTAAAATGAGCTTAAGTTCTATGATAGAAGTATGAATGGGGTGTAATCCTAAGGATTGGCCTACCTTGTTACTTCACTGTGTGTGTGCTTGGATGATGCTAATAGGAAAGTGGGTTAGAAAATTTTCAGAAGGAAAATATTGCAGGCAGTAAGCTTAGAGGTTAAGAATATGACTTTGGAGTTCAAGTTCTGCCTTTCCCACTTAATTTAGATGAACAGTCTTGAATAGTTCGCTTATTTAACATCAGTTTTTCAGTCTGTCAAATGGAAGGAAAAAAGTATATTGTAGGGTTGCTGGGAGAATTAAGTGATCTAATAGATCTCCATTAATTAGCACAGTTGTCTGGCTAGTTCAAAGTGAATAAAAGTTGGAGAATACTTGTTCAGTTTCTGTAAAGTTTAGTTGAAGTAAAATCTCCCAAGTTCCATCCACTGGTGAAAATTTAAAAAGATAGTAAAAGTCCTTTGCCCATCACCTTATTGCCATTTTAATAGGAAATCTGATTAAATCTGATTAATTTTTCACACTTTTCACAGTGATTTTTCTTTTTTAATCTCTTACAGGTGATTACTGGTGGTCACTATGATGTAGATTGTCGATTAGAAGATCCTGATGGTAAAGTGTTATACAAAGAGATGAAGAAACAGTATGATAGTTTTACCTTCACAGCCTCCAAAAATGGGACATACAAATTTTGCTTCAGCAATGAATTTTCTACTTTCACACATAAAACTGTATATTTTGATTTTCAAGTTGGAGAAGACCCACCTTTGTTTCCTAGTGAGAACCGAGTCAGTGCTCTTACCCAGGTAAATAAAAAAATCAGCAATATAATGTTGGTATATTTAAAAGGAGGAAAAAAGCATAATTTAATATCATGCACTAACTGATGAGCATGGAATTTTGAGACTGACAGTCTTTAAAATCTATCTTAATTCTTACATGTAGGCATTTCACAGAGAACTTCAGACTTTTGTAGTGAAAAATAATGTTGAAAGATTTTATGAACTTTTAATTGTAAAGAGAAAGAAGCATTAAAATAAGGAGGAAGATCACTAAGGTAGAAACATCAGTGGTAAAAGAAGGTTGGGAAGGCTGAGCAGTGTTCCAATCTTCTGAAGCATTTTCTTTAATCCCTGAAGGAATGTTGCTGTCATACTCAGGAGGCTGGTGTAACTGGAAGCAAAATGATGCCTAAATTAGTAGATAAATAATACCATATCATAGCCTTTATACCATTACTTAGTGTTACTCAAGCTGCTGTAACAGTAACTTGTGCTGTAACTTTAGGTGAAATATTGAAGATTAATGGTAAGTCATCTCACAAAAATAGTTACAAAAGCTAAATTCAGATTTATTTTGGAGACATAGAGAAAGCGTAAAAAATTTAAACCCAGTGAACAACTATTGCTTAGGTGATGAGGACTGTTTTATTTCTAGTTCAAATACAGCAAAATCCAAAATGCTTCAAAATCCAAAACTTTTTTTTAGCTCCAACCTGATGACACAAGTGGAAGATTGTTACATCTGATCTCATGACACATCATTGAAAATATCATATACAGTTGCCTTAAGGCTGCATGTATAAGGCATATATGAAACATAAATGAATTTCATGTCTAGACCTGGGTTCCATCACAAAGATATCTCATTATGTATATGTAGACATTCCAAAATCAGAAAAAATCTGAAATTCAAAGCACTTCTGGTCCCAAACATTTTGGATAAGGGATACTCAACCTGTATGGGCTTAGATCGTATCTAAAAGTTACTCAATTAGGCATGAAAAAGAATTATTTACCACTTATTCGTTAACATCTTAAACTGGTATTTTAGTGTTCCCAGGTTCTATTTAGTCTCTTGGCCAAAGTCATGGTGAAAGAAACAGCTTTAAGAATGTGTAAAAGCCTTAATTCATAAACCTGTTGTTAGAATTAGCAAGATATATTCAAATACTCTTAATTTTAGAAATGTTCTCTTTATTTTAAGGTCTTGTGTGAAGGACACCTTGCTTTGTAAAATGATATTTCTTTGGGGCCATTACCTTAACCTGTATCCATTCCTTCATGAATTTTAACTTGTATAAGGTGGCTTGTTCTAAAAACCTAAGTGGGTAAATATAAGAAATGAATGGTAATAAAGCAGTTAGTATCATACCCGTCTTTATCCATGCTACATTTTTTATTTTTCTCAGTCTTATTTTTCTACTTTCAAAAAGATAATGTATCATATAATAGGGATCATTATAAAGCAACTTTTCATACTTTAAAATTGAAAATTACCAGCTAGTAAGTTCAGAACAAAATTACCAGCTAGTAAGTTCAGAACAAAATTACCAGCTAGTAATGCAGAATAAATGATAAAAGTTTTACTCTCACCATTTTTTACCTGTTGATAAAATGATGGATTTAGAGTAGGCAATGATCAGCAGTCACTACTAAAACCATTAAGTAAAAGGCTGATGGGGAACTTTATACTGAGTGGATCAGACTGAATGATCATTCACAAATGGAGAGATAACTAGACATTATGTGCCTTATCATAATATGCAGTAAGAAGTACACAACATTGACTACTAGACGTTCCCACCCAGAACATTGCACCTGAATTCCATCAAGTCTCTAGCTCCAAATGCCAGTTTACAAGAAATACAGAGGATAAAGGAATAACATGGGAATGCAATCAACAAAATCCAGGACGTGGGAAATGCCACAGGATAGGGGTTGATGGCAAGGAAAAAAGGAAAAACAAGGAAGAAAGCCTAAAGATTAATGAACACTTACATCAGCCAAATGATTGTGTTAACCTTACTTGGATTCTTACTTGAAAACCAACTTTGAAACAATAGGGGAAATTTGAACACTATTTCCTGACTTTAAGGAACTGTTTTAGATTATTTCATGTGTTATAATACTATTGGGGTTATGTTTTTAAAAAGTGTTATCTTTTAGAAATAAAGTATAAAAGTATTTGTAGCTGAAGTGATAAAATATCTGAGATTTGCTTTAAAAATAATCGGGGAATGTAGATGAAGCAAGATTAGCCATGTGTTAATCTTTGTTGACATGGTGGGGGTTCATTGTACTTTTCTCAATACTTTTGAATATATATGGAAGTTTTCACTGTAAAAGTTTTTTAAAAATCACATCTCAGGCCAGGCGTGGTGGCTTACGCCTGTAATCCCAGCACTTTGGGAGGCCGAGGCGGGCGGATCATGAGGTCAGTAGTTAGAGACCAGCCTGACCAACATGGTAAAACCCTGTTTCTACTAAAAATACAAAAATTAGCTGGATGTGGTGGAGTGCACCTGTAATCCCAGCTACTCAGGAGGCTGAGGCAGGAGAATCACTTGAACCTAGGAGGTGGAAGTTGCAGTGAGCCAAGATTGCGCCATTGCACTCCAGCCTGGGTGACAGAGCGAGACTCCATCTCAAAAAAAGTCACATCTCAAAAGTTGTAGAATGCATGTAATTTAATTTCTGTGATTTTCTCTAATCCAGTAGTTCTTAACCCATACCCCATGGACAGGCTTGAAGGAGTTCCTAAATATTCTGCATTTGGGTCAACTCCTTGCCTTTATGTGTACTTTCCAGGTGAAGAATCCTTGGGCAATATGCCATTTTGAGAATATAGAGAAAGCAAATCCTAGAAGCACATCTCTCTCTAGCTCCTCATCACAAATTAGGAATCATTTTAGCACAGTTTTGCAAATTTTTCATTCCTAGGGGCCTGAACAAAGCAAGGACAACAAAAATATTTGACTCTTCTAATAGGTTAATGCAGTTTGTTGGCCTCATAATTTCTTACATTTTTTAAAAGCACTTTTAATAGAATATTTTAATAATTATTCCTTTCATACTTACTTTGGCAGAACTTCATTAAACATTATTTTCTAATTTCTATATTCCTTAACTAAAATTAAAACAAACTTAGATTTGTTTTTAAAACTCTTAATACAGGCTTGTTGCATAAAATAATAATAAAACATATATTTTACCACTAGGATTAAGTTTGCAGCAGTAGAAAAATATTAAACCATGGTATACAAAAAAACTAGTCATTTAACCTTTCTCAAAACAGATGGTATAATAAATGTATAAAAAGGCAAGCTGTTATCAGCTAAAGGCTCACAAATTGATTACACAGTGAAACTGAAACTTGCATCCTGTTGGGAACATACATATTGGTTTAGTTGACTGGCATGAGGGAAAAGGCTGATTTAACAAATAGATAAATGTAAAAAAACAAAGTCATTCCTATTCTGATAGATCCCTTTCAGATTTAAAAGTTACTAACGATTTTGATGTTGTGGCTGTTTTAAACATAGTTCAAAGAACTTTGACTAATTCAGCTTTTTTTTGTACTGTGCTTTGTTTATTTTTATAGATATTTGGGCTTTGACTTATATTCTCATTGGTGAGCTCACTGCCATTTTCTTCCTAATTCTTCTTTAAAGAACTTGGGCTGGAAATTCTGTAGTCACCAACCTTAGCTGATAAGTATTTCTGCTATTGTTAGCTTAGTGTTCCATCTGCCCCCTTACTGATGCCATGGCTGTGACATCTCAGTTGGGGAAAACAGCTGCTTCATGAGATCTCTAGCCTTAACAGTTGTCCCAGTGAAAATGAGCAGGGGGGTTTCATTGCAAAGACAACTGGCATAAATGTATGAATGAATGCCAGATTAGTAGCATGTTAGTCAAAAGAGGAATTGAGATCAAATTGAAAGAAAAGCTGAATATGATAGATGAAGTCTACAGAAAGTATCACACATACTGACTGAAAATATTTCTCTGCAGATGGAATCTGCCTGTGTTTCAATTCACGAAGCTCTGAAGTCTGTCATCGATTATCAGACTCATTTCCGTTTAAGAGAAGCTCAAGGCCGAAGCCGAGCAGAGGATCTAAATACAAGAGTGGCCTATTGGTCAGTAGGAGAAGCCCTCATTCTTCTGGTGGTTAGCATAGGGCAGGTATTTCTTTTGAAAAGCTTTTTCTCAGATAAAAGAACCACCACAACTCGTGTTGGATCATAACTACGTTTTGAGAATTGATGCACCATTGCCACTGTAATATTGCTGTCCTCTAATTAATTTTAGGTACTGAAGAACTTAATATTGGCAACATTTTTAAATCCTTACTCATACACTTGTTGGGAGGGATGTACAATGCATATTCCCAAACTGTGGAAAGGACACCTTTTTTTATTTGTAAAGGTGGAAAAACTTTGGAACTCATTTTGGGCTATTCATGTTAAATATTCAACACCAATGATCTACTCTGTTCGCAGTTGTTTATATCTACTCTTCGCACACTAAACTTTGGTATTTTGATTCCTTTTAACCATTTAAGACTACTTTTCTTATAGGTAGTTGATATTTTAAAAACTTTAGATTTAATGTCTACATGTGTTAGGGAGGAAGAAAATTGCCTTTTAATTGTTAATAAGAAAACCAAATGTGATGAACTGTAGCCCAAGCCCTATTCTGCACTGTTCAGTTTTATGGAGGAAAAATAAATCTACCATAGGAATGTTAGTTAATATTGATATATCATGGTAAAATTGATTTCTCACTAGCTTAGAAAATGTCAGACTTTTGTTTTTGGGGTTTATAATTTAAACCAGCTATGCTATTTTTTCATAAAGGCATTTGTAGTACACAGAAAACAGTAGTTTCAGTAGTGTAAAAGAGTTTATACAGGCCTTAAATATCAGACTTTGTAACAGGTAGAAATATTACAGAATAATTTAAGACACTACAATGGGGGCAAATGAAATAGGAAAATTTTTAGTGAGTTACACGTACTCATTACATTTTCAGTGCTTTTACAAGGAAAAAAGGTGATATGTTTAATTTTAAAATTTTAATTGGCTAGCTCTTGCCCTTATATGACTTTAATGTCTGTGAGTCATTCCCAGCTTAAATTAACAATTGTTAGTATTAGTCTCACACATAAGTGCCATACATTTTATCCTCATGGATGTGATGCACTGAAAAGTTAGTTGCTCTCCTTTTTTCTTTTTTTTGTCGTGCATATTTTATTTCTGTAGTTTCTGGTTAGCTACCCTAAAGTGATTTAAAAATTTAGAATGCTTTGTGTTTCCTATTTGGTAATCTTCATTGACTTTTCTTTAGTTAATGAGTATTAAATAGTGCATATTCTGTAGACTATAGGGTTTACATTGTGTTGCATCTTATAACTTGTATAGATTGAGCTGATTGAAATAAGATTTTGTTCCAAGTATTATCTGATAGAATACAAGATGATTCAAAATTATATAGATATTTAAAGCTTTTCTGCTGTTTTTTTTTTTTTTAATTGCAACTGCTTTTCTGCCGTGCCTCTCTTCCCTACCCAAAAGTGATGAGTTCTGAACAAGACAAGACTGTCATATTGTAGAGACTTTGGTATGTGATACCATAGAATACTGATTGGATAGCCATCCTAGTCACTTACCAATACTGACTAGAAGTTAACTCTTAATTCTAAGCTATCTTAAAATGCATATATATACTTCTTGCATGGAAGAGCAAAACAAATTCAAGTTGTCATGCCTGATAATTTCAGATGCCACCGTATAGCAAAGGGTGAACATGTTTTCAACCCTTTAACTTTTTACGGTGTTTGAAGACCAGCTACTCCTTAATATTTATCAATGGATTAAGAAGTTTAAGATTTTGCAGATTTATCAATTTGGGTTTTTGTACTGAAGTTGTCTTGCGGCTTTGCAAGTGTCCCTTTATATTTAAATTTGAAAGTTGTAAGCACTGATGTTAATGTGATTGATCAGCATGGGCATATGTAAAATGTCCTTTTCTGGTTGCCTCTCTATGCTATTGTGTTCAGATACTTACACCATAATTAAACAGTAAGTTATAGACTTGCTGAGTTTGGCATAGATAGTGCACTCATTTAATCTGTGCCTCTCAAAACTTCAGAATATTAGCATATTACCACAAATAATTTTTGGTGAAACTATTGAGATATTAAAATTTTTGAAATCACTACTGTTACCTGTTATAGAAAATAGTGTTGGCTTAGTCTAGTCTCTGTGTAACTGGTTACATTTTGATGGTTGTCTATACTCAACTGGATATGTGTATGTAAATTAGAAAATACATACCTATCCAGACATAAATGCTAAGTAACATTTTTTTCTTCCTCCAACTACATAATTTGTAGCTCATCATTTTTCCTTAATCCTTTCCTAACTTGTTGCAGCAGTTTGAATTTCCCAGATATTTATGTTTGAACATAATGGCTCAGAATACATATTTGAACATCATAGTTGTATATATTTTTAAAGTAGAATAAATAATGGAAAGCAACTTGATATACAAGTTTATACTAAAATTTCAACTGTGTGAAGATACATTTTAAGGCATTACTTTGCTAATAATCTACACATTCTTTTTTCTATTAAATAAACAAATGGTTTGTGGTTCACAGCTTTCATCCAAGCTTGGTGATAATCAATTTTGAAAATACAGTGGACTGAAAAGCAAATTTATTCTTTCGAAGATTTCATTTAAATCTCTGTACTATGCATTTTTGTTTCAGTTTGTAAATGTGTAACATTTATAGTTAAATAGGACAAAGCAGGCCCTATGACTATTGTTTTCAAAAAATTAATATATAAATAATTCAGAGGGGTTTTTCATTTACTTTTGAAAAGAAATTTCTTTAACAGGATTGCACCTATCAATTTCTTGTAGAATAAAAAAAAATCTTTCAACAAACTGACTTTACTTGTTTCTGTCAGGATTTAAATCTTTCTAAAGCTCCTTATAAACTTAAAGCCTAGAGTACAGTTCTGTAATGAGAGTGATTATTTATTTGGTATTTTATTAAAATATCTGAGGGACTGTCCAAGAAAGAAGGTGAAAGAGAAATACCACGTCTGTACTGCCTAATTTGTAACCTTCTCTTTGCATTCCTTACTGAAAGTTTGTGTAGGTGAAAAGCAGTTAAATCATCAGTTGCTCTAAAGAGGTCTTAATTTTTAAGTAAATTACCTTTAGTTTGTATATTACCCAGTTGTATCAGTGTTTTTCTTAATAATGTAGTCAGAGGGGACAGTCTGGTTCCTGGGCATAATTCTCCAAAAACAACAGGGAAATAACTATAAATATAGGTTAACATTTATTGAATGCCTACCTTGTGCTAGGTGCTGTGCTGAGTATTTGTATTGACACATTTAATCTTTGCAATGATTCTATGAAATAAAGGTATTATTTCCATTTTACAGATGAGGAAACTGAGGAATAGAGGGGTTAAGAAATCTCATATCACACAGTATATTAGCAGAGTTTGAATATGAACCATAGCAGTCTGGCTCCAGAGCCCTCTTTCTCAAGCACTATGCAATATTGCCTTACAAAAAACCAATTAAGGATAGATCTCTGAAGGCTTAGCTATCTTGATTTCACTACAGCTCAGTAGCAGTTCAGTGCTTTGGCTTTGGAGTCACAGCCAAGTTCAAGTCATGGTTGTGTGACTTTGGATTTTATTAACTATATATTTCTGTTTTCCATCTGCTGCTAAGGTGATGCCATCTGGTATAATGAGAATGAAATGAGATGTTTATTAAACACTGAGGATCAGTGCCTAGCATATACAAGCACTTAGTAATTATATTTTTATCATTAGTCTAATTCTGGTCTCTTGATCTTTCTTTAGTTCCTAAAGTCCTTACTATGGTTTCTATTCATGTGGCTCTTACATGAACAATACATGACACAAATATGATAGTGTTTGAATGTCTGTCATGCACATAATAGTCTGCTAGAAATTTCGAAAATGAATAAGACTGGCTGGGCACGGTGGCTCATGCCTGTAATCCCAGCACTGTTAGAGGTCAAGGCGGGCAGATCACCTGAGGTCCGGCATTCAAGACCAGCCTGGCCAACATGGTGAAACCCTGTCTCTACTAAAAATACAAAAAATAGTGGGGCATGGTGGCGCATTCCTGTAATCTCAGCTACTCGGGAGGCTGAGACAGGAGAATCACTTGAACCCGGGAGGCAGAGGTTGCAGTGAGCCGAGACTGCACCACTGCAGTCCAGCCTGGGCAACAGAGCGGGACTCGGTCTCAAAAAAAAAAAAAAATGAATAAGACAGTAGTCTCACCTCCAGGAACATAACCTAGATGGTGTAGATAGGATAGCTGTATGAGCAACTAATGTTACACAGGTAATGAAGCAGAGTGGACTCTAAGGGTCTAAGATATTTACAGGGTGCTAGAGGAAGAAGAGAATATATAGGTCCAAAGACTTATTTCTTAGGGAGTTTTACATCATCTCCCCACAGCAGAAGCCCTGGTTATGTGACTATGCCAGTAATTGAGTGGTTTAATCTCCAGTTTAGGGATATGGGTATTAACCAGTCCCTGTTGCTACAGATTGAAAGACATATTCTTTAATTTTGCTAACAATAAAGGTGATGTTTGATCTCCTGAGTAACTTCTCCATCTCAGGAGTTTCCAAATTCTGGAGGAAAATACAAGGATGTTATCCTATTTTTATCATTAGGAATCAGCTTCCTTGCTGAAATTTAGATACAAAAGTGACACTGGTCTGGCATACTCTGTTTTTAGTGCTGGATGATTCCTAATGATCACTACTATTTTGAAAAGGCAACAGCATAAGAATTTGATTAATAATGAATGGTTCAAAGAACAAAGTCTACCCAGAATTTCATCATTCGTTTTGGTGTATTTCAGTTATTTTTATAGATATTTGTGTATTGTTTAAAGAAATTGGTATTGTACTGTCTATAACAAATTTTTACACTTTTACATTTGTGAAATCTATCATATAGAAGAGAGCATTCAGCATGTACAATTTAATGAGAAATAAAGTTATAAAACAGATACTCATATACCCAATGCTCAGGTTAAGAAATGTACATTGCCAATACCTTAGTAAGCTCCTATGTATCCTTTCCTGGTCAGTTTCCTGAATCACCCCAAGAGAGAGAACCAATATTCTGCTTGTAATGCAAATAATCTTTTCTTTGTATTTTTACCAATTAAGTATACTGGTTGTCACACTTTTTAAAACATAATTTCTAAACCATCATAAAATGATACTTTTGTAAATACAAAATCATGTACTTGAATGCATTGGCACTGTCAGTTTACTATCAGCATTTCTAAATGTTTATGCATGTTTGCTCACTTTATGTGCTTATCTCTCCATCAGCCAATGACAGTTGATCAATATGGGATCAATATGGGACCACACTTCGAGTAGTACTGATGTCTACATTCCTTAAAAATAGTCTAAACAGGTAGAAGTAAACATTAATAAAATTTAATAAAGTATTAAATTCTATTTAATAAATAGAAATGTCACTTTTTTTGTGACTTGCTGAACATTTAGTGCCATCCCTGATGATGCATATGGCTATAGTTTTTGTTACTGTGTTTATTATTAACATACCACCACTATGTATTTCTTCCATGAAGGCATTTGGATCATTCTACCTTTTTTGCTATTTTGAACAAAGCCATTATGAACATTCTTGTGTATATATGTCAGGTTGTACATGTGTATGATCTCTTGAGAATACATCCAGCAATGGAATTGGTGGGTCATAGGATATGTATATCTTCAAATTAACTAGGTAATACCTAACTTTTCCAAAGTAATTAGTGCTTTCACCAGCAGCATTAAAAGGTTCCACATTTGGTATTGTTAGACTAAAACTTTGGAAAATCTAGGCTTGTAATGGTACCTCGTTGCTTAATTTGCATTTCCATGAGGTTAATTATTTTTTCTACAAATTTATTTACCATTTGGATTTCCCCTTTTTGCAAAGTTGCTGTTTAAATCATTTGCCCATTTTTAAAAATTTTATTGACTTTTTGGTTAATAAAATTCCTTCATATACTGAGACTACTTAATCATTTGGTAATAACTATTTCAAATATCTTCTCACAGTTATTTATCGTTCTGCTCCTAGTGAAATGTATCCATCTTTTTCTCTATTTTTTGGTGTTTTTGTGTCTTATTTAAAAAATACTTCCCTCTCCTTAGGTCATGAATATCTTCTGTACTGTGTTCTAAAATATGTGTAGTTTTGTCTTCCACTCAAATTGAATTTTGTTTTGTGGGTGAGGTAGGTATCCAGGTTCTTTTTTTTTCCCTTGTTTCTTGAAAAGTCATCTTTCTCATTTGGTTGAACATGCCATTTCTGTCATCTGTGAAATGCTCATATTTACATGAGTCTATTTCTGGGCTCTCTTTTATTCCATTGATCAATTTGCCCATATATCAGTAACACACTGTCTTAACTACTAAAGCTTTTAAAAGTCTTGATATTTGGTAAAATAAGTCTTTTTATACCTTGTTCTTCAAGATTTTGGCTGTGATCAGTTCTTTGCACTTTTATACAAATTTTAGAATTTCAACAAAACAAAATTGTTAGGATTTTGATTGGGATTGTATTGTATCTGTGAACAAATTCTTTATAGTAGTGCATTTTTTGGTGAGTTAATGTTGTCTTTCCATTGTATCTTTGAATAAAGTCTTAAAATTTTCTTCATAGAAATACTGCATACATATATTTTGTTAATCTTATATCTTTTTGTTTTTGATGCTATCATAAATGATATCTTTTAAGTTTTTAATTTTTTGTTCGTATGTGGGGATACTTTTTAAATTGATTTTTCTATTCAACCTTGCAAAAATCTTTTTTAAAGTTTAGTAATTTATCTGTAGATTCTTTTGGACTTTCTATAAGTAATGACAAATTTGTCTTTCTATTGTCCTTTTCTTTTTCTTGCCTAATTAAATTTGCAGGGACCTCCAGTATAATGTTGAATAGGTCATGTGTAGGCATTCTTGTTTTGTTCCTGTTCTCTGGGAATGCTTTCAAAGTATTCTCTAAGCATTTTATGATACTTTTATTAAATTTAGAAATTTCCCACCTATTCTTATTTGCTAAGAGTTTTTTATAATCATAAATGATATAAAATTTTGAATTTTCAAAAAGCTCTATTGAGAAAAATCATGATTTTTCTGCCTTTATTCTCTGAATGTAGTCAGTTACATGAACTGGATTCCTATTATTAAGCCAACCTTCTCTTCCTAGGGTAAAAAAAACCTGGCCACGATGTGGTTTGACTGCTTTTAATAGCTGGATTTGTTTTAAGATTTTTGCTTAATATCAAGGCTGTTTTAGCCTTATAAAGTGATTTGGAAACTGGCTTTCTTTTCTTGTTTTCTGGGAGAGCTTGTATATAACATTTACATTACTTCTTCCTTGAATGTTTATTAGAAATCATAGGTGAAGTGTGTTTGGGGCCTGGTGTCTTCTTTATGGGATGCTGATTCAATTTCTTTTTATTAATAAGGTTCAGCTTTTCTGTTGTGTAATATTGGTAGATTGCATATTCCTATGTATCTTTCCATTACGTCTACACTTTCAAATTTGTTAGCACTGTGTTTTTCCTGTACACTTAACATGTGCCAGATCTGTAAGGATGGTACCCTTTGTATTGCTTATATTGCATCTGAGATTGTTTGTATCTTTTTTCCTTGACTAGTCTTGCTAGAGGTTTATCATATTTATTGTTTTTGCTTTACAAAGAAGCCAATATTTTTGTTTTTCTTCTTTGTTATATTTTCTCTATTTTGTTGATTTCAGCTTTTTCTTTTCTATGTTAATATGTCATATTATTGTAGTGGATGGTTAGCTCTTCAAATTTTCAACTTTCTATTCTGATTTACATATTTAAAGCTATAGATTTCCATGATAATGCTACTTTATCTCTTGCGTTAGTTTTCTATGCTGGGTAACAAATTACCACAGGTTTACTGGTTTATAACAGCATAATTTTATTATCTCACAATTTCTTGGGGTTAAGAGTTTCAGCATGGCTTAACTGGGTCCTCTGTTTAGGGTCTCACAAGGCTGCAGTGAAGTCAGCTGAACTGCATTGTCATCTGGAGCTCACAGTTCTCTTCTAAATTAATCAGATTGTTGATAAAACTTAGTTCCTTGAAGCTGTAGAACTGAGGTCCTCAGCTACTTAGGGCTGCTCTTTTATATAAGCAGTGTAACGTGACATGCCTTTTTAAGGTCAGCAGAACTTCTGACTAGAATCTGTTTCAGAGAAGGCCAGAAAGAGTTCACTTGGTTAGGTCAGAGTCACCTGGGATAGTCTCCCTTTTGATTAAGTCAGAGTCAACTAAATAGGCACCTTAATTGCATCTGCAAAATCCTTTCACTTTTGCCATATTCTCTTACTAAATGTAACAGGCGTTGTCCACACAAAGGTATGGATATGGGGCTTGGAAAGGATTTCAGGAACCATCTTAGAATTCTGCCTACTACTAACTCCATTCTACAAGTCTCAATATCTAGCATTTTAGTTATTCACTAACTGCAAAGTTTTTTATTTCATTATCATTACTACTTTGATCCATAGATACTATTTGGAACTATAATTTCCAAACATGAATATTTAAGTTTTCCTTTATTGTTGATTTTTAACATAATTGAATTGTGATCAGATGATATATTCTCTATATGATTTAAATTCTTTGAAATGTGTTAACAGTTGCTTTATGACATAATAAGTGGCTGGTTTTTATAAATTTTAGGATGCTTGAAAAGAGTTCTACAGTTATTTATGTTCATTAATCATTTTAGTCATGTTCATTAATTTTCAAGTCTTCAGTATCCTTAGTGATGATTTTTTTGTTTTTGGTATATATCTCTTGATTACTAAGAGAATTGTGTTAAAATGTAGCTAGCATGATTTTAGATGTGTTTGTGTGATTCTTTCAATTTCTCTCTTTTTCTATTTTGTATTGGGATACAAATGTATAATTGTTATATTTTCCAGGTTAATTGAAAGAAGCTTTATCATTACAAAATTATCTTTATTTCCACTAATAAATTTTGCCTTAAAATTAATTTTATTTGATATTAATGTAGCTATACCAGCTTTCGTTTGGCTAGCACTTGTGTCGTATATCATTTTCCACAGTTTTACTTTCAGTCTTTGTGTATATTTAGTTTTTAGAGGTGTCTCGTTTATATCATATTGTTGTTACTATTAGTATGTGTCCTATCTGTTCTATGTTCCTTTTTTTCTACTTTTTTTTTGATAGTTTTGTTTTTGTTACTCCTTTTTTTCTTCTACCTATCAGATGGGATGTTGTATATATTTCTGTTCATGGTTGTTCTAGAAATTTCATTATGCATCTCTGACTTATCAACGCCTAAACTCGCCCAGACTTCTGCGCAGTGCAGTAGCCTTAGAACACTTTAATCCCATTTACTTTCCTCCCAGCTTATATATGTGGTTGTCACATATGTTGTATCTCTTTAAATGTAAGTTATTACTGTTGTTTTATATAGTTAATATTGACTTAGATTTACCCACAAATTTGCCACCTTTCTTACTCTCCATTCCTTGCTGTGTCTTTGAGCTTCCATCTGGAGTAATTTTTCTTTTGCCTGAGTATATGTTTAGAATTTACTTTAGTGCAGGTCACCTGGTGGCACATTTACTTTGCTCTTGTTTTTTGAAATGTCGTTATTTTGCCTTCTTTTTGAAGGACTTTTTTTTTCTCCCTTGAAATGGATGGTTATCTGGAAAGGTAAAGATAACTTTCCCTTGTATTCTGACTTCCACTGTTACTGGGAAGAAGTCACCTGTCAGTCTTTTGCTCCATTTAGACTAATCCATTTTTTTTTCCTCTGGCTGCTTTCACGATTTTCTCTTTGTAATTATAATTTTTTTTTTTTGAGTTTCATTGTGTTGTATATACGTGAGGATTTTATTGTATTTTCCCACTTAGGCTTTGTTTGGCATCTTAGATCTGTGGGTTGATACATCAGTTCTGGAAAATTCTCAACCATCATTGATTTGTTCAAATTTTGTTTAGAATCTTACATCTATATCCATGAGCGATGTTGGTCTTTAGTTTTCTGTTTTTGTAATGTCTTTTGTCTGATTAGTATGATACTAATGCTGGCTTAATAGAATGATTTCAGAAGTATTCCCTCCTTTTGAATTTTTTTGAAGAGTATGTGTAGGATTGGTATCATTTCTTCCTTAAATGTTTTGGTAGAGTTCACCATTGAAGTCACCTGGACATGAAGTTTTCTTTTTCGGAACATTTTTCACTACACCTTAATTTCTTTGATAGATTTAGGGCTTTTAAAATAATCTGTTTCATCTTGACTGTTTGGCTTTTAAGGATTTTTTCCATTTCATATAAATTGTTGAATTTGCTGGCATAAAGTTGTTCATAATCTTTCCTTAGTAACCTTTTAATAACTGGAATGTCATGTCCCTCTCTCATTTCTAATATTGGTAATTTGCATCTGCTCTCTTTTTTCTTGACTTATCTGGCTAGAAGTTTATTGATTTTGAACGTCCTAGTAAACCATCTTTTGGTTTTATTTCTGGGGGAATAAAGTACCATAATCAAGCTTAGTAATCCTTCTTCTTACCTTCCTCCAGGATTTTGACTAGATGGGATTCTTTGTCTAATGAAGTGACCTAAACCTTCATTTCTACAGAATTGAGCCGTTGATAGGCCTGTCTTTACTGGGTTGCTGCAGTTTTCCACTGACTAGGACTGTTAGCACTAAGAGGCATTCCAGTGAATTTCCTCGTTTCCATATATAGCCTATATAGCCTTCTTGTTTCCATTGTAAAACAGAAACACAGTTTTCCTCTGATAACTGGAATTAGCTACCCTGGCCAGTCCATTGAGCTGCTTTTCTGTTACTTTAATGGCATGAGGAACCTCAAAAGGCCAGGGCCAGTCTCGGCTCCTAAATCATCAAAACATGATTATTTTTCCTGAAGGAAGTGTTCTACTCTTGGACTCTAGAATTTCTAAACCCACCAAGCCCAACATTTTGGGAATGGGAAGCAAAAATTATTCACGTAGATTCTTAGGTATACTATTGAACAGAAACACTCCTTCTACCCTTTGGCTCTGAGACCTGTGCATCCTGATAGTGGGGAGACAGCTCCATATATTGACTGCTTATTAAATTAATGTACCACATTCTATAGGACACCACCCTACCTTTTCATGATGTTGCCTCCCAGATATCTCTGTAACCGAGCTCTCATTTTGCCACTCAGCTGTTCTATCAAGCTAGTTACTTTAGGAGATAAGCATGTGTTAAAACCATTGAATTCACTTCCATTGCCATAAACTGTGTACCTGGTTGGAAGAAATGTTTTTGGGATTCCTATGCAATGGATAAAACCTTCAGAAATGTCAAGAATATTAGTGCCAGTGGAAACACTGCAGGCAGAGAATGCAGATTTATACCTTGAATGTGAATTATCTTTGTGAAGACAAAGTGCTACCTATTTCTTATGGAAATTGCCCAATGTAACCATCATGTTACCGGGTTGCCAGCAAGTCTCATTGACAGTAATGCCATATTAGGAACCCAGCCTTGGA
Organism: Homo sapiens; assembly: GCF_000001405.40. Lineage (NCBI taxonomy): Eukaryota > Metazoa > Chordata > Mammalia > Primates > Hominidae > Homo > Homo sapiens. The sequence continues at coordinate 115,604,793 of NC_000005.10, read as the reverse complement.
AATGTAGTCACACTCCACGTTGTTGCCAGGTTGGGCATTCGGCAATGATAGTAGCCAAATAATGTAGGTAAGGAGAAGACCATACTATTGAACCTCTGTCACTGCTTTGATAGCCACTTGGTACATGGGCCCATTAACCAAGCCCTGGGTTGGCTGGAGAAAAAGACTGACATCTACCAGACAATTCATCTTGTTCCGCTTATTATTGAAAATCTTCTCCACCTGATGCATCCTGTTAGGCACTTATGGGGGATATGAATATCTTCACATGCCCTCACCACTCCAAGAGGGTTATCTGTAAGTCTCACGGACAGATCTTTTACAAATTTTCCATTTTGTTCTTTCCAAGAACCTAAAAGCTGGACAATCCATTAGACACTGCCTGTAAGTCAGTATATTTATCAGTTTGTCATGTCGTCCCCTCCTTTCTTGAATGTGAATAACCAGGTATGTAGCTAGAAATTGCCCACTAGGAAGATTCGCTGTCCCCATTAGCAATGCACGGATCTGAAATTGTCTCACTTCTTTACATATCTGTCTGTCTCCCAGATTAGACTATAAAATCTCCATGAGAACTAGGACTGTGTCTCCTGTTCGCACAATATCCCTAATGTCTAGCACATAGAATATATTCTAAACATATGTGGCGTAAGTGATTGATGCATTTTCTTGAACATTTGGAGAGAAAATGTTAAGCAATTAAACTTGTAACCAATTTAAGATTTTTTTTAGTACATGTGACTGTATTATGAAGAACAATGCAAAATTTGGAGCAATTTACAAGAAGATGGAACAGTTCAAGTAAATTTGCCCATGACACTAGTGACTTCAGGCTCTTTTATGTATGCAACCTAAGTGATGAATAGGGAAGTACGTGTTTATGGAATCTGTCATTGGTGGTATTTCAGTGGGAAAATGTGAAAAGCTCTGATTTTGAAGGGTTGCCAGAGAAAGAGGAACAGGCAGAGGAAACTGAAAGAAGAATTTTTTTTTTTTTTTTTTTTTTTTGAGACGGAGTCTCACTCTGTGGCCCAGGCTGGAGTGCAGTGGCGCGATCTCGGCTCACTGCAAGCTCCGCCTCCCGGGTTCAAGCCATTCTCCTGCCTCACCCTCCCAAGTAGCTGGGACTACAGGCAGCTGCCACCACTCCCGGCTAATTTTTTGTATTTTTTAGTAGAGACGGGGTTTCACCGTGTTAGCCAGGATGGTCTCGATCTCCTGACCTCGTGATTCACCCGCCTCGGCCTCCCAACAGGCCTGAAAGAATTTTAACAAGCAGGATGAGCATAAAGGCAAAGTGGGGTTGTCAACATCAAGGAAACAGAGTGTTGGGAAACAATGGTCGACTTTGTCAATCGCCAAAGAGACTCCCAGGAAAAATGAGGGCAACAAAAGTATCAGTTGGATTTAGGAGGCCACTGCTTACCCAAAGAGTTCAGGTAGAATTGTTGGGAGGTGCAGTGGTTGGAGAATCAACTCCGTGAATAATGAATTGTGTTGACACGGTACATAATACGGTATTTCTGACTACATTGGCGGCATTTCACTAAGTAATTACTACCTGAAGTGCCTACCTTCAGTAAGGCATCCTGTTGTTGGATGGGGAAAGAGAAGGAGGAAATAACTCTTAGCTTTACCTGTACTGTGCTTCTGAGACCCAGGTATGGACCTTCACTCCCAATTTACTATCCATGGTCTCATCCGATGTTCAGTAACTGGGTTCTCCTTTGGCAGGGAGTAGGGATTGCCTGAGAATTAAAAGGGGAGGGGAGATTTCTGAACTGGACCTCTTAGGTTATGACTAGATTGGGTGCCTGAGGCAGCAATGGGGCTTTATAAGGCTTCTTTACGCTTCATTTAACTAATTGCTTTTTTGTTCTCTCTTATTCAGTGGAGTTCCAATCTGTTCGGTTGTGGAGAACGAACCTGAGAAAAAGGATCTTTCGCAGGGTAGTTTTTGGGGGCAGAGGCTGATGTGCTGCACCCCCTAATCAGGGGTATGGTTGGCTGCAGTAGTCAAGTGAGAGGGCCGCAAAGGGAAAGGAAAAGTCGAGACTATCTTAGGGAACCAGGAGAGTCGCTGTACCTCTGAAAGATCTACGGTTTGTCTGGTCTGTAAGGAGCAAACACGGTGGAATTCCTTTCCAGATTTTTCTGGGCCTCGACCTCTGGCTTTTGGGGTACATGCCAAAAAAAAAAAAAAAAAAAAAAGCGCAGGGAGAGTCCACTAGCCTCGGTGACAGTTCCCCATTGCGGTTTCCCCTCCTCCACCCTTCTTTGCGAGCTCCTTCCCTCTGCAGAGAGTTATCCCGCCACATTAACCCCTGACTCACAGCTGGACCGCCCCGGCCCGCAGCGCCACGTCCCGGGTGGGGCCTGCCACGGCAAAGCAGCAGTCCGGCCTCGAGCGGCCCCTCGGGGGCGGCGGGGTGGGCGCCAACAGCAGTCAGGCCTGACAAGCGGCGACCTCCAAGGGTGAGGCCTCTGCGGGCCCCCGACTCACGCGCGTCCGGGCTCTGCAAGCGCGGTGGGGAGCAGGCTGCTGTGGTCGCGGGGACTGGGTTGCGGCGCGCCGCGTACGGGACGGCCCCAAACTCTCGACGCCCGGGGCAAGACGCCCACCCCCTGGGCGCTCTCGCTGGGCCAGAAAGGAAGACAGAAAAGCCGCGGGCTGACTGTGGTGGCGCTCGCCTGCAGGCAAGTACCGGGCGCTAGGGCGGGGGCCGCCGCCGGGGGCGCGGGGTGGGCTGGGGCCAGGCCGCCAGGGGCGCGGGGTGGTCTGGGGGCCAGGCCGCCTGCGCTACCTCCCCAGCCTACCCGACCCGACGGCGCGGGTGCTGGCGCTGTTGTCCCCAGCGGGGCGGGCAGGCCTTTCCGTCACTTGGCTTACTCTGAAGGGAAAATCCACACAGCTGTCTGCCTTTTTGTTTCATTTTGACTAGAAAACCCATTTTCGAAAAGACACCTCAGAACCATAAGCAAATAGCCCAGAGTCTTAAATGCTCTAAAGGCTCTGCATGAGCCCCTGCCAGGCACACAGAGCCAGTGCTGGAGGTTTTGGCATGGGTTTTCCTACTTGGCTTTTTGTGCAAAGCTAATTTGGATAAAAATAATTTGACTGGCAGCTGTGAGCTAGTTTTCAGTGTATTAGGACCTCTCCAGCTTTCCACGGTAGTAAACTTCTTAAAGAAAGTATTTTAAAATATTCTCATATTTATTATTATTTTTTAATTTATCCTTTTAATTTTGAAAAGCAAGGGTGGGAAAGGCTATATGATCTGGAGGTAAAAATACACCATTATATAGAGTTGAAGTGTCATCCCCTGAACCCACATTGCACGTCTACACAGGAGAAGAACTTGTCCTTCTCCAAGTGTTTAGTATTCCTTAGATTAGTGTTTTTCAAACAAGCCTGATGGTAAGACGCATTTGGGACTTTTGTTTAAAATGCATCCCCCCACCTCTGAAGGTTTAATTTGGTAAGCTTGATTTCCAGAATCTGTATTTCTATTTTTTTATTGTTTAATTTAATTTTATGTTCTGGGATACATGTGCAGGACTTGCAGGTTTGTTACATAGATAAACGTGTGCCATGGTGGTTTGCTGCACCTATCAGCCCATCAATCCTTACATTTTAATATTTTGAAGTAGTAGGATGGTTATAAATGGAGTTAAGCAACTCCACTTTATATCTCATTCAAATCAGAAAATAGATAAGCAGGTATAGAATATTGACACCTACATTTGAAGCAAAGTAAATGTGACATGTACGCCTTACCGTATGGAACTTGAAGTATAAACCATGTTTACACTGTTGAATCATGGGCATCTGTGTTGAGTCATTTGTTCCTTATGCTATTCTTAAAATGTATTCATTTAACAAATATCTGCTGTTAAATCTTCTGTCTTTAATCCCCCCTAGACCACACATCCCATTCTAGGTCCCGCTCCCCTACTTTGCTTCTTTTTATAACAAACAAAAATCCTCTTTGAAAGATTTAATCTAAGTCTCCATTTTCATTTTCCCTGTTTCTTCCTACCCCCTCTCATCTGAGGCTTTTTGTCCCCATTACCCCCTGCATGGTCCTGATGTTGCCAATGACTGTCTTGTGAAATCCAGTGTCTGTGCACAGTTCTCATCTTTCCTGACCCCTCAGTAACATTTGATCACTCCCTCCTCAATATTCTTTTTTCTTCACTAATGTTCTTCACTAATATTCTTTCTTCTTCACTTGGCTTCCAGGTCACCATATTCTGCATTTCATTCTGCTTCATTGTGTCTCCAGGCTTCCCCACCACTAAATCTTAGTATGCCACAGAGTTCATTTCTTGGCCATATTTTTCTAGCCATACTTTCCCCCAGGACAATTTGTATCCCAAGCCATATTCCTTGGCTATAAATAATATCTATCAGCTGATGACTTCCAAAATTTTATTCCTAGCTTTAGTTCGCTTCTGAGCTCCAGATGTATGTGTATGTCCAGCTGTTTACTCAGCATCTCCACTTGGAAGTCTGATAGGCATTTAAATTTAGTATGGACAGATAGAACTACTGATGCCAGATTCACCAAGTTCTCCCTCTGTTTCCCCTCAGCTCCCTCCCTTATCTCAATAAACAGCCTCAGTTACTGCCATTCAAGTAGGCCGGAATTCTAGGAATTTACTCTTGACTTCTCTTTTTAGGTCAGACTCCGCATCCAAGCATCCAACAAAATCTGTTGACTCTACCCAGATCTGCCCACCTCTCTCTCCCTCTCTAAGCTAAGCCACAGTCCTCTCCTACCTACATGATTGAGAAGTCTCTGCCTCTGCCCTTGCTCCTCTACAGTCTTTTCCAAATAGCAGTGATTTTTGTCATACATACTCAGAACTTTCATTTCCCTTCAAAACCTTCTGGTGGCTTCTTATCAGAATCACAAAAAAAAAGAAAGAAAAAAAAAAGAAAAGAAAAACAGGCTTACAATGGCTTTAAAGCCCTGTGTGATCTAGTCCCTGACTAGTTCTCTGAACTCATCTCCTGACTTCCCTCTCATCCACTCCACTGTAGTAACACTGATTGTGCTGCTGTTGCCTTTGCCTGCAGCTGGTGTCTGCTAGACCATTGCACACTGTACTCCCTCACTTCTCTGTTAGCATGCTGCCTCAGGGGTTACTGTGCTATTGCAGCAAGATCTCTTTTGCTGCTGGGCCTGTGCGGTAGGTTGCTATTAAATACTGAATGCTACTCTCTAGTATTCCATGAAGCTTATGGAACCTTTAAAACATTGTTGGTTGCTTGAGTTCCCTAATATTAAAAATGCACAACCATTTTTCTTTTGAGCCTAATTTTGATAAGATGGACAGTTTGCCTTTAAGTTCTATGTTTTTATAAAATCTCTTCCTGATTTGGAGATTTGCCCTTTACCATCAGTTTTCATTTTTAGATACAGAAAATGGAAGAAAAATATCCAGTTCACTAAAAAGAATATGTAATAATATTTGGTGGGGGGCAGTTACTTTGCCCCCCTCCCCCCACCAATAGGGGCAATAGGAAATAGGAAGCAATAATCTAACATTTGGAGACTCTTTGAATGGTACCAGCAGCAGGTAGTTTATGGGAAGAAGAAAAATAAAGACACTTGTTCAGAGAATAATATACAAGTTTCTAAGTTCTGCAGTGACTAAGCCAATGTCAGAGTTGTGAAGATTTTATAAGATATTATATAAATTGAACTTTTTTTTTTTTTTTTTTGAGACAAGGTCTTGCTATGTTGCCCAGGCTGGTCTTAAACTCACAGGCTCAAGCAATTTTCCCACCTCAACCTCCCAAATAGCTGGGCCTAGAGGCACATACCACTGCATCTGGCTCCAGTTCTCTTTTGAGGACTATGTAGAAATGAAAAACAATATTTTCATCTTTATGAAGAGGTGTAGCAACTAAAAGATTGTTTAATTTATAATCCTTATTTCTCATTTTAATCTCAAGGAACTGGTTCTGTTATCAGTAGCGTATGTACTATCACCCCTTCTTGTAAAAGAAAAGAAGAAAATTCCTTCTTATTTCAGAATTAGGATTTAAGATACTTTAATAAATATTTCCAATATAAGATTAAATTAAATTAAATAATAAGTAGATTTGGAATATCGAACAGAGAGAAGAGTAGGGGGGTTAAGCAGAAACTAGGAGTGAAGTTATTAATAGTATCAAAACACTTGCCATAAGCTTCTGTCTGTTGGCCAGAGCACTCATTAACGTGGAGCTTCCTAGCAACTGAGTGAAGAGATAGGGTCCACAAGATGAAAAAGCAGTGCCCAGGTGAAGATCGGATAGAAGCATTTTTTTAAACATTTACTTGCTCAAGGACCTGTTTTAGGTACGATGAAGATGAATGTTCTGTCCTTTGGTACTTAAGAAGAGTGTTGGAGAAGCCCTGTTTGGTTTAGAGTTAGCAAACCCATGCTCTTGGAATATTTGCATATAAATAAAAAACAGATGAAATAGAGCTAAACCTGGAGATAGGCTAAACTCATTTGGAACGTAGAGATAGAGCATGTAAGGAAGACACTTACCAAAGGTGTTGGAAAAGATATATATAAGGAAGATACTATTTAGATGGAAATCAAATCAACATAATTGACATAATTGTTGACAATTATTGACCTAATTGATATTTATAAAAATATAAAGCCTAGAAAATGAATTTTTATTTACTAAAAAACTATTTTTTCAGACTGTGTGATCATTGTTCAAAAGGTGAACATGTATGTGTATATATGTGTACATGTGAAGAACACGTGAGTTCTTCACATATATATGAAGGAATACATATATATACACATTTATATATTCTTATGCATATACCATTCACAGAGGATCAATGTTACCTTTTTGGTATTCACTTGGCCCATGAACAACATGGGTTTGTATTATGTGGGTCCCCTCATATGTGGATTTTCTCCAACAAAACATGGATCAAAAATGCGGTATTCCAGGATGCAAAACCCACACATACGGAGGGCTGACTTTTTGTATACGCAGGCTCTGCAGGCTGACTGTGGGACTTGAGTATTCTTGGATTTTGGTATATGCAGGGGTCCTGGAACCCCTGGAATCAGTCTTCCCTACCCTTAAGTATACCAAGAGACGACAGTACTTCTTTCTAATCTATTTTCTCTGCATTTTGTTTAACAAAGCTGAGATCATATTCTGTATACTATTTTACAGTCAGTTCCTTTTCTTTAATTACATTTCATTTTCGTGTCATGAGAAGCGTTTTTCTCATGTCATTAAAATTGTTCATAACATTCATAAACATTTTTAATGGTTTAATAGGATTCGATCATATGAATAATGTGACATAGTTAATATTATCATTCCCCAGTTTTTGGATATTTTTATTTTTACCTCCAATGGAATTTTGACTAGCTTATGATTGTACAAGATCTCTTATGATAATAAAATATAGTCATATAACTCATACTTCAAATATGCCAGAAAATATCTCCATAGATTGCATGACAAGAGAAAGCTAAGCCAGTTTGAGAAACTGACAAAAAGGTCTGTCAACCTAAATAACAGAGGGAGATAGAGGCTCTCTAAAAGAAAGTAATATTTATTCAGAAATGGGCGTTGCAGTGGGAATATGTGTGCCATAGTAAATTGTGTGTACTCAGGGAAGTAAAGGCAGACAAAGATTTTCAAAGTAAAAATGAGGAGGTTTACATAATTGTTTTGAGATAATTATTTTTGGCTTGTGGGTAAATAACAAGGGTGGCACCAGTCTGAAATTGGACAGGAAGTTGCTGGGCAGTTGTTCTTGCAGAAGTACTTTTTATATAGGACTGTGATGGCATTTGTGCAAGGTTCTGTTTTTGTTTGTTTGTTTGTTTGTTTTTGAGACGGAGTCTCACTGTCTCCCAGGCTGGAGTGTGCAGTGGCGTGATCTCGGCTCACTGCAAGCTCCACCTCCTAGGTTCACGCCATTCTCCTGCCTCAGCCTCCCGAGTAGCTGGGACTACAGGCACCCGCCACCACGCCAGGCTAATTTTTTGCATTTTTAGTAGAGACGGGGTTTCACCATGTTAGTCAGGATGGTCTTGATCTCCTGACCTCATGATCCACCCACCTTGGCCTCCCAAAGTGCTGGGATTACAGGCGTGAGCCACCGCGCCCAGCCAAGGTTCTGGTTTTTGGGGAGACTTTTATGATAGTTCTGGTTACTAGGCATTTATATTTAAGAACCTTTCCTTCATGGCCTTTCCTGGCTCTGATTGTCCGGTTTTTTAACACTAGTAACTCCACTTTGATTCTGACAACTCTTACAGACCCATAAAGACCCATGTGCAGGGAGCTGGAGGAACAAAGTGGAGAAAAGCATGAGATGAGGTTGAAGCTGAAGGAGCCAGGCTATGCAGGGTATTATTTGTCATATCAAGAAATTTTTATATCAAGCACAGTAGGAAGCCAATGCAGGGTTATAAATGGGAGTAACTCAAATCAGATGTTTTGAAAGATCATCCTGGCTGTTGAGTGGAGAATGGATTAGACTGATTGAGAGTAGGGGACCAATTAGGAGGCAGTGCAGAAGACCAGGATAGAGACATTGATCTAGAATGAAAATGTGGTAGAGAGGAAACTTGAAACAATTTGAGATTATCTGTTAGAGTTAGATACACAGGACTTGGTGATCACTTGGAAGTGCAGGAATAGGAGAGTAAGAGGAAGGTATCAAGGATACCCCAGGTTTTGGGTAATAACAGGACAAATGATAATGCCTTTTACCATGATGGAGAAGTCTGGGAAAATGAGGTGCAAGCTACCTTCCAGGTCAGCAAGTAAGACAAATTAAGAGTGCTGGGCAATACATATTATAAGAGATGTGAACCAGATATTATGGATATACAGAGGATGAGTACTTAATTCAACTTGGAGATAAAAGGAAATGCAATCCTTGAGTAGTGTCTTGAATCATAAAGAGGAGCTATTCATGTAGATGGTTGGGCAAGGGTACATTCTAAGATGGAGCATGGAGGCAACAACATGACATTTGGGAAAACCGTAAATAGGTGGATATTAGAACTCTCAAGAGTAACATGGTAGGAGCAAATTTTATGGATAAAAGGAGAGATTGGATCATAAAGGGCCTAGAATGTTATTCTAATAAGATAGAGTTTTTCTTGAAGGCATTAGGGTATTATCAAAGGGATCTTTAAGCAAGAGAAAAACAGGATCAGTTTTCCATTGCAGAAAGATCTATCTAGAAATGATGTAAAGGGAAAGAGACTGGAGGCAATGAAACTAGTTGGATATTATGGGAATTTGTAATCCTCTAAGGAGGAATAATATAGGTCTTGAACTAAAGCATAGGCAGGGAATGGAGAGAATGGGAAAAGAGACAGATATGTTTAGGAGGCAGACTAAACATATCTATTAGCAGGACTTAAAGTTTAGTGGGTGGAGTTGTGGGGAGGGTTTGTTTGAATGGGTGAAAGAATATGAGAATAATTTGTAGGTTTCCGTCGTAATCGGTAGAGAGGATATTAGTATCATTGACCAAGGCAGAGAAGATTGAGGAGGAAAGATTGATTGACTGATTGATTGATTGATTGATCCATCTGTCTGTCCATCTGTCCATTTACCCTGTGCTTATTGAGTACCTATTATGGCCCAGGTACTATTCGCTTGACCCAGTAAGCAAACTTTGGTCAACAGAGGGAATGACTGTACCAAGCCCAGTTTGATATCTATCACTCATATTAGTTCTTGTGGCCCAGCCTCTATTGGAATCATGTCAGAATAGTGTGCAGAGTCAGGGGTGCTACAAACCTAGAGAAGGGAGTGCTGTTTGGAAACAACTCACAGACTGAATTGAGTCTGTATCCATCATCTCAGATGGGGATGAGCTTGTCTCCTAAAAAAAAATCTCCTAAAGTCATGATACGCCTTTAGCCAGCATTTATTTCAGTTCATCCAATTGTAAGTCAGTCCTCCTCCCAGGCTGCAAGGGTATTTATGGTGCCTTCTTAATGCCAAAGGATTTTCACCAATTCCTAATTGCCTGCTATTTGTATCCTCTTTTTCTGTGGTCATTTCTTGAAAGTACTTTTAGCCAAAACATCTATCATATATTTTTTTTCTAACAGGTCTAGCCACTGTCACTTTTATGTCTTTGTTATGCATGAAAACTGTTTGCTAGAAAACAACATTTTGGCAAACAGTATAAACACCTTGTCAAGCTGCCATTCAGACTGAGGAAAACTTAGTAAGTTGAATAATTTTGTATTTCTTGGCTGAGAGCCAATGACAGAACTTAGTCTCCTAAGCTGACTGATCTACTAGCAAAAAATGTATAACTCTGCTATTTGGCGTTTAAACACACATACTTACATACATTTATTTATTTAAAAGTATAAAAAGACATCTAAGACAAACAGTGCTCTCATGAATTGTATTGCATAGGAAAGCACACAACCATATGTGTGTTTGGGTGTATGTGAATATGTATGTATACATACACACAGTTTAAAGCAAGCATATGCAAAGATGCACAGATTCAGTATAATTTGAACACAGAATTGGGATCATACTGTAAGTATTGTAATATATTTTAATTTGATCATTTTTAAAAATTAAGTAAGTAGATAATGTTACAAAGGTCATTTTAGTCAGAGGAATCACATTTCAGGCATGGATGAAGTTACAGAGCTGGAAAGGCTGGACATCCTGGCAGAAGAGAAAAGGACCAAGCATGATACTCATATTTTTGAAAATTGTTTTTATATAGTAATAACATAGAACACAAAAGCGCATAGAGCAAAGTATATAGTTGAATAAATAAAAAAACAATCAACCATGTAATCATTTTCTGGTCTACAATCATTTTTCCTAAAGATTTTCTTTTCCTCACTACTCTGCAGTACCTCTTTTGTTGTACATCGTGTCCATATATGTTTGGATCTGTTTCAGAGCTCCTTATCCCATCCCTTTAGCAATTTGTCTAACATTTTGCTGTATTACCTTGTCTTCACTGTTGTAACTTTATAGTAAGTGTTGATGCCCAATAGAACAAGTCCTCCCATCTTATTCTTCCAAGTGTATTGACTATTCTTACTCTTTATATTTCCATAGAAATTCTGGAATTGAACCGGTAAAACCCAACCAAAAAAAGTCTTGTTGAGATTTTGATTGTTATTGCATTGAATCTATATATCAATTTAGAGAGAATTGACATCTTTACTATATTGAATATTTCAAGTAATAAACATGATATATATGTGCATTTATTTAGTACTTTCCTTTTATATTTTATCTCACTAATATTTCTGTGTGGAAATCTTGCCCCTTTTTTGGTTAGATATATGCCCAACTATTTGATATTTTTTGATCTATTGGAAAATGACATTTTTTTTGTAATTTTATCTTTTATCTTTGTTATTGGTATTCAAAAATACAGTTGAATTGTTTATGTTGATCTTATTATATCCATTTTCTTGCTAAACTTGCTTATCTTTTAGTAGTTTTGGTAATTTTTAAAATTTTTGGATGATAGAAGACTCTTTTATTTCCAGTTTGCTAAGAGTTTTTATAATGAATGGATGTTGAATTTTATCAAAATATTTTTATTTTTAATTGTCAATGTGATTACTTACATTGATTTTTGTTTTAAATTTTTGAGATAGAATCTCATTCTCTCGCCCAGGCTAGAGTGCAGTGACAGGATCTCGGCTCACTGCAACCTCCGCCTCCTGGGTTCAAGCAATTCTCTTGCCTCACCCACCTGAGTAGCTGGGATTACAGGCATGCGGCACCACACCTAGCTAATTTTTGTATTTTAGTAGAGGTGGGGTTTTGCCATGTTGGCCAGGCTGGTCGTGAACTCCTGGCCTCAAAATGAGCCACCCACCTTGGCCTCCCAAAGTGTTGGGATTACAGGCGTGAGCCACCACACCCAGCCACATCAATCAATTTTTACTTGTCAGATCAACCTTGCATTCCTAAAATAAACCCAACTTGGTTGTGATGGATTATCCTTTTTTTAAAAAGGATCCATTTTTCTAACATTTTGTTTGTGATTTTTGAAGTAATAATCATGAGTTAGACTGATCTATAATTTTCCTTTTTGTAATATTCGCATCAGTTCTTGGTGTCATGGTTATGCTGGCCTCATAAACATGAGTTGGGGAATGTTTCCTCTTTTTTAATCTTCTAGTTTTATTATTTTTTTCTTTACATATTTGGCTACTATTTGAACCTGGATTTTTCTTTTTGGGGAGATTTCCAATTATGAATTTATATCTTTAATAATAATTGAGAGAGAGGGTTAGGAAGAATAGCTAGTGGGTGCTGGCCTTAATACCTAGGTGATGGGATGATCTGTGCAGCAAACCATCATGGCACACATTTACCTATGTAGTAATCCTGCACATCCTGTAAATGTACCTCTGAAGTTAAAAGTTGAAGAAAAAAATAATTGAATTCAGGTTATTTCTTCTGTGTCTGTTTTGAGAAATTGTCTATTTCTTGGAATGTGTTTATTTCGTCTCAGCTTTCACTTGCGTTTATATATGATTGGTCATAATCTTTTTATTACATTTTACGGTCTGCAAGATCATCACTGAGATCCCATTTTCATTTCTGACATTGGTTATTTGTGCTTTCTTTTACTTTGTATATGACTCTAGATTAGCAGCTATTTTCTTTCATCACGTTAAAGCTATCATTATTTCTCTTGAGAAACATTCTTATTGTTGCATCTTTTAAGGTAATCTATTTTCTCTTGCTGTTTTTAAGACTTTTTTCTTTGCTATTGGCTCTTAGCAGTTTTACTGTGTTGAAGCTAGATGTGGTTTTCTTTTTATTTATTTTCCTTGAAGTTCATAGGACTTTTAAAAATGTGTGATCTGATGTTTTTCTTCAATATTGCAAAGTCTTTACATTATCTCTTAAATTACTGCTTTGCTTTAATTCTCTCTCTTTTCATTTGGGACTCCAATTTACACATTTGTTACACCTTCTAATTGTATAGTTGTTCTGTGTAGCTTTTACCTGCTTTCTTGTATTTTACTTTCTTTTTTTGTTTCTCTCCCTTATTCTGAAGGGTTTTTTTTCTAGCTTGTTTTCTAGTTCATGAGTTCCTTCTGCTGCTGATCTAATCTAATGATAAATCCATCCATTCAATTCTTAATTTCAACTATTATATTTTTCAATTTTAGATTTTTTTCTTACCTGCCATGCCTTTTTTTAAAGTTTGCAGTTATCTGACAAAATTCTCAATCTTTCCTCCTCTTGTGCAATCACAGTTATTAATAAAAGTTTGAAATCCACATAGATTTATTTCTATTGTCAGCTGCGTTTGCTGGCTTTCTTGTCTTCTTCCAGAGAGGATTTAATTTTTGCTTGTGCCGGGTTCCTGGCAGCACTAACAATCTGTGATCACTTTAATCTGATTTCAGAGATGGCAGTTATTAAAAAGAATGCTTCCATTCCTGGGAGGATCAGTCTGTTTTTAGATCACTCGTACACCTAGGTGTAGCCTTCAGGGTCCCAACCCAAAGCACACAACTGGAGTCACACTTTTGTCTCATTAACCATGAGGGGCAAAAAGCACAGCACTAGCTTTCCTCTTCTGAAATTGAAAAATACTCTAGGGGGAGAGTCGTCTCTGGGTTTCTGTCTTCTGGATTTGGGTTCTATAATTCTTCACTATGTCATTAGTTCTCTGATGCTTCAAGCCTATTTTTTTTTTCTATTTTGTCTAGCTTTTCTAGTTATCCTCAGCAGTAGCATTGATCCAAATTACCTAGTCCACCAGTACTAGAAGTGGAAGCTGCAAATAGCCCCATTTTGATATTTGAGAAACAGGCCAAGAAAGAGCATTTAGTAAAGGAGACTGAGAAGGAGGAGATGAGAGAGAGAGACTGACACATGATGGTATAGTTAAATGGATCTTGGGAAATGCCTTTAGTGACTTTAAAGCCATAATAGAGAGTTAAATAACTTTTCATAGGAGTTATTTCCTCTTTCCTTTGTAGCCTATATCTTTGGAATAGAAAGAAAGGTAAGATGATAGTTCTAAAGGGAAAGATATTAAATAAGTACGACATGCAAGTAAAAGCAGGAGAGCAAAAGTACAAACAGAAGAACCTGAAAAATCTTAAAGAAAATTGATTGTCAGCAGCTCAGACATCTGTATACATCTGTAGCTAATAGATAGGATATGGATGGGTAATAAAGAAAGTGAACTTGAGTTTTTAATACAATGTATCCCCTGAAAGGATTTCCCTTCAATTTAGAAAATGTACATTAATATTGCTTTCTATCAATAAGACAACCAACTTGTACAGAAATTTCTGAATCCAGGTATGGGAAGCACTGTGGAAAGGTTTCATATTTCATTTCTTCATAGTTAGATAATGGTCCTTTTGTCTACTTTGTAATCTTTTCTGTTTTCCATATTATGTATAATGCATATGTCATATTTATATTCACGTAACTTTTTCTTTTTTGAGACAGTGCCTTGCTCTGTTGCCTAAACTAGAGTGCAGTGGTGCAATCATGGCTCACTGAAGCCCCAAACTCCTGCGCTCAAGTGATCCTCATTCTTTTTAAATTTATTTATTAAATGTTTTTTGTAGTCATGGGGTCTTGCTTTGTTGCCCAGGCTGGTCTCAAACTCCTGGCCATAAGTGATCCTCCCACCTCGGCTTCTCAAAGTATTGGGATTACAGACATGGACAACTGCACCAGACCCTATATTCACATAATTATTTAAAAAATGTAGTATAAGTGATCATTTTTAAAATCTAACAAAATATATTTGGATTGGTTACTCTCTATTCTGGTTGAGTCAATGATTTATATAATAGGGATGATCAAAAGCTATCTGTTTGGCTTTCTCTCTAAAGCTACAGAATTCTGTCATATCTTTGGAGCTAATTAATTTATTCATTCACAAAGCATTTCTTGAATGCTAACTATATGCTAGGCTCTGGGGATATAGTGATGAATAAGACAAGTTGATCGTTGTTCTGATCGAGTTTGCAGTCTAGCGAGAATGATGAGAAACTAAGCAGATAACCATTCACATAAATAATTAATTGTGATTAGTGCCATGAAGGAAAGATACAGAGTGCTAGGCTTTGATAGATCCCATAACTCTAACCTTTCTAATGCAAGCTCTAATAGCTAAGAATGAAAAGTATAGGTACTGGCTTACTCTAACTGTAAATAAATGCCAATAGGTAATATTTGATATTTGATAATCCTTTTATTTAGGCTGGGCCTTTGCCATCCTTATTGATTCTCTGCAATCCCCCAAAGAAAGAAAACAAATGACAGCCAATTCTCAAGAATGTTATTTCAATCTAAGATGAAGATGGATTCAAATTCAACTCATTCTGTTCCTGAAAATACTTATTACCCTAGTTGGGATTTTTTAATATTTCCAGTGTCTAAGAAGTCTAAGAATAGTCTATGTGTTTCTTATCTGGCTGGCGTGGATCTGTTCTACTGTGTCCTGACAGCTCGGCAGAGCTTGGCACACTCCCGTGCTGTAGTTGAGGGATCAGCACACTTTTTCTGTGAAGGGCCAAGGAGTAAATATTGTAGGCTTTATGGGCCATATGGTTTCTGTTGCAATACTCAACTCTGCCTTTGTAGTATGAAATAAGCCACAGACAAATACATCAATGAAGGGACATGTCTGCCTTCCAATAAAAATGTATTTACAGAAGCAGGTGGTAGAGTTTGTTTTGGATGTTGTATCAATCACAGTTTAGTTGTGGACAACAGAATCTACTCTAGTTAGTTTAAGTAGAAAGGTGTGTCTTATGAGATATTACAAGATGTACAGTATCGTTGGGAAAGTTGAAGAACTGCACTCTAGGTTGGGTTTCTAGAAACACCTCTCAAAGCCATATAACAGACTTGTCTACTGGCCTGGGGCTTTTGGCATACTCAGAAGCCTCCTGCCAAATCAGGAAGCAGCCAGCTCCTTAATTATGCCCACTCTACCAGAATCTTAGCCAGCAAAACAGGTGCTTCATGTTCTGCCTCGTTGCATATTTAACTCAGACGTGTAAGTACATCTGATGCTGAACTTAAATTACGTTTAGGAAACCTAGCATTGAGGGAGTCTGGGAGATGAAAGTTTTTAGTACTTGTGGTACAGAAAGTACAGGAAGATACAGTAAAAAGAGACAGGAATAAGTTTTCGATGAACAATTCTTTAGCAGATACTGCAGCAGATCTACAGAACACCACTTTGGCTAATTAACATCATGGACACTCTTCTTTTCAAACCTAAACTTCTAGATAACAGCAATAGCTGTAATGGCATGCTATCTCCCAATATAATGCAGCTCTCCTTCATATAAACAAAAGTGGACTCACCTTCTCTCTAAAAGGTACAACGTGAAGTCCCATAGGTCACTTTATCATCTGTAATATTCATCACAGACATTATCCTGTGACCCAGCACACTCAAGAGTTAAGTGGCCTATTCCTCTTCAGAAAAGGAGTGGTGGTGGAGAGACAGAGCTTACCCAGTGCCCAAGAGGATAAGACCTTAATTCTAAGACGCTTCCACACGTATATTTCACCCTCTTTACTAGCAAATTCCCTTCAGTTCGTAAGCATTCCAAGTATCTTCTCTTAATGAAAGCCTCTCCTGACCCTGCATTTAGTTATGAGTATTGGCCTCTCCTTTCCCTCTCAGCCAACCTTTTCCTCTGAATGTCAAGGTGCTAAATGCAGTGGATGCTGATTTCTTGGCAGCCGTGGGTGCTGACCACTGCTGAAGCCCTCTCCTCCCTTGGCTTTCAGATGCCATTCTGTGTCTGATTTTCATGCTGTTCCTGGGCCACTCCTGTTCCGTTATGGGCCCCTCACCCTGCATATGCTCTTCAGTCATTGGTTCTGTCTTTAGCTCTCTCTCTCCTCTCTTTTCAATACCTATTCTCAGTTACTCACATGATTTAAGCAAGCAACTAACTTGTATCCCCAATCTAAGATGCTCTTTTATGCCCCAGACCTACATGTGCAAGTGCCTACTGGATCACTCTTGGAAGCCATGGGCACCCAAGCTCCATAGGTCCCAGACTGGATTTCTTGGTCACCCCCAACCCACTCCATCCTGATTATATTGCTTTTCTCAGTGAATGACACCACCACCCACCAAGTTACAAAAAGCATAAGCTTGGGAGGCATCCCTGACTCTTCCCTCTATGCCATCCCCATTACCTCCACTATCACTTCATCTGTTTGGGGCTCTGCTTTCTCACCGACACTATTGTAGCAGCCTCTTAACTAATTGTTCTCCCAGTCTAGCATCTTCCAGTCCTGTAGCCTAGTTTCTTTACAAACCTAAACTTCCAGACAACAGTAATAGTTATAATGGTATGCCATCTTCCAATAGAATACAACTCTCCTTCATATAAACAAAAGTGCACTCACCTTCTCTCTAAAAGGTACAACTCAAAGTCCCATAGGTCACCATATCATCTGTAATATTCATCATCAACAATTTTAGGACTATTTTAACCTGTGTCAAGTCAGATCAGATCACTCGCATTTAACACCTACCAGGGGCTATCTGTCTGCCAGCATGATGAAAGCCAAAGTCCTGAGCAAAATACCTTAGGTTCCTTATAAGGAACCTCTTTTAATCTACTTTACCTTTCCCCTGCTCTTACTTCTTTCCCTTCCTCTTCTGCCTCCTCCTTCATGGACTTGAGCCATAAATGTCCGGTGCAAAATGATTCTAACATACAGTCTTTGCCCTCTGGTACCTCAGTGTTTTTTCAAGTGCTGCTTCCACTGCCTAGAAAATGTCCACCTGTCTTTGTCTTGCAAGGGTGAAGCGTCCCGTGCTGCAGATGGCCCTCCTGAGTGCTTTCATGGCACCTGATATTCTGAATAAAGCACCTGTGCAGTGAGTCCTAATTGTCTTGTTTAATTATCCTGGCTTCACATCTCTAAAACCTAGCATGTTTTGCTGCAGAATGAGTTTCCACCAAAATATTTATTAATAACAAACATTTATTAACAACAAAACTTATTGAACACAGGAATCTTGATTTTACATATATTTGCCACAAGATGGTGCTGTTCAGATATGAACGAAAAAGGCTCTCCAAGGCTGAAGGATTCAGTACTAGGTGAAATTTCTTTAAATATGTTAAAATTTTAATATTGCTACATTCATCGGTCACCCTACTTGACCAGTCATATAAGCATTTGAAGTCGGTTAAGCACTGTCTTTCTCTTGAACTGTTTTCTTTCCTTAGCAGCTGGGGTACCACTCTCTTCTGGTTTTCCATCAACCCATCAACCTTACTGACTAGTCCTTTTCTGCCTCCTTTGCTAGTTCTTTCTGTTCTGTTTTTTTTTTTTTTTTTCCAACACTCTACCTTAATTAATGGTTTCATTAATGATTTATGAATTGCATGTTGTCATAGCAGTAATGGGTAGAAGTGACTAACAAATTGCCATAAATCTAGCCTAAAGACAGATCATCAACTATCCAAAAATCATTTGTAACACAACACAAATAAAAAATCACTGTAGGAATAGTTAATCTTAATAATAATGACAACAATAACTCCACCTTCATAATGTTGGAGTGCCATAGGGCTCAGCCTTTCTTTTTCTATCTATACTCACCTCCTTAAAATCCTGTATAGTCTTTAATGATCTCATATTGTCTTTCTCAAATACAATCTATACAAAGATAAAGGCCAAATATGCATCTCCCTGCTGGAACCTTTCTCCTACACTCCAGACTCTATATTCAATGCCTAGTCAACATCATCAGCAAATCTTCTCAGTTCTACTTTCAAAATATGCCCCAAATTTAGCCACTTCTCACCACTTTTACTACTACCATCCTGGTTCAAGCCATCATCATTTTACTATTGGGTTTCTGCAACAGACTCCTAACTAGTGTTCCTGCTTCCACCCTTCCCTTCCTGCCTTCTATTCCTGCCTTCTATTCTCAGTGCAGCAACCAAAGTGATCCTGTGAAAACTAGTCAGATCATGTCACTCCTCTGCTCAAAATCCTCCCCTGGCTTCTGCTCTCGCTTATCTCCTTCTAGGCTACCCTTGGCTCCCTCCAGCCCCACGGCACTCCTTTGCGGTTTCTATATTTTCCTTATAGTGTTTGGATCCTTGATTTGTCTATAGCCTCCCTTTTTATCTAATTCTGTTAATTTATCTCATCTTTGCTATTTTTGTTTCATTGATTGCATATTCTTTTTAGTACCTCCTAGAGCAAGGTTATTCAAACTGCTTGTCCATGATAATCTAAGAAGCATGCACCAGAATGTAAACCATGCTGCTTCCTGCTTTGAGAGTGTCTTGCTAGGAAAAAAATGTCAGCTGGCTAAACAGCATACCTACTGATGTAGTTGATTTACATCCTGGCACAATCTGCTTATCTCCTCATTGACTGGTAAGAAACAGTTCAGAGACTGGCATCTTGTTCATGGACTACGCTTTGACTAGCACCACCCTAAAATATAAACATTTGTTGTATAAATGTTTTAGCTTCTTTGTTATGTATTTAATAGCAATAATAGCTGCTAATGTTTATTGAGTACTTACTATGTGCCCAGCACCATCCTAAGCCATTTTGATCTTCATAAAACCCCTAAGGATAGGGACTATAATTATTTTACAGATAATGAAATAAAAGCACAAATATATTGATTAAGTTGTACAAAATCACAGTTATTTTATAGCAGGAAGGAGATTTACACTCAGGCAGTCTGATTCCAGAGTGCATAGTCTTCATGAAATGGAATTTTAAATCTGTTTTTGTACGCTATGATTCTCCTTTATATTCTTTTATATTTCCTGTAATATTTTACATATTCACCATAGCATATTTGCCATGTTGTTTTTTTCATTCCTCTTCTGTTTAATATAGAGAATTCTACTGGGGTCCTCTTTTGCATAGATATGAAGTGGATAAATTCTGGACTCTCCTTCCTTCTTATCTCAGGCCTATTGATCTTCCCTTCAGAACTTTAGTTTAAGGGTACCATTTGGATTGATTATGTTTCTTCACATTTCTGTTGCCTGAGGGGATGGATATGATTCACTCTGTTGGGCTTTGGTCAACAGTAATTGGTAGTTTTTCTCTTATGTCTTTTCTGGGGCAAGGGATAGAGTTGGGGTGTCATTCTATCAAGTTATAAGTTTTTTTAAAAAAGGCTCAGCCCTACGGAGAGCAATTTGACCAAATGAATCACTGTTACAAATGGAAATCCCATTGGGGGAATTGTTCTATAGATAAACTTGCACACATATGAAATGCTTTTTGTACAGAATTATCCATTGCAGCATAGTTTGTCCTAGTAGTAGACTGGAAACAACTCACATATCCAAGAACAGGGAATGATTATGGGATAGCCACATGCTGCATGATTATGTAGTTGTAAATAAGAAGAAGTTCTCTATGCGCTGTTACGGAAAGCTCTGAAGATATAAAGGGAAAAAGCAATGTATACTAATGTTTATCCACTGCTGTTTGGGATTTATATGTCATGTATACATATGAATAATGATACTTTTTTTGAAAAGGAAAGAATAACAAGAATATTCTTTCAAAATATCCTTGTTTGAATTTTGGGACATTTTTGAAAAAAGGAAAGAAAAATAAGAATATATATTCATAGAGAAACAGTGGAAAGATGCAGGAGAAACTGATAAAAGTGGTCACCAGCAGGAGACCATGGGAATAAGTAACAGGATGGATGGAGACACACCACCACCTTTTTTTAAAAAAAGTAAATGAAAATGTATATACATACACATTTTAATTTTTATGAACAGTGGTCTCACATGCGTCTCCCAAGTGGCACCCTCACTCTCCTTCCATTTAGCTGAAGCAAGGAGGTGAAACCTAAATTTTTTAAGCCTGGTGTTCATTGTTCTGATGGAGGAGGAGAACTTTAAAGGAGGCTTTCCAGGATTCCTTTGGCCAACCTTCCCCAGATTTCCTTCACCACGCCATGCCTTTCCTTTGTTCCAGTAGAGCCCTTTTTACTGATGGAGTTAACTGGCCAACAGTGAAGCACAGTCGTGTCCTCTCACTTCCTCCCAGCCCTGGGAACCACAGTGCACTAAGGAATCCTGACCATCTCTCCATGTCTGAGTCACAGTGGTGGTGGGAACAGCACAACTTTCCACAGCTTGTTCCCTTGGCAGTCTCCTTACTCCCTCCCTCCAGATTAGAAGATGATGGTAAAGTTTTATAGACATTGCCACTAGTTTTTTTCTCTCGGTCTGATTAGGTGGGTGACACTGCTTGGAAGTTGGAACACATCATAGATTTCTGAAGTCTTTTGCTCTTTTTTGCTAACTGGTATTTAAGAAAAATAAGTCGAAGTTGTAATTCTTTGTTTTTATTTTAAAAGATTTTGTGATCTGCCTTGACACACTATCTTACCCTAGAAGTTTTTCATATTCTTTATAAATAGCTGTTATATTCCTTCAAAGCACTTGTCTTACCGGCTAGTGACTAAGATAATGGTGTTGAATTCAGTGATAAGTGTAGATCATTTTAATTGACAGTAAATAGATGCCTCTGGATGGTTTAACTATTGTTTTCTCATTCAGGGGAAACTTCTTTCTGCAACTTTGCATAGCAAAACCCTTTTTTTTTACGATGCAGTAACAAAAGTCAGCAGTGAATCCTAATCAATGAAGAGAGTCCAAATTAATTTGGTTTTATTATTTTGGATGGATATATGTCACATTTTAGAGTTATTATGCCTTAGAATACCTCTTGGTAACTAGCACAATATACCGTGGAGCGAGAACCTAAAGTACAGACAGAGTGAATGACGGAGTGGTCAGCAGTTTCCTCACTAGTCAGAGGCAGCTGCAAACATTTTTACTCACATACATTGAATGAAATTCTCTGTTTTTTTCCTTGGTTTTTGTTCCCATGACAGTTTTCACCACTTTTGTTGAACAGTTTCTTCTAAACCTGAATTATGTAGGCATATGTAGCCATGTTACTTATGTTGTTATGAATGTTATAATTTCTTCTTGAGGTATGGCCTTTGCCCATAAAGAACAAGTAGAAATGCTCTGGAATATAGTCTGTGGCTCACATTTGAAAGTATGAAACCTGTATTTATATATTCTAAATGTTCTGTCTTTTAATAAAAGAATTCCCCTTGAAACTGCCTGTCTGGGGGATTTTATTAGGAATATTGCCAATGTTTTCTGAAGACTTATTTAAATTAGATTCACATGGTATACTTTTCTTTCACAGTTGATCTAGTTCTTCCACTCTGAATTTAGAATTTTTTTAAATAAAAGAATGAGTCTAGGCCAGACGTGGTAGCTCATACCTGTAATCCCAGAGCTTTGAGAGGCTGAGGCGGGAGGATTGCTTGAGCCCAGGAGTTCGAGACCAGCCTGGGCAACATATGAAACCCCATCTCTACCAAAAAAAAAAAAAAACCAAAAAAAAAAAAAATTAGCCAGGTGTGTGGCATGTACCTGTAGTCCCAGCTACTCCAGAAGCTGAGGTGGGAGTATGGCTTGAGCCTGAGAGGCAGAGATTGCAGTGAGTTGAGATCACACCACTGCACTCCATCCTGGGCAACAGAGCCAGACCTTGTCTCAAAAAATAAATAAATAAATAAATGAATAAATAAATAACAACAAAAACAAGAATGAATCTAGACTATAATCATTCTTTGTTGATTTCACTGGAGAAAGTCTCAAGTCTTTGTTTCTAGAGTTCATTTCCAAACTGAGATGTTAATTTTTCCTTAGGTGAATAAATATATTTTCTTCAGTAGTTACAGGATTCGTTGGAAAAAGATATTTCTTACTTTTCACACACTCTTATTATAATTTATTCTCCATTAGATTCACCATCACCACAATGCCTGACTCCAGACAAACAAAAAAAAGCTCCGAACCAGTAAATCCTGGACATCATTTCACTTGACATTTCAGATCTTCTGTTTATGCTGTCAGTAGAGATGCTGCCAGTCATTGTTAGGATATTTGTGTTCTATTTTGTTTGTGCTTGATACAGAAATATATTTATGCTTAATTGAATATTCAGTTTCTTTATATTTTCCTGTTTCTAGTCTACATGGTAATTTGATAATGGAGAAATTAGATTTAAACTGCATGAAAAGATAAAGCGGTATGGTACCTATCACAAAAATACCAACGTAATTTATTTCAATCTGGAGGTTTGTAGTGCTAATATAACACCATTTACATTTTCCGAATGTCTCCTATTATATTAAACTGGACCCTTTATTTAATGTTCCCTTCGCTGCCTGTGATAGCCCTTGTAAAGCTCACAAAAGATTAGTAGTTTAGCTTCCCAATTATCTGTTTGTCGTTTATGTATTTGGATCTGTCTATTATAATCTTTTTGAGCTTTTCAGTTTGAATGAAAGTTTCCATTTTTAATGTTTTGATTAAATTTATAATATTCTTCTGTTTTGTTACTTCTTTTAGATTGAAAAGAAATGCTGAGAAATACATAAAGTTTTCCTCTTCTGCCTTGGATATTTATAATGGGTATCGGGAAGTCTAAAATAAATTCCTGCCCTCTTTCTCTCTCTTGGGGTAAAAGGCACAGTGTGGATACAAGTCCAGGATATCATGAGTCAGATTCCAAGAAGTCTGAAGATCTATCCTTGTGTAATGTTGCTGAGCACAGCAATACAACAGAGGGGCCAACAGGAAAGCAGGAGGGAGCTCAGAGCGTGGAAGAGATGTTTGAAGAAGAAGCTGAAGAAGAGGTGTTCCTCAAATTTGTGATATTGCATGCAGAAGATGACACAGATGAAGCCCTCAGAGTCCAGAATCTGCTACAAGATGACTTTGGTATCAAACCCGGAATAATCTTTGCTGAGATGCCATGTGGCAGACAGCATTTACAGAATTTAGATGATGCTGTAAATGGGTCTGCATGGACAATCTTATTACTGACTGAAAACTTTTTAAGAGATACTTGGTGTAATTTCCAGTTCTATACGTCCCTAATGAACTCCGTTAACAGGCAGCATAAATACAACTCTGTTATACCCATGCGGCCCCTGAACAATCCCCTTCCCCGAGAAAGGACTCCCTTTGCCCTCCAAACCATCAATGCCTTAGAGGAAGAAAGTCGTGGATTTCCTACACAAGTAGAAAGAATTTTTCAGGAGTCTGTGTATAAGACACAACAAACTATATGGAAAGAGACAAGAAATATGGTACAAAGACAATTTATTGCCTGAGATGAAACATATAACATGTGGCTGGCTCTTGTTTTGTAAACCAAATGATTAATCTTCACTTGAGAAAGCAGTTTCTAGGAAATGTTTAAATAAAAGAGAGTCTTCACCTTAAAGAAACCTATGGAGCACAAGAAAGATAAATTTCTGCAGGACAGCCTATAAAATTGTGGTACTTTTTGATGTTTCAGTAAACTTGACATTGTCAGAGTTTCAAGGACTTTTCTTTCACAATTTTCCTAGTTCATGGATATGAAAAAGGAATTCTCAATCCATATTCCTTGTATTGAACCTTGAACAAAAACTTGTATGACAGACATTTTTAAAAATGTGACAACACTTTTATTCTCTGAATTTTGATCTCAAAGGACACAGAAAAAAAATGGCCCCAGGAGATCTGATCACACTTCCTCCTGAGGCACCTCTCATGGATGTTGCAATAAGCATTCGGGTACTATCACCCAGAAATATGAATTGCCAGAATAGAACATTTAGCATGTTAAGCGTTGATGCATATAAAATCAGAAATAGATGTGAGAATGGTGGAACTTTTTAAAAGAACCCAGTCAAATGTATTTTCTGCTGAAATCTGCATATTTGGAGGCATTTCCCACCACCGATTCACAGCCCATTTGATAGTGTGGTAGTTAGGGACTTCGTGGAGTGGTGTTCAGACGTCCCCTGGGGCTTAAATCTCTTCATATTAGTCATCATTTGTAACTATGGCTTTATTTGCAGAGCTTCTAAAAGGCGTATAACTGTGTGAGTGGCCAGATATTCACTTTTTAAATCAAAAACCTCTCTTATGGAAGCTTTAAAAGTTTCCGTCACACACAATTCTCTTCTCAGGAAGTATTTCTCATTTAGGTCTTCAAAGTAGCCTGACTGTGTGCATGTGTGTGTGTGATAGGTTATTTATAAAGACTTTGGATAGAAGGAGATGTATTTTATTACCTCCTATTCTAGAGCCCCATGCTCCTAACAAGCCAGAGAGGCCCCAAACAGGATTGTTTCTTTCCTCCACAGCCCTTCTGCCCATCTGAGATTGAGGGAGCATCGTCCACTTGAGATCAGGGATGGGGTGGAGAATGGGTCATGTCATGTAATGAGAAAAGCCCTCTTCGGGATCATGAGACTTGGTTCTAGTCCAATTTCTGCCACTGAGGATGAATGTAACTGTGGGCAAACTATTTACCCTCCTTTATCTGTGAAATGAAAGGGTTGAATTGATGGATCTCTAAAGGCTTTTGTCCTCTATGAGGATGTGAAAAACTAGGGACCACAAAAGGGAACAAGCAAAAAAGTTTGGATTCGATAAAGTGATATGTAATAGTTGCAGAAGGCTTTATATATGCTTATAATGAAAAGATATTTTTTGTATATTGACAGCATAATTTATTTTTAATGCTGTCATTACACTTAAAGTCACAGGAAAAAAATATACATGCTTACTCAGGCTTTCTTAAAAATAAATTTTTATAGAGATCCTTGAGTAAAGACATTTTGCTTAATTTCTTTTTTCTTATTCCCCACTTGTATATCCCCTACCAGTACCGGGATCTGCACACATCTTTTTGCAGTTACCTCTTCATAGCCATGAACCAAAACGTTCTATGAGGAGCATGCAAGTAAGTCAAGCCTCCTATTCTGTTAGTACTTATTAGAGGAGGAGATGGTTTTCATTGCATAGTGACATTTTCTTAGCCTTAACGTTCTGATAGTAGCTTACTACTCACTTCTCTTTTTCAGTTTTCATAATAAGTATTCATTTTTTTGCCATAATGCTTCCTGTAAAGCCAATTTTATATACTAATAAAACATGAACTGCCCACTCTTCATGCCTGCCAAACTTGGGGCAATTGATGCTAAATGGTATTTTTAAAATAAATGTTTTTATTCTTTACTCTTGACTAAACTTGTTTATTTTCAACTCCAATGAAGATTGTGGAAGAGTGTTTTGAAATGAAGCATCGATTTGTACTTCATAGAGCACCAGACACAATGTCTCACCCAATTTGGAGTTCCATATTTTTTTTATGATAAAGAAAAATGTTGGCCGGGCGCGGTGGCTCACGCCTGTAATCCCAGCACTTTGGGAGGCCGAGGCGGGCGGATCACGAGGTCAGGAGATCGAGACCATCCCGGCTAAAAACGGTGAAACCCCGTCTCTACTAAAAATACAAAAATTAGCCGGGCGTAGTGGCGGGCGCCTGTAGTCCCAGCTACTTGGGAGGCTGAGGCAGGAGAATGGCGTGAACCCGGGAGGCGGAGCTTGCAGTGAGCCGAGATCCCGCCACTGCACTCCAGCCTGGGCGACAGAGCGAGACTCCGTCTCAAAAAAAAAAAAAAAAAAAAATGTTAAGTGCTGAATTATTATATATGTTGAAATTATCAATTGTAACAAAATAGCTAAACTGAGGATGAAAACAGGTAAAGGTGTGGGCTTTGTCATGTTTGTTGTGTACATATGTGCGTGTGCACACACCCATACACACATGTACATATCTAGGTACATACACATATCAGGAAATATGGGAAATTTTGCACTATGCTGGGGAGCTTTCATTTTGAGTACTCTGTGGGCCTTATTGCCCACCCTGGAGCTTTACAGGGGAGAACCCGAGTTGAGCCTCATGTATCAGTTAGGAAAACCCCACGCCACGTGGCCTAAACCATAAGAAAAAAATATTATCCGACTTAACAAGAGGTCCGCCAAGGTACAGGGGCTCAAATGTGTCATTAAAATCCCAGTCATATACTGAAATATTATTCAGTTCTAAAAAGGAATGAAATTCTGATACATACCATAACATGGGTGAACCTTGAAAACATTATGCTAAGTAAAATAAGCCAGATACAAAAGGACAAATATTATAGGATTCCACTTATATAAGGTAAATTCACAGAGACAGAAAGAATAGAGGTTACCAGGGGCTGAGGGCAGGGAGGAATATGGAGCTATTGTTTAATGGGTACAGAGTTTCTGTTTGGGGTTGTTGAAAACGTTCTGGAAATGGGTAATGGTGATGACACACAACATTGCGAAATGTACTTAATACCACTGAATTGTACACTTAAATATGGCTAAAATGATAGATTTTATGTTATATATATTTTACCACAATACAAGTTGAATATCCCTTATCCAAAATGCTTGGGACCAGAAGTGTTTTGGATTTTGGATTTTCATATTAGAGATGCTCAACTTGTAATTAAAAAAAAAAAGAAAAGGTAAAAAAACAAACCCAGGTTCTTTCCATCTTTTTGCTCTTCCATTCTCAGTGTTTCGGTTGAGCTCCCTTCCAAGGTGTAGCCTGGCTGCTCCAGTGTCCGACACTGTATACAGACATGACAGTGTCCAGCCTAATAAGATGATAGGAGTGGTCCACCCATATGGAAAAAATAATTCATCACTGCATTATTGAAAATTGTTGATACCCAGTAATGATAAAGAGCCATCTGACTCCCAGCTGGTTCCATTATTTCAAAATTCTCCCTACCCCTACCCTGAGTGGACACCTCCTAGCCTCCCTGCATCCAAACATCTTCCAACACCGTTTCTGAGTCAGACTACCTGGATTTGAATTCCACCTCTGTCCTCTGTAAGTGATGTTCTTAAAAAGACACTTAATTTTTTTGAGTTTTAATGTCCTCATCTAAAAATAAAGATCATAAATACCTCCCTGAAAGGTCATTTTGAGGATTTAATGAGCTAGTGCCTCACATATAGCTACCATATCTATGCTACTAGAACTATTTTTTGTTGCCTACACACATTCAATATGCAGCATGGGTTGGCGGGCAGGACACATATGCATTTTTACATACCCACAATCCTATCCTTGGAAACCTCGCAACTTGTAGGGAATAGATTTTAAACAAAGACAAAGGAAGATGCCAGGCCTTGTTCCCATGTGCAGTACAGCCCCCAGTCAGGCACTGAAAAGCAGAGGAGCCCCCTTGATCAGCAAGAGATGTGTGAGCTGTTAATGATGAGTATGAGTGCGGAGGAAGCTGGTGGCATGAAGGATGCAAGAGCATGGTGCCATGATTCTAACAAGTAGAAAGTTGAGCCATAAACTAGAAAAGCAGGAAAATGGAGTCTAGGAGTGCCAGCTTTGAAGTCAGTTAGGAGGAAGAATGGCTCAGACCTGGATGCCTTCAGTGGAGTTTTGTTGCTCCTTACACTTAAAAATGGTGGATCAACTTTGTGTTCATTTGATTATGGAGGGCAGAGGGTGTAATCCGTTTAATTTAGCTCTTTTCTGGGGCTTAGCAACTCCCAGATAATTTTGCCTCATTTGGGAATAGGCTGTATGAGTTTAGTTATACTATTCCCCTTGGGTTGGGTGGAGAAGGGAGTAAGAGTATCACTAGTCTACTCTGCTCCTTTCTTTCCTGACTAACTTAAGTTCTGCCTTGAATTCAACAAGCTGTTTGCTGGGGTTAACGCTTTCCAGCACAAGTCAGGGATGTTTTCCGCTTCAGTCCCTCATCCTTCAATTTTGCAGATCCTAATGCATTGGTTGTCAAAACCACTTCACTGCATAGAAGGTAACACCACTAGTAACAGAAATAACTTCCCTTGGCCCTCTCATTTGCAACAGCTCATTCCTAAGGCCCAATCCCAGTTCCTGATGGTGGATGTTGTTCCAGCCTGGAAAGCTTAATCACTTCCTCTCCAGTAACGAATAAATAGACTAGATTTCACTGAGTCATCTGTCTGCCCAGCAAAGGACCCTGCAAAAAAGAGATCAAAGTGGTTTTCACAGTCTTGTTGCAAAGGAAATCTGAGTTGGGGCCCAAGTATTCAAAGGGTGTAGAGTGGCTCAATATTAGTATCTAATTCAGGAGAATCATTTCAGTGCAGGCAAAGGATTTCAGGTCCTTTATCTGTACATTTTGCAGGTAAAAAACCTCAGTGCAGGTAAAGAAACCACATGCCATGCTGTGGAGTCAGGCTATTCCCAACTGTAGAGAAAGTCCATTGATCCATGAGTGTGGTGGGGCTGGCCCCAGGGCTAGTGAGAAGCTGTTGCCATGGCTGCATTGCTGGTAAGGTGGGATTCCGTGTGTTTGCCCTGAGCAATCTGCGCTGCCTCTGTGACTTTCCTCCTCTTCTCAGTCTTACACCGCCTGGTCTTAGGTCATCTGCTAAGCTGTCACAGAAAGTGACGTACCCTCCACACCTGTGGATGGTCTGAAGGGCAAGGAGGAAATTTCAGAAAGCTGTCAGGCACTTGATGAAATGAAACCACAGCATCTGGAAGTTGATGTCCTTAAGCCAATGACCAGAAGGAATGAACCAGAGAACTGATGTTGTTGTCCATGGACCTGATGTTTCTTATGAGATTCCAAGTAGAAAAATTTATTAGATTTTGAACACTTAACGGCTGGATAAGGACAACTTTCTTATATATATATATATATATATATATATATATATATATATATATATATATATATATGTCATATGTGGCAATACTCTTGTCAATTAACATATTAAGTTTGGATTGAGGTAAGTAATACTTGAAAGTGCCATTAATTAATAACTCAGAGCATGAAAATTATTTGATTAAAAGCTCAATGAGGCTGGGTGTGGTGGCTCATGCCTGTAATCCCAGCACTTTGGGAGGCCAAGGTGGGTGGATCACGAGGTCAGTAGTTCAAGACCAGCCTGGCCAAGACGGTGAAACCCCATCTCTACTGAAAATACAAAAATTAGTCAGGCGTGGTGGCAGGTGCTTGTAATCCCAGCTACTCAGGAGACTGAGGCAGGAGAATTGCTTGAACCTGGGCAGCAGGGGTCGCAGTGAGCCTAGATCTGGCCACTGCACTCCAGCCTAGGCGATACAGTGAGACTCTGTCTCAAAAAAAAAAAAAAAAAAAAGCTCAACGAATTAACTTGTGGAAAAAAAGAAAGACAATTGCTCTTCTCTCTTCTCCTTTGCCAATGAACCTGCTCTCACAACTGTTTACTCCAACATCTATACTCCTTCACAGTTGCCTTCCTTTCTGTCATGAGCAAGAATTGTTCTGGGGAAATCACTTCTTTAGTTAGTTTAACACACTTCTATTTCTCTTCAGATAGAGTGAGTTCTGAGTCATTTTCACTCTGAGGTGAATAATTAGAAATGCTTTTATTAGCAAGTAACAGGAACCTGCATTTAAGCAGTTTCCAAATCTAATTAGAAATGTTGCTTTCAGCTACCTACTCAAACTACAGGTTTAAATCAAGAAAATTGTTTTTTTCTATTATTTGTAGGGGACCTCTACAAACTAGCTCCTTCCGGAGGTTTTCCATGTATATATTGGACAGGACACATAACAAGCTTTACAGATTTCTGTATATTTTATGTGTATTTATAAATAATGCTATCACATTAAAATGTTCTAAAATTAGATTGCAGTGCTGGTTGCACAACTCTGCACATATACTAAAAACTGTTGAGTTGTATACTTGAAATGGGTAAATTTTATGGTATGTAAAATATATCTCAATAAAGAACCTAAAAAATACTCTCGAGCAAAGATGACAATAAAATGCTACAGTGATTTGGAAACATGATTTAGCAATGACTAGTAATGTTGAAGATGGGCATATCTTATGAATCTAGCAATTCTACCTCTGGATTTGTATCCCAAAGAAACTCTCTCACAGGTACCCAAAGAAGCACGAGTGAGAAGGATGCCTATGCAGCATTCTTTGTAATAGGTAAATAATGGGAAACAATCTAAATGTCCATCAGTAGGAGGATGCAGGAATACATTATGGCAGGTTCATGAAATCAATACTATAGGGCATTAAAAATAACTAGGAAACCTACATATGTGAATATGGGTAAATTTCTAAAATGTAATATGTGGGAGAAGTAAATTATAGAATAATATGGATAATTTGATAACATTTATATAAAGTTTTAAAACGTACAAGACAGCTCTGTATTTTTAATGGGTACTTACATTGGTGATGGTATATTATTTTCCATGCTCTCCTGTATGTTTGAAAAAGTTCATAATTATTTTTTAAATTAGCATTCACTTGTAGTCATGTTAAGTGCTGTAGATGTTTCCTACACGTGCAATGATTTGAGGAACTAAAAAAAGATGAAGACTGTCAATGGGTAGAGAAATATATGCTTGTAATAATACGTTTCATTTTTTATCACCTACTGTGTTTGGCACTTAACTTACATTATCTCCAGTGTTCCCCAGATTCCTACAAGGTTAGTCATACAGTGTCCAATACTGGGCCAAGAAACAGATGCTGGAAATGTAATATACCCAAGATCACAGGCTGGTAGAGGATGGAGTCATTGAAATATTCAGTGGTCTGGCTCCAAAGCCTTGTGGGTCTTAGGCTTCATAATTGTGCTTCTCAATGTACCTGTCTGCTTTTCTCATGGTGGAGAAATTAGGAGAGGCCAGTAGTACAAAGAGAAAACCATAACAAGTTCATGGTGAGGTTGCCATAATTCTAGTCTTCTTTGCCTAGTATGCACAACTCATGACAGAGAGTCTCAGGAACTATGCGTCCTAATTCCACTGTGCTGCTGTGGAGCTAACTTTTCTAATCTTCACTTTCCTCCAGAAGACTCAAAGTATTGCAGTAGCTGATTTCTAACATTTTCTAGCTGTGTGATTTTTTTCTGAGCTCTAAAAACTAAGGTCTCTGCCCATTCTAAAATGCTTCCCTTCTTTTGTTGTACTTTCTTCACTTCAGCTTTTGAACAAGCATCACTAAGCACTATTTTGTCACAAACTCCATGACCTTTGGAAATGGAAATGATGCTCTCTTAGTAAGCCCTGTCTGTGTCTAGGGAGAGAGGAGGATGTCAGTGTCTTTTAGCTCTGAACAAGAAGTCCACTATGTCTGGCATGATAATTTAAAGGGTCGCCAAATACTCTTGTTTTGTTTTGCTTTATGTAGTTTATTTGCTCATACTAGATGACACATATGTTAAATGAAACACTGCTTTGATTTAGAGGGAGGAGGAAAAATGGGGTACATAATAAGTGGGACTAGTGTTTATTTCAGGAAAAATGTGTTGCTTAGCTCCTGTATGCATATAATCATGTGCATCTTTTCTGTGTTTCAGAACAAAGATGTTGTTCAGCAATATAGGAAACATTAACAAAGGGAAACGAATGCAGACATTTACATACACTGTGATTTGTGAGTTTCAGGGTGGGATAGATCTAGCAAAAATTATGTTTAATGCTTAGATTTTATGTAAAACTACTGTGATATTGAATGCCGTATGTTTTGATTAGAGTACAGCCTGTGCAGCCCCATTATTTGGGTTCAATTTTAGTTGTACATTTATTTGTTGGGTAACTTTGGTCAAATTTAGTTAACCTTTCTATACTTTCAATTTGTAAAGTAGAAATCATAGGAATGACTACCTCAGAGGTGTTCTGGAAAGTAAGTGATTTAATAGAGATACAGTACTTAGGACAGGGGGAGTAAGGCATTCTTAGAAGTCGCTTTCATCCTGACCTTGCCTATTATTCAAGGCTGACTGCTAAGAGACTAGTTAAGCAATTAGATCCAGATCTTGATAGTTGCCCTATTTTTCCCCTTCAAGGCCATATGTGTTACTTTCCTCTAATACATTTGCCTAAAGCCAAAGAACAATCCATCTACCACTTAAGAATACATTTATTGCTTTTAACTTAAAAAAAAATTAAAGAAAAGATCTCTGTAAGGATGAGCTCCATCTTATGGTAGGCTTCATCTATACTGCCTCCTTCTTGTCGTAGTGGCTGCTGCAGTCAGGCATCCAGTCACTGGTGCACAGCTGAGAGAAAACTCAGGGCTGGTGTTCTGAAGCGGGTGACATAAGGATCTCTAATCACTGACCCAGCGACTCCAATACTGTCTTTGTTTCCCTGAGTTTTATATTTGCCCAGAACTGGAAAGCTCCCAGCCATTCATTCACTGGTCAGTTCTGTGTGTGTGCTATAGTAGCTACTCTGTTGCCAGCAACAAGAAGAAGGAGGTGAGGAGAGCTCTAGGCCTGATTTTCACCGCCAAAGAAATTCTGGCACTGGTTAGTGCTCTGCTGCGTGGTTGGCATGGAGACTAGAGAATTCAGGCTACCTAACAATTGAGGACTTAGGGGAACAATAGGTCCTGGTTATTTTCTTAGCCTTTTGCTGAGATATTTCCTTTATTCTTCTTTGGACTGCCCCATTAGGACCCAAGCTATTTCTTGTGGTTGTAAGGGCCTACTCAACTTAAAACATTTAATTCAGTTCTATTTAATTTTTAAAAATAGTTAATATATTCAAATGCCTCGAAATTCAAAGAGTACAATGCAGCAACCTTGTTTCCATTCTCAAAGCCATTTACTATTACAAGCTTCTTATGAGTTCTGCCAAGATGCCTTATGCATATACAATCAATAACATATGTACATATATACAAATCTACCCATCCCCATCTATCTCAGAGGTCATCCGATACCAATGCATGAAGAGCTTCTTCATTTTGTTCTTACTGACTGCCTAGTACTCAGTTGTTTCAATGTATCATAACTTATTTTAACCAGTACCCATTGATGGATGGCCCTTTATATTGTTTCCAGTCTCTCGATACTACAGCGCCCCTGTAACAAGCAACCATGTATGTGTGAAATTTTGCACATGTATAAATGAATATATCAGTAAGATAAAAGCCTAGAAGTGAACTTGCTGGGTTAAGAGCATGTGGATATGAAATTTCTACAGATACTCCACAAAAGTTGCATCAGTTTACATTCCCAGCAGCATTATGTGAAAGTGCCTGTTTTCCCAGAGCCTTAGAAGAGTGTGTCACCAAACTTTCCCAATCTAAAGGTAAAAAACAGTGTCTCACCAAAGTTTTAATTGGTGTTTTTTAAGATGTGAAGTTGAACATCTTTTCATATGTTCAAGAGCTGTTGGTATTCCCTTTTGTGTGAAATATCTGTATATGCCCTTTGCCCAAGTTTCTATTGGATTATTAGTCTTTATATAACTATTATATGAATAGGAGCTCCTAAGAATAGGATCTCTTTATATGTTGGGTAAATTAGCCCCCGTCTGTGTTTTGCAAATATTTTTCACAGTGCGGGTTTAGATTTGCTTATGGTAATTTTTTTACCCGTGGAGATATTTTGTATTTGTAAGTAGCAGAATTTATCAGTTTTTCTTTTATCTGAGTTTTTTCCTAAGCTTTATAATATGCTTTAGTATCTGAGAAAGCTTGTTTACCCTTATTGTTCTTCATTTTCAAAATTTTCTACTTCTGTGCTTGCTTGTTTACTATTGCATATGACTGAAATATAAATTTTATATATTAATATAAATATGCTTATATTGCTATAAAAATCCTTTTATTAGGGCTGCATTCCATTTACAGCTTAGCTTGGAGATTTGATATATTTATGTTGCTGTGTCTTTCCATCTAGGGACATCTTATGCCAAAGGGCAACACAGATGTGCCATCTCTGGGTGCTTTTAACAAAAATGCCAAGCTTTTGTATATGTTATGTGTGCCAAGTGTTTAAAGCAGGCCTTGCACTAGTGCACCAACAGTTTTTACTTTATGACTTGAGCAAAACATTTTGACATTGTATTATGGCTATGTCTCTAAAGTTAATAGTAAACATTTTTAATTTAAAAATATTAAGAACCTTAAAAATATATATTTTAATAATTCCCTTCCAAAGCCAGAAAATTAGAGATATGAAGAAAGCATTGTATACATGTGCTTATATTATTTTTAGCATAATAACAAAAATTAGAAATGATGTAAATGCCCACAGGTGAAGATTTGGTTAAATTACAGTAATCCTTATCTTGAAATGCATTTCAGTGATTCAACTTTTTAAAATAAATATTTATTGACATAAAAATTCCAGCTATAATGTTAAGTAATAGTACAAGAAACCAAAAATATATTTAGTATGGCTTGAATTCATTTTAAAAAGTTGAATGTATATATTACCTATGCTTTGAAAAAAGACAAGAAGGCAGTAAACTAAAATGTTAGTATTAGCCATCTACAAGGGTTGGATTGTGGACAATTTTTTTTTCCTTCCGTTTTGTTGTACTTTCCAACTTTTCTACAAGTAACAGTAATTTTATATCTAAATAATGAAATTCTAAAAAATTAGCTGCATAACAAGGTTGGGTTTGAATGACATTTATAAGAGGTATATTGGTAGTTTAAAAACACAATATTTTCCCAAATCAGAGCAGCCTACAAATGCTGGATGTTTTCTTCATTTTATTTATGATACAGCCACTCTTCCTAAAGAAACTCTTATTGAAATTATAGATTCATTAATGAATGACTGATATGTAAAAATATAACTTTAAAAATAGTGGCTTGTAGAATTATTTTAAAGAAGCAAAATAGTAAAATTAAGTGTGCATAGTTGGAAAGAAATTATTGGACAGTTTTATTATTTGCCAGTAGCATGACTATACACCTGTTGTGAAACAAAACAAAGTAACAAAAAAGAGAAATCATCCATTGTAATTTTACTGTCAAAGAAAGCTTTAACCACCTATAAATTAGCAAAAAGAAAAGTTAATTCTATGATTGTGATATGGATGATAAGCAGATGAGGACATCAATATGTCTGCCCTGTTTTGACTGCCACTGAAATATCTATTTCAGCTAGAACAGTATCTGCTTCCCACAGTGTATTTATTTGCTCTCAGGGTGAGTATTATAAGCCAGCTGCTATTAATCCTGTGCTGAGGAGTTATGTTTCCTACCCTCAGACACAAGGAAACTCGAGAATTTGAAATCAAATTTAAGAAATGCACATTTCTTTTAAGTTTGGTTTTATTTGAAAGGTTTCTAGAAAGCATTTTCCTCTTATTCCAAGAAGTATTTTATTGCTGAATTTTAAAATGTTATTCCTGAACTTTTAAAGTATTTCAGTTTTTAATACCCATGGATTTTTCTGGAGACTTGGACAATGAACTACTTTGAACTGAGAATTTGTTGACATCTTACTATAAATTTTAATGAATGAAAGTACACCAAGGTTTAAAATGAAAGAAAGAGGTTTATATAATAGTAGCCCTTCATTTTGGAGTTTGGGGAGAATAAAAAAAACTTTTTTTTTTTTTAATATATAGCTGTTGGCCAGGTGTGGTGGCTCACGCCAGTAATCCCAGCACTTTGGGAGGCCGAGGCGGGAGGATCACATGAGGTCGGGAGTTCGAGACCAGCCTGACCAACATGGAGTAACCCTGTCTCTACTAAAAATACAAAATTAGCTGGGCTTGGTGGTGTGTGCCTGTAATCCCAGCTACTTGGGAGGCTGAGGCAGGAGAATCGCTTGAACCCAGGAGGTGGAGGTTGTGGTGAGCCAAGATCATGCCATTGCACTCCAGCCTGGGTGACGAGCGAAACTCCGTCTAAAAAAAAAAAGAAAATACATAGCTGTTTAAATGCTAAGCCTGTCATCGTAGACCTTCCTGTATAATGTATTTGTAATCAAATGTTTTTCTGGAATGTGATGATTCCTCTAATATTGGGAATAGAATTTATAGCTCCCAATTGTTGCGCTATAGTGCTATTCCTACCCTCACCTACAGCTTCATGCAAAATATTTTATTGAGCACATACTATGCATCATTCATTGTACAACAGGCTGAAGATATAAAAATAAATAAGACATCGTCCCTGCCTTCAAGGAGCTATATGAGTGAAAACCAAAATCCAAGTTAGAGTATGGACATAGTAACAAAGTAAATTCCATATACGAGGTGTTATGAAAGATGGGAAAAGAACAACTGGACTCTGAAAGATAACCTAGAAATTTCATCCAGTGGAGTCGGGTAATAATGTTGCTCCTGCTGATAGATGATGATGACAACAGTAATATCAGTGCCAGGACTTTAGATCTACCTATACATTATGAATTTAATCATCACCATATTCCAACGAAATAGATAATACAATAATTTCTTTTTACAAATAAAAAATCAAAGTCATCAATGAAAAGAGGCAGAGTTGAGATGTAAACCTGGGTCCATCTGACTTGGAGTCTAAGTCCTTAAAGAGTTTGGGCATTGGAATTCTACAGAGCTGCATTTGGATTGTAATACCACATGTTCTAGCTGAGTAATTGTTGGTAAATTACATAACCTGTCTAAGATTCAGTTTTCTCCTTTGTAAAATGAGGATAACGGTAGCCCCTGTGCATGATGCTGTTGGCTTCCTACCTAAGAGTTACCCCTCCTGCCCTCCTTACTCCTTGCCAATGGAGCTCACCTCCAATTACTATGGCTGAAAATTCCAGATCCTCATGATCCCAGTTGCTCTTGCAGCTAGGGCCTGAATACAACATGACATAGTCCTGGCCATTGGGGTCCGAAGGGAGAAATCAGCAGGAGAAACATTTCCTCTCTAATAAAAAGAGATGCTAGAAATCTACTTTCATTACATATAGTCGTGTGAAACCTGAGACTACTCTAGCCAACTTGTAATCTAAAATGAAGATGTCACGAACACACTGAGGATAAGATGCAGAAAAATGGTAAGTGAAGGAGTCCTTTTTGACATCACTGAGCCAATAACATCATGGAATTATGTGAAACACTAAATTTATTCAGTATTTAAGCCACTTTTAATTGAACATTCTATTACTCCTAGGTAAACCAAATGTACTGAGTTTTAGATGAGCTAAATTGTGTAAAACACTAAGTACAATACTGGCATATAGTAGCTGCTTAATAATAGAGGCTATTTTAATATTCTTGGTCAAAGTCTTCCAAGCATGGTGTTTATTTTGTAGCTTTTGATCATTACTAGTAAGGCATTGTTGTATTGCAATAAATACCTGAGACTGGGTAATTCATAAAGAAAAGAGGTTTAATTTGCTAATAGTTCTGCAGGTTGTACAAGCATGGCTCCAGCATCTGCCCAGCTTCTGGGGAAGCCTCAAGGAGCTTTTACTCACGGCAGAAGGTAAAGCAGGAGCAGGAGCAGTCAGAAAGGTGCCACTTACTTACCCAGATCTCGTGAATACTCACTAATAATTGCAAGAATAGCACCAAGCTAAAAGGGATCTGCCCCCATGACCCAAATACCTCCCATTTGGCTCCACCTTCAACATTAGGGATTACAATTCAACTCATTACAATTCATTACAACTTCATTACAATTCAAATAAGATTTGACAGGGACATACATTCAAACTATATCATTCCACCCCTGGCCCCCCAAATCACATGTCCTTCTCACATTGCAAAATACAATCATGCCTTCCCAGTAGTCCCCTAAAGACTTAACTCATTCCAGCATTAACTCAAAAGTCCAAAGTCCAAAATCTCATCTGACACAAGGCAAGTTCCTTCTACCTATAAGCCTGCAAAATCAAAACCAAGTTATTTATTTCCAATATACAATGAGAGTACAGGCATTGAGTAAACATCCCCATTCCAAAAGGGAGAAATAGGCCAAAAGAAAGGGGCTTCAGTTTCCATGAAGTCTGAAACCCAGCAAGGCAGACATTAAATCTTAAAGCTCCAAAATAATCTCCTTTGATATCATGTCCCACATACAAGGTACACTGGTGCAAGAAATGGGCTCCCAAGGCCTTGGGCAGCCCCAACGCTGTGGCTTTTCAGGATTCAGAACCTACAGCCGGTCTCACAGGTTGTTCAGTGCCTACTTTTCTGGGTGCAGGGGGTTAGCTGCCAGTGGCTCTATCATTCTGGGATCTAGGGGACAGTGGCTCCCTTCCCATGGCTTCACTAAGCAGTGCCCCAGTGAGGACTTTGTGTGTGGGCTCCAACCCTACCTTTCACCTCTGCACTGTCCTAGTAGAGGTTCTCTGTGAGGGCTTTGCCCCTACAGCCGGCTTCTGCCTAGACACCAGGCTTTTTCATACATCCTCTGAAATCTAGGCAGAAGCTGCCAAGCCTTCACTCTTGCATTCTGTGTACCCACAGGCTTAACACCACATGGAAGCTGCCAAGGCTTACATCGTGCACCCTCTGAAGCAGCAGCATGAACTATATCTGGGGTCCTTTGAGCCAAGGCTGGACCCAGAGTGGCAAGGATGTGGGAAGCAGTGTCCCAAGGCTGTATAGGATACCAGGGCCCTGATCCTGGCCCTGGTCCAGGAAACTATTCAGTCCTTCTAGACCTCAGGGCCTGTGTTGGGAGGGGCTGCCTCTGCAATCTCTGAAATGCCTTCAAGGCCTTTTCCCCATTTTCTCAGTTATTAGCCATTTGGCTCCTTTTTAATCATGCATATCTCTCTAACAAGTGGTTGCTCCATAGTGCGTTTGAATTCCTCTCCTGAAAAAGCTTTTTCTTTTTCTGCCACATGGCTAGGCTGCAAATTTTCCAGACTTTTATACTCTGCTTCTCCTTTAAATATAACTTTAAACTTTAAGTTATTTCTTTCCTTCTGCATCTGAGCATACGTTGTTTGAAGCAGCCATGAGCATCTTGAATACTTTGCTTCTTAGAAATTTCTTCTGCCAGATACCCTAGGTTATTGTTCTCAAGTTCAAATTTCCACAGATCCCTAGGACATGGACACAATATAGCCAAGTTCTTTGCTAAGGCATAAGAGTAACCTTTGCTCCAGTTCCCAATAAGTTCCTCATTTCCATCTGAGACCTGATAAGCCTGGATTTCACTGTCCATATCACTATCAGCATTTTGGTCACAACCATTTAACCAGTCTCTAGGAAGTTCCAAACTTCCTTCATCTTCCTGTCTTCTTCTAAGCCCTCCAAACTCTTCCAACCTCTGCCTGTTACCCAGTTCCAAAGTCACTTCCACATTTTCAGGTATCTTTATAGCAATGCCTTACTCCTGGTACCAACTTTCTATGTTACGCCATTCTTGCATTGCTATAAAGAAATACCTGAGACTGAGTAATTTATAAAGAAAAGAGGTTTAACTGGCTCATGGTTCTGCAGGCTGTACAAGCATGGTGCCAGCATCTACTTGGCTTCTAAGGAGGCATCAGGGAGCTTTTTTTTTTTTTTTTTTGAGATGGAGTCTCGCTTTGTCACAAGGCTGGAGTGCAGTGGTGTGATCTCAGCTCACTGCAACCTCTGCCTCCTGGGTTCAAGTGATTCTCCTGCCTTAGCTTCCTAAGTAGCTGGGACTATAGGCACACACCACCATGCCTGGCTAATTTCTGTATTTTTAGCAGATATGGGGTTTCATCATGTTTGTCAGGCTGGTC